>NC_000013.11:112148370-112453300 GCF_000001405.40 Homo sapiens | reverse complement strand
GGAATGGAACTCCCTGAATGGAGGGGCTTCTCTCCGTTTTCTCGGGGCAGTTTTGTGATCGGCATTGGCCTTGTGTTCCTTCCTTCCCTCACTGATGTGCACCCGACGCCTGCATGTGGACTGACGGCCTGGGGTCAGGACGCTGCTGGGGGTCAGGGGTGTGTGGTGGGCTGTGGCGGGGTGTGGTGAAGCCTGCCTGGCCTCGAGCCCGGTGGAGGCTCTGGGAAGCCCCCTGCTTCCTAGTCCTGACGGGGGCCGGTCTCCACCTTCCTTTGGTGTTCCAGAGACCTGAAGCGGAGGGGCCAGTGTGGCTCCAAGGTGGCCGGGGCTGTGCGGTGGGCTCCGGAGCCCCCGAAGCACTCTTTTTCTGCAGAACCGCATCTGGGCCTCCGGAAGGAAGCTGCAAATGAACCGGCAGCAGCTTCCCCGATGGCCCTGTCTTGGCAGCCCTCATCCGGGCAAGGACTCTGTGGGAGAGCAGGGCCACTCTCTGTGATGCCACCGCCGGGATGGCTGAGCTCCAGCGTGGTGCCCGTCCTGGGTCTGAGGGCCCGGCAGCCGCCCTTCCGTCTGCTGCCAGGAGTGTGTGTGCCCAGCACTGGAGAGCAGTGAGAGGCACTGGTTTCCCAGCACACAGTGTGCGCCTGCCCGCTCACTCTCCCGGCTCCGTGTGTGCGCCCCTCATCAGCCAGGTGCTCGCTTTCCCGGCTCTGTGTGTGGGGCCCTCACCGGCCAGTGTGTAGCTGCATGGTGTTTCTGGGGGGCTGCTGGCCTGCCAGGCATGGCCTCTCAGTGGCCAGCATGGGGTCTGGGGGTGGTCTGGGATGGCCAGGCGAGGGGCTAGGGGCTCGGGGGCAGCTGTCAGCCCTTGGGTGTCACCCTGCACTTCCTGCCCTGTGGCCACATCCTCCCACCCTCTTCTCTGTACATCACGCTGAAGAACAAACAAAAAATCTCACCAAACGCGTGTTGGAGGTGGCCAGGCTGGCTCCATTCCGGGGGCCCTGGTGATAGGTTTCAGGATGGCAGCAGCAGGGCCGTGGGATGGGGAGAGTGGACTCAGCTCCTACCGCCGTGAGGATGGGGAGGGAGGGGACAGGACGTGTAACCGTGGACGAGGAAGGGCCAGGGATGGAACACCGTGAACAGGAAGCATCAGGGTGAGGGGCTCCGACAGATTTGATAGGACCACGGCTGATGGCCGGCAGGGCTCCCATGACGCTGATGTGCCGGTATTTTCACCCAGTGGAGCGGCTCCCCCTCACGAGGACAGAGCGGGAAGCCCCAGGTCAGGCCTCATTAGAAAGGGCTCAGGAGCCAACTGAGTGTAGGCCAAGGAGAGCCTCTGTGGGCCGACGTGCCCACCTCCATCGTCAGCCAGGGCCTGTCCATGGCACCAGTCCCCTGCCAGCCTCCTGATGCTCTCCAGGCGGGCAGGGGCCTTTCGGGCCAGGGGAAGAAAGTGACACCCGCCCTTCTGTGCCTGGCTTTGGGTCACCTGTCCCCGTTCCAGGGCAGCGTGGCACAGGTCTGAGGGCTCTGCTGGTCACTCAGCCCCTGAGGCAGCCCCGCCAGCCCAGGCCCGAGCACCTCTTCCCTCCAGGCTGGGCACAGCCAGTCCCCACCTCCCACCTTCTGCCTCCGCCAGTCCCGGGACATGGAGTCACACCTTGGAGGAGATTCACACTGTGTCATCAGCTGGCGCGCAGGTGACTCCGGAGCGCGGATCGTGCCAATCGGCCCAGGGAGGCTCCGCGCCGTCACCATCTCTCCCCACGCCCTCCGCCCATCCCTGTCCACCCCCTGACCCACACACCCTCGGCTCTAACCCGGGATTTCGGGTTTTGCTGCCATTTAGAAATGACATTCTTACTTGTTGAATTCTAAAATGGAAGCAACACAGCTGTCTAGTAAATCAAATTTAGTGAATAAACGAGCCGTTCTTGTTTAGTATTGTCTTTAGGTCTTATTTCTCATGTCTCCTTTCATTAGAGGTTTTCATTGTAATCTCTTCGGCTCAACAAAGACAACCAAATCTGCCCTGTTAATTTTGTAATTGAGGTCTATGCAAACATATTGCCATAGCCATGGAAAATGTTTACTCTTTTTCAGCTGAACACACAGTACATTTTTAGTTGAATAAGATCCAACTGAAAGGCATAAATCAAGCGTTTAAAAATAGAAAGAGGATCGCAAAGCCTAGTATGTCAATATGCTCGTCAAGTGTTAATGCAGAAAGGCAGAGTTAGGCGGCCCCGGGCGCTGGAAACTGCGTTTGACCTCCTCCCTGCCCCTCTGCGTCTACAGTTCAGTTCTCACAGAGGCCTCTGGCGGGAGGAGCCACCATTTAGAATACAGATGGCCAAAGGAAACACCATTTTTAAATAGTTACTTTAAAAAAATCCTTTCAGATGAAAAAATCTGCTATGGTTGATCTTTCTGGTGTTGGTGAAAGGAAAGAGAAATCTCCGTGTGGGGAGGCCCTGGGCAGCGTTCAGGGACCGAGCCCTGTGGAGCGGAAAGGCTCGAGACTGGACCTATCTTGCAAAAACAAGGCTCCTGTTAGCAGAATCGAAGTCCATTGAGGAGCTGGAAGAAGACAGGTCCCTTCTCTAAAGCACTGTGATTAGCTCAAGCTCGTTGGATTTGCACTTTTGGAGAAGATGTGTTCAGTGAGGGCTGTGGAAGGCTAGGCAGGCTGGACGCCCGGCTAGAGGCCAAGCCTGCAGACGGCAGAAAGGCGAATGCACCTTCCAGATGGCCGCCTTTCCTGAAGAACTGCCTGGGGTTGCATTTGTGGAAGCCAGCCATCCTTCATCAACAAAGCAACAAATATCGATTGTTCAATTTACACATTTTCATTTTCATAATTTTATTTGTACACATTTGAACACCCTGAGGTTTGTAAACATTTAGTAACTTATCCAAAGGTCACAGGACTATCCACGCTTCAAATCCGGGCCCCTGTCCTGGACTTGCAGGGGTGCAGGATGAAGAAACCCCAGCCTGCTGTGAGGGACCTGAGGCTGCTGGGAGAGCTGAGAAGTGTGTGCGGTTGCAATGACGAAGCGTGCACGGTGGCTGGGAGAGCTGGGAGGTGTGTGCGGTTGTGATGATGAAGTGTGCACGGTGGCTGGGAGAGCTGGGAGGTGTGTGCGGTTGTGATGATGAAGTGTGCACGGTGGCTGGGAGAGCTGGGAGGTGTGTGCGGTTGTGATGATGAAGTGTGCACGGTGGCTGGGAGAGCTGGGAGGTGTGTGCGGTTGTGATGATGAAGTGTGCACGGTGGCTGGGAGAGCTGGGAGGTGTGTGCGGTTGTGATGATGAAGTGTGCACGGTGGCTGGGAGAGCTGGGAGGTGTGTGCGGTTGTGATGAAGTGTGCACGGTGGCTGGGAGAGCTGGGAGGTGTGTGCGGTTGTGATGATGAAGTGTGCACGGTCGCTGGGAGAGCTGGGAGGTGTGTGCAGTTGCGATGACGATGTGTGCACAGTGACGGCACTGCAAAATGTGACGGAGGCTCCGAGCAGGGGTTCCTAGGGGCCGGAGGCTGGGTCTACCCTGGTTGGGGCTGGCCCGGTGGAAGGAACGAGAAAGACAGTCTCAGGAACAGTGACGTGTGGAGATGGGAGGATGAGACACGCCCCCAGTACTGAAGGAGACCCTGGTGGTGGCAAAGGCGGGTTGGGACAGAATGTGGGAGGCTTTGAACATCAAGACACGAGTCTGGACTCATTTATAGTCAGTATTTTTTTATGAGTTAAACAAAAAGACGTGTGGCATTTTGGGGTCTGGACACTTTTAAATCAATGACTCCTAAGTGTTTACAAAGCAGGAAACAAGGTTTGAACCATGAGCTTCAGGAGCAGGACGGGCTCCTGGAGCCTGAAAGGAGCCCAGTCTCCCTCTCTGTGGGCGGCCGGATGCTCCTGACTTGGGTCAAGAGGGAGAGTCGTTCTCCTGGTCTCTATGCCGGGCTGTGACCACTGCCTGTCATTCAAGATGACCCTTTCGGGGTGTTGAGGACTGAGGCAGCTCTGGAATGTCACCCTACCTGTAACCTAACCTGCCCAGCTTCATGGGTGCTGGGAGGAGATATGGGGCTCTGAGGTCAGGGAGGGAGGACAGCTTGTTACAGCAGTGACAGTGGCTGTGAACCCGCAGGACCCCATGTCTACTCAGCCCCGTGAAGGGACCAGTGCTGCCGCACACACCATGAGTCAGGGTCATAGGAGAGCACCCCTGAGTCTTCTGCCACAGAGGAAGGCACTGCCTTTGCCTTCCAGGGCTGTATTTGCTTTCAGGCGTCCTTGAACAGGTAGGCCTGAACAAAGGGGAGGCCAGTGTCTCGCTACATGGGGTGTATGGAAAATGTGCCACCCGCAGAGAATTGCCTTCCAGTGGTGAATCGGTGGCAGCTGGCAGACCCAGCTGAGCTGTGCTGTGGGTAAGCCAGTGGTGGGAGAGGCCTCGCCCCTGGAAGCATGGTGCCCATGTGTTGCCGCCACGTCCCTGGGGTCTCTGGGCTGGAGTTCCAAAGTCGTCTTCATCATGAAGAAGCACATCCAGGCTATGGGCAGAACTGTCTTGAAGCCGTCCAGCTGTTTAAATTCTACATTCTGTGGGGCATGCACGGGGTTGGCTTATTCAACCTTCCTTCCATTCTCCCTGTGGTTGGAGAAGACAGAGAACAAAACAACTCATTTCCAAGATGCTTGGCAGCTGGGCAGAGTCCACCAACGAGAGGCACCCAAAGGCAATCCAAAAGACAGGCGGAAGAGGAGCGCATCTTGTTGCCATTGTGCCATGTTTGCTGGAAAGCACCGTTGTTGAGATGTGAGTATTTCTGCGTGATGTCCGTTCTTCAAACCCCAGACGCAGTTGGATGGCAGCGGATGGCAGCCGTGACCCCGCGGGCTCCCGGCTTCTGCTCCTGGTCCCCAGCTGGCTCAGGTGAATCCATGGTCAATGGCAGCCCCAGGAATGGCGGCCCCCATGATGGGTGGGCTTTACATTGTCCTGCAAGTAGTTTCTGGGAGCCACAGCCAAGTGAGAACTTGCTTCAACTTTCCAGTCACTTTCAGAGACACCAGCATTACCTCCTTTCCTGCTGAAGACACCTGGAGTGGCTTCCCTTCTCTGCCTCAAACCCTGACTGGTTCACATTCTTAGTTCATACCTTACTGTTGTTTACAAATCACCTGCAAACTCTTGGCCACAGTGCAGCGGGGGCGGGGCTGAGCACTCTGCTCCTAGGGTGTGGCCATCGTGGCTGAGCACTCTGCTCCCAGGGGGCGGTCAGGCAGGGGTCCGGGATGGAGAGAGGGCGGCCCCATTAGGGGCGATGAGATGCTCTCGAATCTGATTTGATCATCCCCACTCCTGCTCCTCAGCCCCCTGGAGCCGCATGTCTCCTTCAAGGCTGCTGTGATGTGGATTTTCACCTGGCGTCCATGGATAGCCACGTCCAGTGGGGAGGGGTGTGGGAGCAGGAGAGCCCCTCGGGGGCCCCACCCTCCTCCTGCGCACGTTGCTGCTGCTGGAATGGCAGGACACAAGCTGCTCCAGACTCAGTGAGCCCTCATTAGTGAGCTTTCTTCATGGGCTCAGGAAGATCTACGGCCCTTTGTCTACTTTTGAATAACAAGTTATCCCAAATGCAATGGCTTAAAGCACACATTATGGCACAGTTTATGGGGTCGGGAATCCAGGGCCTGTAGCTGGGCACCTCCTGCCCAGGGCTTCTCCTGAGGACAGCAAGCTGTGGCCAGGCCCAGGTCTCATCAGAAGGCTCAGCAGGAGAAGGATCCACTTCCACAGTGGGCTCCCACTGACTGTGGCCAGGTTCCTTGTCACCTGGGCTTTCCAGAGGGAAGCCATGGCCTGACAGCTGCCTGCCTTGGAGTACATAAGAGAGAGAGAAAGCATGAGAGGCCCTGAAATGGAAGCCACAGTTGTTTTGTGGCCTGAGGTTGGAAGCAATATTCCATCATGTTTCCATATTCCACGAGTTCAGTCCGTGCTCAAGGGGAGAGGATTACCGGGGAAGTAGATCCCAGGGGAAGGGGTGGCTGGGCTCATTTACGGCTGCCGACCACCCTGGACTTTGGGAAACAACGCAGCCCGTGTCTGGGTTTGCGGCATGGAGACTGCTGCGCGGTCACCAGGGCGGTTTGGATGGGTGGAGGCGGCAGACGGGACTGACCTGCCCCTGGAGGCTGTGGTGGAGTTACTGGCTGGAGTGGGGGCCCAGTGTGTCTGCGGGGAGGGAAGGCAGGGTGGCTGGGGAGTGCTGGAGTAGGGTCCCAGGGGCTGTGTGTCTGCGGGGAGGGGAGGCAGGGTGGCTGGGGAGTGCTGGCCATGGGCCTTGGGGGTGTCCGGGGAGTGCTGGTCATTGGGGAGTGCTGGACATGGGCCTTGGGTGTGGCCTTGAGCCCGGCCCCTGCAGAGGCGGTGCTCCCTGTGCTGGGCACTGCATGGGGCTGAAATGTCTTCCTGTGGCCACTGGATTCCTTGGACCAGCAGAACAAGCCTGGCCCTCGTGGCAGCTGCAGTTGCTTGTGCACACACACCCTGTGGGTCCTTTGCTGTCTCAGTACATGAGAAACACCCTGGACTCCCCCGTTTCTCGTTGGACGTAACTCTCAGTCCCAGCTGACTGCTGTTCTCCTTAACTCACAGCAGCCCCTCCTGGGACCAGCTCAGAGGTGCCTGGGAGAGGCAGTGCGGCTTCTAGACACCCTTCTTTGTAATCCAGCCACACGGGTTGTATTGGCCACGGAAGCCCCATCCACCGCTGAGGACTGGGCTTCCTGGGCTCGCTGCGGAGCCTCCCCCATCTGCCCCAGACACACCTGCCTCCTGCATGGTGGCCACTCTTGTCGGACTCTGTGCCTGTCCCCACATTTATTCTGTTAAACTTTTCTTTGCAGTACTCAGCCTGTTGTGCTGGGTCACTGTTCAGCTGATTAAAAATGGCAGCTTCCCTCAAAAGCAAATGTTATTGTAGCCCTTGGGTGTCAGAAAAGAGCAGGCAAACCCAACCTAAAGGCTCCTGGGCTTTCTGCAATTGTCCCCGTCGGCGTTCAGTAGGAACACGCATGGAGTGTGGGAGAACTGGATCGTGCAGGTGGGAGTTAAAGGCAAGAGGGGATCCAGGAACGCCGGGAAGCTGCTGCCTGGAGGGGGTGGGATGCTGGCAGGGGCTGAGCCTCCCCAGGACACAGCACCTTCGTCACTCTGACCACTGGGCCCCCTGCCCCACCTCTGACCACTGGACCTGAGTGGGGTGTGTCTCCATTCTGTGCCCATTGGCTCCTCCCTACTCCTCGCCAAGGGAGAGACCAGCCCCTCCCATCACAGGCTCCTTGGAGGGCTGGAATCCAGCTCAGCTTAGTTCAGCAAAAGACCATGAACCCTACTGTGTCCAGGTACAGGATCGAGGTGAGTCTAAACAGAACAGACCCCAGCGTTGAGACAGTGACAGTGAGCCTCTGTGAACACCTGCGGGTCCCCAGCCCAGCTTCTCACTGTGAAATCTTGAGGGGCAGCGGGAAAGTAGGGGCCGACCTTGCTCCAAGTCCCTAACAGGGAGCCCGCTTCCCTGAGGGTGAAGGCAGAGGGGCTCAGCTTGTGCGGGACCAGGGCGGGGAGAGCCCGGGGAGGGAGGGCGGGCGTGGCGGGCAGGGCACGGGGAGCGGACCTTGAGCGGCCGCCTGCCGCCCCCTCCATGGGGGGTGCAAGGGGTGGAAGCTGTGAGTGTGGACACGAGTGAAGCGGACGCAGGCAGGGCAGCCTCAGGCTCCTCGAAGGGGGCTTTCTGGTCAGAGTGGGAGGGGTCTGACATCTGTGGTTCTGTGGTCGCACAGCCTTTACCCAGTATTGAAAAGTAATGTTGCCTCGTGGGGAAACGGAAATGGCCAGCAAGGGTGGGTTCACCTCAGTCCTCCTCACCCGTTCACCTCAGTCTCCGCACCCCCATCCTGCTCTGTTCACCTCAGTCTCCTCACCCCCACCCTGCTCTGTTGTTCCCCTCGGTCTTTGAGACAGGACCAAACGCAGAGGCGGCGCTGGTGCAGCAGGGTCAAGGGGCAGCCTGGGCACCAGCCTCTCAGCCTCCCGGCTAGTCAGCCCCGAGCCGGTCCCAATCTGTCGGTGCTTCCTTGGGTCCTTCTCCAACCAGCGTCCTTTTCAGCAGCAACAGGGAGGCTGCAGAGGCTTCCGGGCTGTGGCAGGCTTGACCAACAGAGCCAGGGGCCAGAGTTGCGAGCGATCATAGCCACTGTCACTGAGAGGGCTTTCTGGGTCGCAGCCGCTGTCGCTGAGGAGGCTTTCTAGATTGTGGCCTCTGTCGCTGAGCGGGCTTTCTAGATGACAGCTGCTGTTGCCGAGGGAGCTTTCTAGATCATAGACACTGTTGCTGAGCGGGCTGTCTGGGTTGTAGCCACTGTCGCCAAATGGGCTGTCTAGATTGTAGTGTCTGTCGCCGAGCAGGCTTTCTAGGTGGTAGCCTCTGTCGCTGAGCGAGCTTTCTAGATTGTAGCCTCTGTCACCGAGGGGGCTTTCTGGATTGCAGCCTCTGTTGCCGAGCGGACTTTCTAGGCTCAGTCACAGGCCACATGCTCTGCGTTCGCTGCCTCCTCTGCTTCTGCCCGCTTCTCCAGGGCTCACCCATCCTGCAGATGAGGGGCCGAGGGCTCAGAGGGAAGGGCCCGCGTACGCTGGGTGCATCGCTGTGTACACAGATCCCGTGGTGAGGCACGGTCCCAGACCCCCGCTTGACCCCAAACCCCAGTCTTTACCCCCACCCAAAACCCCCAAGCCCCATGTCTCCCAAGCCCTTTCACAGTCTGCTCTGCCCACCGCCCCCACTCTCATGGCCTCTGGTGCAGCCACAGGGCCTTGGTAATGGGGGACTGTTGGGGGGCTATCTTTTCGGGGTCTCCTCTGTGGCCCCATCTGCCGGGGAGGAAAGGTCACGGGGGCCTGTGTGGGGCAAGGCAGCATGAAGGGCTTTGCTGTGGGGTCATGGGTCTGGGATGGGCTCTCGGCCACCCTGCGGCCTCCTGTCAGGTGTGCACAGCTGAGCCTGAACTTCCCGGACGAAGGAGGCTGCTATTCCCGGACCCGCCATAGAGAGGCAGTGCAGGACAGGGCTTGAGGTCCCGGCCCAGGCGCTGCAGCTTCTGGGCTCAGCCTGGGCTCTGTCCACTGACAGATCCTGGCTTCTCCGCCAATCCCCCTGTGTTTAGCGGGGTGAGGATGGGAGGGTGAGGTGATGGTCAATCCTCATGTCAACCTGGCTGGGCCATGGCACCCAGATATCTGGACAGACGCCCCTGGGACGCGGCTGTGAACAACTTTTTCTATGAAATTAATGTTAATTCAGGGGACTTTGAGAAAAGTCGTCTGGCTGTGGTGTGGGTGGGCCTCATCCACTCTGCGGAACGTCTTAAGAAAAAGACTGGGGTCCCCACAGAAGAGGGAATCCTGCCTGCAGAGAGCTCTGCACTTGAACGGCAGTGTCGACTCTCTCAGGTTCCCGACCAGTTCCTGAAAATCTCCCCCTCTGTGTGATGTGTGTGTGCGTGTGTGGGTGGTCCCACAGCTTCTGTCTCCTGGAGCCCCTCACCACTGCAGGCGTGGGGCTGCCCTTGGGGCTGGAGGGTGCGTGATGACCACAGGGTGGCGGTCGTGTGTCCTCACTGCCTGGTGCCGTCGCCTTCGGGTGGATGAGACGTGTGGCTCTGGGTCAGCCCCCAGAAGTGGCGGAGGGGTCCGTTGTTCTTATTATTAACTACCTCCTTCACTTCCTCAGACCTACTGTTTTCGACGTCTAAGTCAGCCCTCACCACCACCCCACGAGCTGAAAGATCTTGCCCCTGACTTTGAGACTTGAACCCTGGAACTCCCTTCCTGGAGCCTGCGTTGCCTGGGACAGGGGTGGCCAGGGTGAAATTGGCAGCACCTGGTTGCTCACTCCCGGCCAGCCCTGCCTGCTCCACCCAGCCCCGGGGACGGATTCCTGGTGTTTCGGGGCTGTCTGCCGGCCATCTGCTTGGTAGGGCCGTCGGAATCACCTTTTACAAAGCTCTTCTATCAGTGATTCAGGATCAAGGAGTAAGAGTGCTTTCTGGGTTGAAAAACATCGTGTGGGATCTTTAGCTGGAAAACATTTTATTACAAATATTTTTCAAGTCTATGTGGCCTCTTAAAAAGTCCCATCTTTTTAACACAGTGTTTCCCGGGCCAGCCACGTTTAGCCTTCTAAAGCTTCGTATGCAGCCTCTTACCTAGGAAACGATGCAGCTGTTCAGTCTTTTGCAAGGAGCAAGCCTTTGGTCTAAGAAGCAGCTTCGGGGGTGGAGGAGGTGGTGCTGCTGGGAGACCCGCCCCGGGCACACGTGGAGGTGGGGCTCATGGGAGAGGTGGGGCCTGCAGAGACCCGTCCTGAGGTTTGTGCTCCCAGAGCTGCGCGGGGCAGCGTGGGAGTCACCAGTCACACAGATCGTTTACATTTAAACTCATCCAGATAAAATGAAGAGTTCAGTTCTGCAGTCGCACCTACTGGAAGTGCTCAGGAGCCCACCGTGGTCCCCGTGCAGGGAGGGACTGCAGGGCGGGCTTCTCCTCCTGCTGAGAAAGCTCCCGTGGGTGCAGCTCCCACCTAGGTTTGTAAATAAAGCTTCCTGGGACACAGCCAAGCCCGTGGTTCATGGATCCCCTCTGCTGGCTTTTTTTTTTTTTTTTTGAGATAGAGTCTTCCTCTGTCACCCAGGCTGGAGTGCAGTGGCGTGATCTCAGCTCATTGCAACCTCGGCCTCCCAGGCTCCAGTGGTTCTCCTGCCTCAGCCTCCCGAGTAGCTGGGATTACAGGTTCCCGCCACCACGCCTGGCTAATTTTTTTTTAAAAAATATTTTTAATAGAGACAGGGTTTCACCATGTTGGCCAGGCTGGTCTTGAACTCCTGGCCTCAGGTGAACCACCGCACCCGGCCTCTAGTGCTTTTGTGCTATAATCCGGAGGTTGAGTTGCCACAGGGACCAGAGAGCCTGTGAAGCCTCAAATGCTTTTCATCCCGCCCTTGATGGAGAATCTTTGCCGACCTCTGCCCTCAAGCACAGCTGTGAAATCCAGCTGGGTCTGCCTGCACGGCAGTGTGGCTGCATCACACCTGAGGCCCACTGTAGGTGGTTATGTGGGGCGCTGGGGTGCTGGCCTTGCCATGTTGTGAGTGGCAGGTCTGGGCTGTGCTACGGCAGTGCACACGGTAGGGCTTCTGTGCACAGCAGCAAAGGCGCCAGTCGTGGAGAGCACAACGGGTGGGGGGGTTCGGGCAGGGAGCGGCCTCGGCACAGATGACCTCAAGTGTGCCTGAACGTGCATGTTTCCCATGGGGTGTGTCCAGCCAGCGTGTGAGCAGCGTCTCCTTGGGCAGAGGTGCGTCAGGCCATGGGACTGCCTGGGACCATTTCCTTTGGCTGGGGCACAAGGAGACGGAGGACCATGCCAGAGCAGAAACCATCCCAATGCCCAAGGAAAAGGACCACAGGCTGTTTTCAGAGAGACCAGGAATAGCAGAGGCCTCCTGGCCCACGGTCCTCAGGGGAAAGAGGCCATGCTTTCCAATGGAAATCAGGTTCATCTCTGGAGAGCTGTGTCTAGAAAGCGCAGTTCACCAAACAGCATAAACTCCAGAAAAGGGAAACTCACACTTGGAATAAAGGTGAGGAGGGCGCCAAACATCGATAGCAGAAGTCCTTGGAGCCAAAGCCACGCAAGGACGCTGGCACTGGGGCGTGGGGCTTGGGCCTGCGCGGTTTTGGAAGGGTCTGTTCCAGCCGCCGAGGACTTGGGCTCAGCTGATTCAGCAGTGAAGACACAGGCAAGTTGGGGACGGGGGGGGTCGTGGCGGTCCGTCCCTCTTCTCTGTAGGAAAGCCGCAGACAGTGGCTGGATCCTCTATGGCTCTTGCTGTGTAGACACTACTCAAAAGTAGCATCTTCTGAAAGGTGGTGAAACTCCTGGAGTTGGTTTAACAGCAGACGGGCGTGTGCTTTTGTGAATAAACGAATGGGGGCCAGGCGCGGCGGCTCACACCTGTAACCCCAGCACTTTGGGAGGCCGAGGTGGGTGGATCACCTGAGGTCAGGAGTTTGAGACCAGCCTGGCCAACATGGGGAAACCTGGTCTCTACTAAAAATACAAAAATCAGCCGGGCGTGGTGATGCGTGCCTGTAATCCCAGCTACCTGGGAGGCTGAGGCAGGAGAATCGCTCTAACCTGGGAGGCGAAGGTTGCAGTGAGCCGAGATCGTGCCCCTGCACTCCAGCCTGGGTGACAGAGCAAGACTCCATCTCAAAAAAAAAAAAAAAAAAAAAGAATGGTGGAATGGTGTCCTGACACGTATTCAGTTAAAATCTCAGGGAGGGCAAGCAGATGCCCTGTCTGCAGTCATTTGTCTCTGAGCACGGCATCTCGACGCTCCCTGTAAGTGACTGTCTCAACTGTGCACTGTTCCAGGTTCTCCTGCTGCTTGTCTGTGGTCACTGCAGGGCTGGGGGAAGCTTTGGGTCCCTTGGCCTCTGAACTGTGGTTCTCAGAGGACCCAGGGTTGGAATCTGTTCATCTGGACACAGCTGTTGGCACATAGGGACAGAGGCAACCTCCTCTGGAATCAGAGTGAGGAACTGGGAGGATCTTGGGCAAAAGGCCAGCTGCACCACCGTGGGTCAGCACTTCGTCATGGTTTATGTTTTGGAAATCTAAGAGTCTGGGGTGTGGCTCTCAATCTTGTTCAGGCACCAGTTTACCCCAGATCACCAGAGGTGACCAGGCCCTGATGCAAGATGGGGAGAGAGGGTTTGTGAATTTAACAACAGACCAGCTGGTTGAGAAACTCAAACTGCAGAAGGAACTATACGTAGTTCACTAATAGGTGACTTACGCTATAAATGTGCAAGAGATGTTCCAGATAACATACAAGTGTAACTTGATTCTAGTGTGAAGTTCCAATTCCTCCTCATTGATAGAGCCCTTAGTCAGCAAATCTTTCTCTCTCTCTCTGTCTCTCTCTCTCTCTCTCTCACACACACACACACACACACACACTCACTGTGGATGTATCGAGTAGTGTCTTTCTGCAAAGCACTTTGTCAAGGTGGTTTGGGGACCAGCCTTGCCCTGGTCCTGACCCTGCTACCTGTGTTCTTCCATTACCCTGGTCTTGTTGTTCCTGGTGCACGTGCTCTTAGCCATTGATGATATTGGTGATAGAATGCAATTCTCAGAGCCCTCTCAGTCTGTCTGCAACAAATTAACATTCAATCCTAAAACTGTACAGAGTTTGGGAAGTGGCTGGGTGTTGCCGTTGGTGTTAGGCTCTTGGTTGGTCCTGCCCTGACTCACAGGAGGTGGCACGGCTGCCACCTCTAGTTTCTGGAGCCATCTCTGAGCTCCCTAATGTTGCAGTGCTCCCCACTGCTCACACACACCCCTTCCTCTGAGGTGGTTTTGATCTGTTCCCTCCCTGACCCCAAGTACAGAAGCTCTGTTTTTTCCTCTTTGTGGCAAAATCCTGTCTTCCTTGTAGATGTCAGGATGTAGCTGATTAACTCTGTTTCTAGATTAAAGATTCTAAAATGTGGTTCTGGGATAAGTAGCAGCCACATCCTCACTGAAAACAATGGGAAAACCTGGATAAAATGCAGATGTGTATATTGAAAAACTCCCAAAATGGGCAGAACTTGAGTGGTCAAGATTAAGAGAGAAGGAAATTTGTGGATGTGAGTTTTATATTCTGAGCTCATCACCCCCTTGAGGCATTTGCTAATTCTTATGCATCACAGACAGGTTGAGCAGCACAGCAGAAAGCAGTTGCTAGGAGGCTTTCAGTAATCTCCCAGGGCTGGGAAGAAAAAATGTGAGTTAAGGGCTTCTTACACAGCCAGGGCTTCAGGTGCTAAGATCCCAGAAAGAACGCCTGTTCAGTGTAGTGAGTCCAACTAGCCAATCTGCTTGTCCCCCTAAAGCATTCCCTAAGTCCTCAGCTGTGCTGCTGGGGAGAAGGTCAGCAGAAAGTGGTAGCAGAGAGGCTGAGGAGCTAAAGAGTTTTCAAGCAGTCTCCTAGTGTAAAAAATAAAAGTCGCATTTGAAGGGCCCTGGTAAATTCTCAGAGCTCTAAATTGGAATTCCCATAGGAACAAGGAAAACTAGAAATAGACCAGGTGTTACAAAGACAAATCTAGTATTAAAACAACTTAATTAAGATGATCTGTCCTCACTCTAACTGGCTACCAGAGCTAGATGTCTTTCAGAGTTTCTAGTTTTTCATCACACGATGTCCAGCATTCCATCAAAAAGTACCAATCATATCAATAATCCAGGCAATAGAAACAGACTTCTGGATAATACAGATATTGGAGTTATCAAATACAGATTAGGCATAACTATGATTAATATATCCATAAAACAGATGAGACAATGGTGAACATCACAGATAAGTGGAATCCATAGAACCAAATGGAAATTCCAGGATTAAAAGACGTAGTAATTAAAATTTAATTAATTATTTTAATTTTTAATTAATTAAAATAAAATATTAATTTAATATGATGATTAAATGATTATCCAAAGCTAAAGAGAGATTTAGTGGTCTGGATGTAGGTCAGGAGAAAATATTCAGATTGAAATAAAAGAGAACAAAGAATGAAAAATAAAAAGAGTATAAGAAAAGTGTGGGACAGAGCACAAACATCAAACATGCGTAATTGGAGGAGAGAAGAGAGAGAGAAAAAAGGCACAGAATATTTGAAAAGACAGAATTTTTCAGAACTTACTAAAGAAATAAGCCATGGGTTCAAATATCACCATAAACCCTAGACAGGATAAATGCAATGAAAACACAGCTAGGAACATCATTGTAAAAATGCTGAAATGAAAAGGCAAAGAGAAATGATTAACATTAGCTAGAGGTAGAAAGACACATTACTGTCCAAGGAGCAGTAATAACACAGAGAGTGACAGTAGATTCCCCAGGAGAAATGATGGAGGTCAAAAGACAATGGAAAAGAAAGTACCTGGTAATCTAGAGCCTACATCTAGTGAAAACATTCTTCAAAACATGAAGGTAAAGATATTTTCAGACGAATAAAAACTGAGGATTTTCCCAGTAGGGCTACACTAAAATACTAAAAGGAGTTAGTTGGCAGGAATGTACTGCTAGCCAGAAGCATTAAAAATGCACAACAGAATGAAGAACAAATAAAGGAGTAAATATGTGGATAAATCTGAAACAAATATTAACTGCATAGAACTAAGTATAATATTTTGAAGCATTTAAAATATATGTAGAATTAAAATCTGTGACAAAAATAATGCAAAAAATGGTAAGTGGAGTTAAGTATTCTTCTATTCTTGCATTATTAGGAAATGGTAAAAGTGCTAATTTTAGGTTATAGGAAGTCCAAGATGCATACTGTAGTAGTCTATAATATAACCTTTAAAATAATATTAAAAATACGTAATCCATGATCTAATAGAGGGGGAAATTGAATGAAAAAAAAACTTGCTCAATCTAAATAAAGTGAAAGAAGAGAAAAGGAAGTGGTAAAAGTATTAATTTTAGGTGATAGTAAGTCAAGGATATATATTGTTGTCTCTAATATAACCTTTAAAACAATATTAAAATACATAATGTTCTAATAGAGGGGAAAATGGAATTAAAAAAATACTTGCTTAATCCAAATAAAGTGAAAGAAGAAAAAAATGAGGCATGTGAGACAAATAGAAAATAAATAGTTGCTTCATAGATACAAACCCAGCTCTAGCACTGCTTATATTTCATGGAAAAGGATGAAATATTCCAATTAAAAGACAAAAGGACTGGATTTCTAAAAGTGTACTCCTATATATTACTATATATATATATATATATATAATATAACATTATAGGATGGAAAATGATATACCATGCAAACATTTACCAAGAGAAAGTTAGCGTGGCTATGTTAATATCAGACAAAATGAATATAAGGCAAGAAGAAATACTACAGATAAAGAGGAACATTTCATAACAATAGAGGCTTAAATCCACCAGAAAGACAATTTAGTCTGTAGGACCCTAGCAACATAGCTTTGAAACATACAAAACAAAATAGAACCAAAGAAATAAATGCCTTGCATTCACAGTGGGGATCTTTTACACCTCTTTTGATACTGGATGACCAAAGAGGAATGAGTAAGGAGATATTTTAACCACACAATTAACAAACTTGACCCGATTGACTCTGTGGGATCCCACCCCCCAAAACTGCAGAATACACCATCCTCCCAAGCTCCAAATGGAATTTTTACCAAAATTGGCTGTATGTTTGGCCCTAAATCAAGTCTCAAAAAATTTCAAAAAACTGAAATCATACAGCATACATTAATATGTTTCACCATTTTCTCCCACCCATAACATATAATAGGGGACCACTCTGGCCACAATTCCCACCCTCGGTGGCAGAGCCCCCCCGACACTCACCCACCCCTGCCCTGGCACCTTTGGGACACTTTCTTCCTGGAATGCCCATCCTAGTACATGTGGGGGTCACTTCTACCTCACAGGCACATCTTTAACACCCCTGTAAGCCAGTTCATCACTTGCCTTGGGGTAGCCAATATTAACATTGATGATTTTCCTCGTCAGCTTAGTTCCTGACTCTTGTCTTAAGCCTCCTGGGAACAGCAAGGGTGTGTCCCATACAGCAAGCAGGGCGTGCTTGAGCCTTGCACAGCAATCATCAATCTGGAGACCCAACGTGTTCCCGTGGCTGTTTTCAGTGCCATCCCTGAGAGAGGGAATATTTTGATGTGATCAAACTAATACATCAAACTTCCAGCTTTTGAAGACTGTGTAATCAGGGATCTCATGTGGTCAGGACAGAGGAGAGAGAGTGGTCAAATCAATGACACTTTATATGTTTTGTCTTCTCTGGGTCAGCATTGCTCTGCCAAGGTTTCCTGGGGGACAAACCCTGCAAGACCCTGCTTGGAAAACGATGATGCCATTGACGATTAAAACATCCAGCAGCAAAGGCCCGGCCTGGGGCACGGTGTCAGGGCTGCAACAGGCCACGTGACGGTGTGGCAGTGAGTGAGCCACTGAATACCTCTGAGCCCCAGGCCCACTCATGTGGAGTGGAGGCGATGCCTGCCTCCTGGCCTTGCTGTGAGGACTCGGTGGGCCACTGTGCATGGAAACAACTTATAAACCACAGAGTTCGCTAAAAATGCTTTGTGAGATCCATGCACAAGACAGAAAAATAAAAACTACAAGTGTACAAAGAAAGGAGAAGAACTACACGCAGCTGTCCCTGTATTCATAGAGAGGCTGCAGCATGGTTTAGTAGACACAGGTTAGCACCGGGCATCAGAAATAACTGCATCCTGCCTTGCCACTGACTTACTGAGTAACTAGTGAGTCATGTGTCCTTGCTGCCTCAGTTTCCTCATCTGGAATTGAGGGATTGCATGAAAGGCCTCAAAGGGTCATTCCAATACAAGCATTCTCTGATTCCAAACCCTCAGTCCTCTGCAGTTGCCTTGGAGACACCATAGAAAGAGGGCACAGGACGTTTGCATCTCTTAGGAAGAGAGCACAGCCAGCGGCTACAAGTACAATGGCATTGTCTGCTTCCGTTTCCAGCTGCCTTTGAAAATGGTGTTATTAATGGAAAGGACACCAATCCACTGCTAAACTGTGCAAAGGGCATGGAAGTCGTCTGTCCAGGATTGTTCTCAAACGCGATCCATGAGCTTCTCCAAGCCTGGCTGCCTTTCTAGAGAAATGGGAAAATCATATTTTGTCCTAAATCTTTCCAGATGGGTCACCTCAATGAATCCAGCAGAGGTTGCAGCCCCTCCACAGTCAGAATCAGTTTGGATAAGAAAAGTTGCCCAAGATGTGTCCTGGTCACCCCCAGCCCCTACCCCCAGGTAATGCTGTAGGTCACACACACCACCTGGAGCAAACCTTCACCTTCCATAACACACAGTCCCAGCCAGCATTCCCAAGCTTGGCAAACATTCCAATGCAATGAGGCTTCGTGTGTGCCCATGTGTTGTATGTGTGTGCGTGTTGCACGTGTGTTGCATGTATGCGTGTATTGTATGCACGTGGATTGTATGTGTGCACATGTTGCATGCGCATGTGTTGGATGTGCATGTACGCTGCATGTGTGTGCATGTTGCATGTGTGTTGCATGCACACACATGCATGTGCATGCGTGTTGTATGTGTGCATGTGTTGTACGTGCATGCATGTTGTGTATGCATGTGTTGTGTTTGTATGCATGCGTTATGTGTGTGCATGTGTTATATGTGTGCGTGTGTGTTTTGCAAGGCATGGCAGTAGGGAAGAGACTCTCAGGCCTTTGTAGTCTCTGTTCCTCATGGACGAGTTCTTTATGAGCTCTGAGATTATGTTATTTGTAGACAGAATATTCTGATGCTCTTATTTCCAGGTTTGATATGTTTTTTTGCTTCTTGATTTCTTCTTTTTTTTAAAAAAAACCCCAAATCCCACATACCCTTTGGCTTAACACTTAAATAAACCAACTCCAATTGGGATCGTGTGAATAAACGATTTTCCTTTATGTGGAATGGTTCAGAGAACGTGGGCGTGTGCACACAAGTGCCCTGTTCCGGAGGCTGGTGGGTGGGGGTTCTAGCAGGCTCCTCTCCTGCGCAGGGGGTCTGGGGCTGCGGCCTCACTGACTGCCTTGGCTCCTCCTCTGTGCGCTGGTCCTCTGCTGCTCTTTATGGAAAATGTTTCCTGTGTGGAAAGAGGAGATTTTGAGACTGGCAGTGTGTGGTATGAGGGAGATGGAGGCACTGGCAGGATCGAGGGACACCAGGGGACAGGAGGAACCAAGCCCTCAGTTGTGGAGGGAGGGGAGAGCCCTGCGGATGTGTCTGGGGCAGGAGGACCGGGAGGGGGGCACTGGCTGCGTCAGGCTGCCTTTGGCTCTCCCTGCGGGGCCACCCTGTCCAGTGTCATTTCCCCCGCGTTCTCCCTCAAAACCCATCGACAACTCCAAGCCTGGCGGAGCTGGACTGGTCCTCCTCCTCCTCCCCTCATGGCGGCCGGCTGTGGATCTCATTCCTGGGATGTCAGTACCAGGAGGTTGGGGACTCCTGGTTCTTCACTGTCCAACATTGCCAGGGCTCTGGAAGTCCCCACTGTCACCTCCAGGGCTTCTGTTGCCGACGGCCACACCTAGAGGTGCTGGTGACGTACAGGAGCTTCATCAGTGCAGAGGCCCCTGTCTTTTGCTGTTAGAGTTATAGGAGAATTTGTGGTTCTCCCTGCAGAACAGTCAGGTCCCAGGGAACTGGAATCTTGACAAGGTCAATCATGAAATTGTATCTAAAGCAGCAGAGGTTGTCCTGGACAGTGGCACAATCTGGGATATTGGCCGTAGCTTGAACGACCGCTCACTGCCCTTTCTACACCGCGTGTGTTGGCCTGGTCCCTGCTGCTGGGGGCACGAGCAGACCTTGTGGCCTGGGGTTTTGTGGTCCTGGGACTGACACTGGCCTGGCAAAGTCTGAACTTGGGGGGCTGGGGGCCCCACTTCAGAGAAGCTCTTGGCCTGTGCTCGATGACAACTCATGCAGCAGGGAGGTCGTCTCCAGCGACGTTTCCCGGGACCGTCCTCTTCGGCATTTTAACAAAGGACGAGCTGGCCGGCTTCCCACGCTTGTGGACAGTGAGGGGCTGGGAGCAGCAGCCAACAGGCTGGATGGAAAAGTCAGAACCCCAATGCTTTAAGAGGGGACAGGGAGGCCCACCTAACTGTTCTCTAGCAGGTAAGCTCCCAGGCAGGGCTCTCTGTTTTATGTAGAAACCCCAGAGCCTAGGACAGTGCCTGGCACGTGGTGGGTGCTTGGGAAGCACCAGTGGAGGTGAGTGAAGGTGACAGGGTCTCAATGTCTGGCTCTGTGCTCGGGCTATGAAAAGCCAGCCATGTGGCTCGGCAATGGCTCATTTGCCAAAGTCTTTGGAGTTCACAGACAGCAGCTCGGGATTCATGGTGTGACGCGCTCCAGATGGAGGGTCTCAGGCTGCGTGGACGGGCAAGTGCTGCAGGGTATGGGGGGAGGGGCTGGGCACACTGGGCTGCCATGTGACTCAGGGATACCGGGAGGACAAGAGGGCTGTCAGCCTCACCCAGGACTGGCTCCCAGGTGTTCTGGAAAGCTCCTAGGAGAAGCCTGGGGCCAGGGACAGAAGCCACAGGATCTGCATGGCCAACTCTTAGCAGGCGGACAGTGGTGAAGCTGTGTGAACAGGGAGTGGAGAAGGGCTGGACTGGGGGTCCCCACCCCACGAGAGGGTGGGGGGCCTCCTGAAGGGGATGTGGGGGCCCTTCCTGGGCCTGTCATGGGGGAGCAGGCTCCCGTCATCACGTGGTTGAGACCCTTGAGTAGGTGGGTGGTGGCAGCCTTGTGAGTCCTGATTATTCTTGGGAAAAGGGGGACTAGTCCCCTGTTCCATTCAGCTGAAAAGGGAGAGCACTCCTTCAATGACACGGGCCTTGACTCCTTGAATTGGACTTGTCTGGTCAGGTTTCCACACATCAACGGTTGGACAGGGGCTCCTGTGGAGCTCAGGTAGGTCCACCTGGGGGCTGGGCTCACCTGCTCTCCCTGGAGCTGCTCGGAGACACACCTGTCCCTTGAGCAGGAAAAGAATCCCCAAATGAGAAGACACTTATCTATTATTTCCAATCTACCTGAAGATCTTCCAATATTTTGAAGGATTTGGTCCAGAATGGATAGATTTTCATACTGAGTGTTCTTTGAATTCTTTTCTGTGGGGAAAACAATAAGTACAATGATCACTCTTTGTAAATAATTAAGGCATGATTCCACTTTTCCTTTAACTTCAGGGAGCCGTAAGCGCTGAGCAAAGCAGCACCCACGCACAGAGCAAGCGGGGTGAGGTGCTGCAGCTTCTCGAGACACAGCCTCAGGCGAGGCCATCAAAAACATTTCCTCCAGCAAGCCCCAGAAAGTGTGGCTTGGTGCCGAAGCAATGCGTGGAGTCCTACATCTTTGTGCTTTCTCTGTGTTTTCTCTTTACACTCTTAGGAGACACTAGCATAGAAGTATTCTGTCCACTCTGTGTCCTAAGGGCTCCCCACTGCTGGTGGTGAGCAGGGCTCCCTTCTGTGGATCTGACACTCATGGTCACTTGAGCCGTGGTCCTTGGACCCGGACACAGGTTTTACAGACACTGAATTTCCCCCACCTTTCTTCGTGGCCAGCCCTTTCTACCAATGACTATGCTGTGTGGTCCCCGCTGCTCAGGAAGAGGTGCAGGCAGTGTGAGTGGCTAATCAGTTCAGGAGTGGCTCCAAGTCCCCCCAAACCGGCCCCAGCTTCTGCAGCTGTTGGGTGGGAGGCTCCCTTTGGAACAGCCACCAGCCTGGGAGGCACATTTCCTAGTGGGGGGCACCCTACAGAGAACCCTAATCCTCTTCCTTTATTTACTTTTCTTACTCTCAAAGCACACCAGGAGGACCCACCTCTCTTTAGTTCTCCCAAAACTCCGTGCAGGTGCAACCTGGAATCCTTAAAAATACGGTTTGGTACATCTGCATTTTGTGAACGCATGAATAATGACTACTGTTGACTGGCCTGACCCCTCAGTCTCATTTCTTGGAAACAAGAATCCCTCATATATCTGCCGAGCACCTAGCAGGCTCAGCAGGTATTGCTGAGTAAATGAGTCTCTTGTTGACATTAATGTTATAGGAAATGAATAATTATGACATGAATTTATATATGTCCTATGGGATACTTAGATTTTACCAGGTCCCAAAGTCTTAAACTGAAGTTTAGGCACAGTCAGTATGTCAGGAATGATATTATGAACCATGAAACTTTTCTTACTCCCAGAAGTTACAGACTACATGGGGAAGTTGGGTTTTCTGGCAACAAGGAAGAGAGGATAGTTGCAGATCTATTTTCCTCTTAATCCGTTTTACATTAAGAGGAACGTGGATCTGCAAACATTCATTAAAGCCTGCAGGCATCCTTAAAGGCTGCTTCATGCTTTAAAAACATTTATCTAAATTATTCTTAGGTGCTCAGTTTATATGTTTAATAAGGACACAAGCCCATTGAACAATTTTTAAGTTTTAGGAAAGATGTTCAGTGAAACATCAGGCTGTTTCCGGTGGTTGGTCCTCACTACCAGTTTCCTCCTGGAGGCCACAACTGTGACCCAGTTTCCTGTGTATCTTTCCAGGGATAACCTACACCAGAGAGATTACTGCCAATTTCATACTCAAAATGATTTCACACAGAGTTTTTTTAGAGAAGATTCCTTAGAAAATTTTGGCAGATAATTCAGGTTAGCTATTTGTGGAAACATATGTAATTCATCATTTAATACAAAACATTTTATCTTTAGTTTGCTTATTTGTAATCTCTAGCCCTTGGGAGTCCCAGGGAAGAGTATATGATGCTAACATTTCCCCGTTCCCTATGTATGTGTGGTTTCATTCGACTATAGGGCACCTGGTGAAACCCGTGGGTAATACTTAGTCTTCATGCGTAGATGAGGCCCCAGTGAGGCAAAGCACCTTCCTAAGGGCACTGAGGCTGTATGCGGCTGAGCTGGGAGAACCCAGGGGCCATCACCCCAGTCCTTGCTTTTCCTTCCAGAGTTGAAATGCAGAGCTTTTCACAGTTCCAGGATTCTCAATGGAACCACATGGGTAAAAATCTAGTATTTGAATTTTTAATGTCTGGAAAGGATGGAGTAACAAGGATTAGATTTATCCTCCCAATTTAATTAAAAAACAAGAAAAAATACATGAAACAGTGCTTTCCCATATATCGGAGAATAATCAGCAAAGAGCAGTGATCCCCTGAGAGATGGAAAGCAGCTGAATGCAGCCCTATGCTTGCTTCAGGCACTGCCTGGAGAGTTTCCAGGGCAGCATTAGGAGTGAGAACTTACGCAGAGCCCAGTGATCTCAATATACTGAGGGGTTTGGAGAAGTCACAGTAGCTAGAGTTCAAAGGACAGAGTGAGACACACACACACACACACACACACACACACACACAGAGAGAGAGATGCAAGGGATGCCTTGAGCCTTCAGCTGATTACTGGCCAATGAATGGCTGTAAGAAAACTACTCAAGGATGGAAAAAGGACCACACAACTGAACAGGCAGAACAATTTCCAGAGCTCACACAGGCCAGAAATAAGTGGGGTTCCTGTCAGAAAACATTTTAAAAAACCCTCATAATACACAGGAAATTGAGTACACAGAATTACATTGCTTCAGTAGTGGGGAATAGTAGACTTAGAATAAATGCTGCTTGGTCCCATTTAATATAGCATAAAAGCAAGCCTCAAAAGGACCAAACTGCTTTAAAGTAACTTAACTGGGTAAAAGAACAGGCTCAATAATAGTTTTAAAAATACAAGACTATCTAACACATAATGAAGTAAGATTCACAATGTCTGGCATTCAAACAAAAATGACCAGGTATGTGAATAAGCAATAAAATATCATCTACAATGAGAAGAAAAATTAATCAAAATTGACCCAGAAATGACATGAGAGTAGAATTAGAAAGCAAAAGTATTAAAAATGTTTTTATAAAACTGTATACCATATGTTCAAGAAGCATAGAATGTCAGATTAGATAAAAAAGCAAGAGCCAACCATACGCTGTCTATAAGAAACCCCCCTAAAGACACAAATGGGTTAAAAGTAAAATGATAGACAAAGATAAGACATGCTAATACCAATCAAAAGAAAGGTAAAATAGTTACTTAAATCTCAAAGTATATTTAGGGGCAAATAATATTACTAGGAATAAAAGAGTCATTTCTTTCTTTCTTTTTTTTTTTTTTGAGATGGGGTCTTACTTTGTTACCCAGGCTGGAGTGCAGTGGCACCATCTTGGCTCACTGCAGTCATGACCTCCTGGGCTAAAGCCATCCTCCTGCCTCAGCCTCCTGAGTAGCTGAAACTACAAGTGTGTGTCACAACACCAAGCCAATATTTTATTTTTTGTAGAGATGAGGTCTTGCTATGTTGCCCAGGCTGGTCTTGAACTCCTGGGCTCAAGTGATCCTGTTGCCTCAGACTCCCAGTGTTAGGATTACAGGCACAAGCCACTGCACCTGGCCAAGAGTCTTGTTGCAGGGATAACTCACCAAGAAAACATAACAATCCTACAGGTTTATTCACCAAATAAGAGAGCTTCAAAGTACATGAAGGAAACACTGCTAGAACTAAAAGGAGTAATGAACACATCCACAATTATGGTTTGAGATTTCAACAGTGCTTTCTCCATAATCAACTGAACAAGTAGATTGAAATTTAATAAGGATATAGAAGAGTTGAACAAGTCTACTTAGCATACTTGATCTAATTGACATTTATAGAACAGTCCACCTCTTAACAGTATAATACACATACTTTTCAGGAACACTTGGAATATTTGCTAAAGCACACTATATTCTGGGCTATATTTAAAGTTTTAAAATTCATTTAACAATAATCATGCCATATAACATATATTTTCTCACCAAAATAAAATTAAATTATAAATCAATAAAATTATGGTATCTGGAAAAAACCTCCAAATATCTGAAACTAAATAGCACACTTCTTTTTTTTGTTTTTGTTTTTGTTTTATTTTTTGAGATAGAGTCTCGCTTTGTCACCCAGACCGGAGTGCAGTGGCATGATCTTGGCTCACTGTGACTTCTGCTGCCTGGGGTCAAGTGATTCTCCTGCCTCAGCCTCCCATGTAGCTGGGATTACTGGTGCCCACCACCAAGCCCAGCTAATTTTTGTATTTTTAGAAGAGATGGGGTTTCATCATTTTGGCCAGGCTGGTCTCAAACTCCTGACCTCAAGTAATCCATCTGCCTTGGCCTCCCAAAGTGCTGGGATTACAGGTGTGAGCCACCATGCCCAGCCTAAATAGCACACTTCTAAACAACCTATGGATCAAAGAAGAAATTTAAAAGGTGAATGATAAAGTATTTTGAACTGGATGAAAATAAAAACACAACATATTGGAATTTATGGGATGAGATAAAAGTGATACTTAGAGGAAATCACTAAACATTTCTATTAGAAAACATGAGAAGTCTCAAACCCATGATCTAAGTATTCACATCAAAAAGTTAGAAAAAAGGGGAAATAAAATTTACAATAAGCAGAGGAAAGAAAATAATGTTAAGAGAAGAAATCACTATAATTAAAAACAAAATAGAGGAAAATGAAACAAAAAACCTGGTTCTCTGAGCAGATCAATAAAATGGATGAACCTCAAATCAGACTGATAGGATTTTTAGAAAGATACAAATTACTAGAGAATTGCTATCACTACAGTTCCTGCAGACACTGAAAATGAATAAAAAAAAACTATTGTGAAAAACTTTTGCCAATAACTTTGCCAACTTAGGTGAAATGAGAAAGTTCCCATAAGGACCCAAATTATCAAAGCTTATTAAAGAAGAAATAAATACACAAAATAGCTCTCTATCTATTAAATAAATTAAGATTGTAGTTAAAACCCTTCCATAAAGAAAATATAGGCCCAGATGTCTTCACTGATAAATGCTATCAAACATTTTGGGTAGAAATAATATTCATTTCATATGAATGTATCTAGAAAATTCAAGAAGAGAGACTACTTCCCAACCCATTTCTATGAAACCATTATTACCTTAAAACCAAAGCTAGAGAAAAGCATTAAAAACCCAACAAACCACAGACCAATGTCCCCCAGGGATACAGATGCAAAAATTCTGAATTAAATTTCAGCAAATTAAATCCAACAATATAATGACCAAGTGGGTCAAAAATCAATCACATGTGATTCTCCTCATCAACAGAATAAAGTAAAACCAAGTGACCATCCCAACAGATGCAGGGCTGCAAGCTGCGGCTAATGGTCAACTGTGGACGCACCTGCTTTAGTGAATAAAGCTGCCTTGGACACAGCCATGCTCATTCTTTCATACACTGTTCACGTTGCTTTTGTGTTCCCGTGGCAGGCTCGAGGAACAGAGCCCACATTGCCCTCAAAGACTGAAAGATTTACTGTCTGACTTTGTACAAAAAATATTTGCTATGCTCAGAATAGATTCAGAAAAAACTTTTCTCAGAATTCAAACTCCATTTATGAACAAAACTCTCAGCAAACTAGGAATGGAAGGCAACTTCTTCAACCCAACAAAAGGAATGTATAAAAAATCCCTGCAGCTAACATCATCCTTCCTAGCAAATGACCAAATGCTTTCACTCTTATGAAAGAATGTCTGTGCTTATGACTCCTATTCAACATTCAACATTGCACTGGAGATCCTAACTAGTGATACAGGGCAAGAAAAAGAAACAAAAGACATATATGTTGGAAAGGAAGAACAAACGATTCCCAGGTGATATGATCCTCTACGTAGAAAATCCAAAAGAATCTACAAAAATGCTACTGGAACTAAAGAGTGAGTTTAGTAAGGTTATGGGTTATAAAGTCAATATACAAAAGCAATAATATTTCTATGTATACTAAAAATGAATAACTGGATATTGAATTTGAAAAAGTGCCATTTATAATAATATCAGTAACTACTAAACACTTATGTATAAACCTAATAAAATATATGCCAGATCTTTATGCTAAAAACTACGAAAAGTGAAAGAAAGCAAAGATCTAAATAAGTGGAGTTGCTCATAGGTAGGAAGACTGGAAATTGTTAAGATGGCAGATCTTACCAAATTGATCTATAGATTTGTAGCAATCCAAATTAAAATCCTAGCAGAATTTTTTGTAGACATTAATAAGCTGTTTCTTAAATTTATACAGAAAGATAAAGGCACTAGAATAGCCAGATTGATTTTGAAAATCAAGAACAAAGTTGGAAAATTCAAACCTGTGATCAACATACAGTAACCAAGACAATGAAGTGGGCAATGAGGAAGAACAGGTCTTACATCAACAAAACAAAATAAAAAGTCCAGAAACAGACTTGCACATATATGATGAACTGATTTTCGACAAATATGCTAAGGCAACTCAAGAGAGAAAGTTGAATTTTTTAGCAAATGATGTTGGAACAATTGGACATGAATATGCAAAAATCCAAACCAAAACAAATCAAACCAAAACAACAATAACCTCACACCATATATGCAAATTAACTCAATACAAGCATTTAATGCTATACATTTCCATTTAAGTACTTTGTATGGCAGCCCTAGGGAACCAGTAGTGACTAAACATATGAACACAGTGACATGTGCCTGCATGGGGCTACTGTTTGTTAAGGATACAATGCTGAAATCAAATCAGTTCCCTGGGGATCCCAGACCTGGCAGATGGAACTCTGGTGCTGTCCACTCTAGGACCCGTGATGTGGGCCCAGCCTCCAGTGCCATGGAGGGTGGGGAGGCAGAGGGTGCTTTGCATCTCCCAGACCTCAGAGATTTGCAGAGACAATGTGTCCCCCAGAGCTGCACCATCCTTTTCTTTAGCTCTCAACCAGGGCACAAAAAAATCATGTTACGCTGTGAGAGCTTCTCTCTCTCTCTCACACATCTTCTTTGTCTCCCTGTCTCTCTCTCTCTGTCTCTCTCTGTCTTCTCTCTCTCTGCCTCCACTCTTGGTGAAAACAAAACGGTTTCATACTTACACTCTGTCTTTATTCTGTTCTTCTTTTTCAAATGTTGGTGCCAATCGAATAAATGGACTTTATGGCCCATCCTGGGTGGCCTCGCGCTGCCTGAAAACTGGGAGCAGAGTCAGGGCACTCCCAACCTTGGCTCCAGCGGCCGGGCCGAGCTGAGGGGAAGCCATCCCATTTCCTAACTACCAGGGAGAAGGCATGTTTCCTTCCAGTTGTATCGGCTTCATGGTCCATCTTTTCTGTTTCAGACAATTTATCCTTGTCATGTGCCATCAGTAAACATGGAGAAATGGTTTTCCCCATCTTTTCTTCAACTTTTTTTTCAACTCATGCCCTCTGACTCACATCTGTTTCTATTGCAATGTTCTCCTGGCCTATGTCACCCTGCAGGGGAGCCTGTGCGCACCCTTGGATCCGGGCGCCCACGCCACTGTGGCACATGGCTGTCCTGTCAGGTTGCATCTGAGTTGTTGGTAAGGTCACTAGGACTTTGTGGGATCCTCCATGTTAATGAATCCAAGGGGTTTTTCCTTTACATTCTCACAGAAGCATCTTCTCCAGTCCTCTGCTCAAATAAGGGTCAAGGTTTCACATTCTCCTCAGTGTCTATGCATTCATTCATTCATTCAACAAACACCTACTCAAGGCAAGGTGCTAGGGTCGGCATGGAGGGTGCACTCTCTCATTCAGGAAGCCTTGTTCCCATGGGGGGATATGGATGTACCGAGAAATACCTGCAGCCCAGAGCAGCAGGTACTGAGACAGCATGAACAGACAGCTCTCAGCCCAGGAGACCATGCCACCGGCCCTGCCTCTTGTGTTCCTGTCATCTTAGGAGCTGAGCTAAATCAGGAGCTGCCTGGACACTTCCATTTGGCTTTTGGTAAAAATTAAAAGGCATAACTCAGGCTGGAGGAGGAGGTGAGAGGAAGCAAAGCAATAATTGGCAGTAGAGGGTCCCAGAGGAGGCACTTTGTAAGATTCAGACTCCATTTCTTTAACCCTGTGCCATGGAAGCAGGGTTCGAATTTCAGGATGGATTTTTCTTTTAATGAAAAGCACCAAGCCCCCCAACACAATGCCATTGTCTATATGTGAAGTTCTGTCATTCTGTTCTCATCAGAGAAACAGCTCATTCGAGTAGATCATCCAGATCCTCCCTGGCCCGGGCCAGCTCTCATTCCTGACGCATCCTGAAGTCCACAGACTCCTGCAGGGAAGCCGTAACTGGGGAAGAAGCAGAAGCTCCACTTCAGTGTGATGAGAAGGCTAAACGCAGAATTGAAATGACGGCAGTGACAGGGGAATCTTCATGCTCCCAACGCAGCATCACCACGGATGCACCTAGGTTCTTTGGAGTGCAGCAGAGATGCTGGTGGAGACAGGGAAGAGCAGTGCTGGTCACATGCGGTGCCTTCGGGCGGGTAGGGGCTGCTCCGCTTCACCCAGGGGGGTCCTTGTTCGGATTCACCCCGTATTTATCAGGCTTTTGTTCACCCCTGCCTCCTGCATCTTGCTTCTCCTGCCTCAAATGCTTCATGACGTTTTCTTTAAAACGAAGTTCTCTCAATGTGAAACGCTTGGCCTTTTCCAGCAAAGTCTATTTTGCTCTCACTGGCAGATACTTCAGCTGGGTATGGAATTCTACATTGATAGCCATGCTTTTAAAAAAATCGTTTGAAGATATGATTTGCTGTCTTTTGACTTCTATTGTTTTCTGTGGAAATAACCGTTTACAGTCTAATCGTTCTGTTTTAGAAATCTTAACTTGTTTCAGGTTGATTGCCAGATCGTCTCTTGGATTTTGGAGTTCTGCAGCTCTACAAGTGATATGTCTAATTTCATTTCTATTTCTCTTCCTTTAGAACATACTGTGATTCCTGAATCTGAGGATTATGTTCTTCACTGATATGGGGATAGCCTTGATAATCATTCCTTCAAACACTGCCCCTTGCTCACTCTCCATTCCCTCCTGTGGGATGTTGGTTCTTACCTTTTATGTTTCCTGGTCTCTGGTTTTATAGCTCTTTATGCCTCAGGTTCACCTTCCAATTTACTTTTTTTTCAATTATGACAGATCTGCTGTTCCACTCATCACTTCATCTTGAATTTTAATGACTTTTTTGTTTCTGTTTCTCCTAGTTCTTTTTTGGTATTGGACAACTTTGCCTGTTTTTCACAGTGTCTTGATATTTTCTGTTCTCAATTCCATTTCTATGCCATGAATAATTTTAAGCATGTTTATTTTAGCATAAGCATTTAATGCTATAAATTTCCATTTGAGCACTGCTTCAGTTGCATCCCACAACTTTTGACATGTTGTGTTTTCCTTTTCATTTAATTAACCCTTTCCCATTTGCCCCGAGAATACTTGCCAATGGTACTTGTGGCAGCAGCATTTACCCCAAGATACCTTTACCATGAAATATCTCACTTTTAATTTTTGAATCGCTTGAGTATATCGACTTTGGAAACAAAAGCCATCATTCTATTTATAGCATTCTGTTTTTAGTAGAGGTATTTTTATTTACAAAATATAGTAATTCTCAGTTGCTGAAAATGTAAAATCCTAGAAAATGTAGCATTCCTATATGTAATGTTAACATTGTTCTTGAACAGTTGCTGGCCAAAGATTTGTTCAATGAATCTGATTTTTCTGAAATAGACAATTCTGATGATTCAGAAAATTCTGATGTTAGTTCTGCTTAACTCCAAGAACACTTTTTCTATTTTATTTTCACACTGAAAATCAGTCAGATTTGCTTCTGCCTTAAAGAGCATGTTTATGTAAAAAGCAAATGAGCACTGGCAGTGAGACGCACTTCATTTTTCTAAATGGGAAAAGGGTTAAACATTTTTGAATTTCCCTTGTGACTTCTTTGCGCATTGGGTTATTGAGAAGTGTGTTGCATAATTTGCAAATATTTGGAGGATTTCCCCACATCATTTTCTATTATTGATTTCTGGTTTATTTCTGTTGTGTGCAGATAACATGCTTTGCATGATTTTAATTATTTTAGACTTGTTGAAGTTTGTTTTGTGGTCAAAAAGATGGTGGATGTTGGTGAATGTTCCAAGAGCATTTGTAAAGATATGCATTCTTCTGTTGCTGGGTGGATTGTGTTCTATAAAAGGTCAATTTGAGTAATTTGGCTAAAAATGTTGTTTTGGCCTTTTATGTCCTTATTCTGTCTATTTCTTTTATCAATTACTGAAAAAGAGTGCTAAAGTTTCCAAATGTAACTATAGATTTGTCTGCTTTTACTTTCATTTCTATCAAGGTTGGCTTCATACTTGTTTTGAAGCTCTGTGGTGGATAGTGCATAGATATTTGAGTTTATTGTGTGTCTTCCTAAGAAACTGACCCTTCTAAAATGATCTAGTTTTCCTTTTATCTTTGATAATGTTGTTTTGAAGTCAACTTTGTCTGATAGTAACATAGCCACTTCAATTTTCTTCTTTCTTCTTTTTTTTCTAAAGTTTTCTAGAAAAACATTTATTTTTCTCCAAGTTTTAAAGTGTGTCACCAGGTTTGTTGTACAGATTATTTCATCATCCAGCAATTAAGCCTAGTCCCTATTAGTTATTTTTCCTCATCCTCTCCCTCCTCCCATTCTCCACTCTCAAGTAGGCCCCAGTGACTTTTGTTCCCCTCTATGTGTCCATGTGTTCTCATCATTTAGCTTCCACTTATAAGTCAGAACATGCGGTATTTGGTTTTCTGTTCCAGTGTTAGTTTGCTAAAAATTATAGCCTCCAGCTCCATCCATGTCCCTGCAAAGGACATAATTTCATTCTTTTTAATGGCTGTATAGTATTCCATGGTGTATATGCACCACATTTTCTTTATCCAGTCTCTCAATGATTGGCATTTAGGGTGATTTCATGTCTTTATTATTGTGAGTAGTGCTGCAATGAACAGACACATGCATGTGTCTTTATAATAGAATGATTTATATTCCTATATTTATATTTGGCCCTTGGCCTATAGTTTGACAACCCCTGGTGTAAAACATTTAGACTTAAGGTAATTATTGATGTTTTTGGATTAAAAACTGCCAACTTGCTAGCTGTTTTCTATTTGCCTTGTCTGTTCTTTATTTCTTTTTCCCCTTGTCTTCTTTGAATTAATTGGGTATTTTTAAATATTCATTTTACTTCCTCTATTGATTTGTTATTCACACCTTAAATATTTTTAGTGTTGGATCTAGGCTTTACAAATATGTATCTCTAACTTATTGCAGTCTAACTTTAAATAGTAATTTATCACCTCATGTAAAGTGTGAGAACCTTTAAATGGCATACCTCCAGTTGCCCTCCTTTTTGCTTTGTTGACATACTTTTTTTTTTTTTTTTTTGCATGTTTCTTTCTTTCTTTTCCCTTTGGAGATTCAATTGTATTTCAAGTGATCTCAACTAACAGTACCAAAATGTCTTTCATATTTACTTCATTTTTACTATTTCTGGTACTTTTTATTTCTTTGTACAATCCACATTTTGGCCTGGAGAATGCCATTTAACATTTCTAACTTTGCAGATCTGCTAACGATGTGTTATCTTTGTCTGAAATAATCCTTATTTTTGTCTTCATATGTAAAAGATATTTTCTCTGAGAATAGAATTCTGGGATGGCAATTTTTTCTTTCAGTCATTTAAAGATGTCATTCCACTGTCCTCTAGATTATATAGTTTCTGATATGAAGTTTGCTGTAATTCCTATCTTGGTTTTTTTCTATGTAAAGTGTTTCTTTTCTCCCTTCTAGCTGCCTTCAATATACCCTCTTTTTAAAATTTCAACTTAAATATGATATGCCTACAGTGTGTGTGTGTCTCTGTGTTTAAACGTATCCTGCTTGGTGTTCTCTGAGATACTTGGATCGGTAGTTTGATAACTTTTATTACTTTTGGGCATTTTCAGCCATGATTTCTCCCTCTATATTGCTCTCTCTCGTCTCTTTATCTTTCTGTGATTTCAATGATATGTATGTGAGGAAATGAGGTATTTACCCATAACTCTTTGGTAATATGGTGTTTTTTCATTCTTTTTTTTCCCTTTATGTTTCAGTTTTTATTTCTATTGACCTATTTTCAAGATAGCTAACTTTGTTTCCTAGCTGTGCACTGTCTACTGATGAGCTCTTGGAAGAAATTCTTAATTTAAGAAATTATGTATTTTATTTCTAGTATTTCCATTTGACTCTTCTTATAATTTCCATATCTCTCCTGAAATTCCTCATCTTTTAATACATATTTTCCACTAGATTATTTAACATAGTAATCATAGTTATCATTGTCTGATAGTTCCAACATCTGGGACATCTCTGTGTCTGGTTCTGTTGTTTATTACTTTATAATGGGTATTTTTCTTGCTTCCTTTTGTGTATTGTAATTTTTTATTGAATGTCAGACATCATGTATGAAGCACAGTAGAGATTGACGTAAACTGTATTATGCCTTAAAATGGGCACACCTCTTCTTTCGTCATGCCATTAGCATGGGGGTTGAGCCAGTTTTGTCAGAGGTAGGTCTGGCTTGGAATCAGTTGTGGCTATTGACATCTTCAATGCACCGAAGAATCAAAGTCCTCCAGAAGTGTGCTGCTGTTGCCTTGTGTTCACAGTATGAGCTAGGGGGCCAGAGACTTTCGTAGTGTTTCTATTTCCCTTTAGCCTTCAGCCTTCCCTGAACACCTGCACGGCAGAGCGGGTTTCTTTCTCAGTTCTTCCCTTCCCTCAGGGGATATACTCCCTTCACTGGTTACTCCCTGCTAGGCCTGTGATGGGCAGGGGATTTCTCACTTGTCCTTATCCAGCCTCACTCTCAGGCAATCTGTGTTGTTTGATCAGCACCCATGTCACTTCTCTCAGTAGCCAAACTTTGCCTTTTACAGTGGTTGGTCTTGGGTGGTATTTCTTGTCTCTTCCTGTGGTAACAGCTCTCTGTTAGTAATGGTGAAGGATCCTGGCCCCAAGGTAGTTTAACATCTTTCTTCTAGAGGCAGAAAAGTTTTGCTTTTACTCCTATCCCCAGAAGTCATAGATCTTTGCTTGTGCTTTGGGAATAAGAGGCTTTGCTGCCCCTCCGCAAGAGGCTTTTATAGCTTCAGAGCTACTGAGAAAGTGGGAGGGGTCACCTGTCTGTCCCCAGCTGTGGGTGATCATTCCCTACATGCCTCTGTGGCCCTGCTGTGCCCCAGTCCTTCCTGTGAGCATCTTACAGAGACCTATGGAGAAGACCTTGTGAGTGCAAGCCCCCTTGTGCCTGGGGCCTCTGGATTTTTCAAATGCATATTATATCCCACACTTGGCTATTAAAAAATTCAGTGGTTACTTCTTACCCACTTGTATGGTGGTGACCTGTTTTCCTCCTGCTTGGCCAAAAATGAGAAAGCTCATGTGTTCCAGCTCTGTTTGGTAGGCTTGCCTCTTTTTTGAATTCTGCCTACTTTACCCTGCTACTGGAATGTTCTTATGGGCTCAAGGAAAGCCATGGTTTTGTAGATGATCCCACTTTTTATTATTAGGGTGAGAGTAGCGTAGCATTGTTTTTTGTTTTTTTTTTTAAATGGAGTCTCACTCTTGTCTCCCAGGCTGGAGTGCAGTGCATGATCTCAGTTCACTGCAACCTCTGCCTCCTGGGTTCAAGTGATTCTCCTGCCTCAGCCTCCCAAGTAGCTGGAATTACAGGCACCCACCACTGCACCTGGCTAGACAGTAACATTTTTTTTACAGCATTCTAAGTGGAGGTAGAGAACCTGAAACGTACTTATGTCAAATGCTCTATCAGATTGTTCAATTATCTGAAATTCTTGAAGTCTAGTAATGCTATTATTTTGCCTGCTGCTTATTATCCATGGCATATTGCTTCCCATAAGTTTGTGTTTTGAATTATAAGCTCACCTTTGGCAGAGCTATTGTCTGTGAAAATCCTGTGTAGCCCAAATTAAGGGAATCATTCTTTACATCAAGTTTGTATTTGCTTCTGCCAAGTGCCCTCTGACCCAAAGTGTCACCAGATGAGACTTCCTATCATGCTGGTTTCACAGATTAGCTATTCCAGAATACACAGAACTTGAAGTCCCCATGTGGTACAGGCTTACACAGACATATTTCCATTTTCCTGTGCTGGTAGATGGTTTTTTATCTACACTATCCTTTTACTGAGGGTGTAGTCTTGTTAGCAGTCGTAGCATTATTCAGGGATTTCATTTGCAACACTTTTCTTCCCTAGGCCTCATCTTCTGAAAATAAACTCTAACAGCCAAATTTCTATGTTTCATAAGGGAAAATTACAGTTGAGGATTGTTCTGCAATTAGATCTGTAACTTACTGCTCTGGATTTTAATTCTCTCTTGGTTTTCTAGCCCTGAAGATTTCCTTTACTTTGCTGCAGATCATAATAGACATTTAAAAATGTTTATTATATTTTATCTAGAATTTCTAAAGATTTTCAACTTATATAGTTTTCAACGTTGGCAAACACAAATAAGTAAATTGAATCTTCTAAGTCCTTTGATTTGATTTCCATGTGACTAAGGACTATGGCAGCTGCCTAGGCCTGTGTCTCCCAATATTTCCTCAAAAAATGACACAGAAAAACAGGAAAGAAAAATAAGATTACACAAAACTATACACTCAGGCATAACCTAACTATAAAATACTCAAATATCAAAATAACAGTAAGTAAAAAATAAATAATAAAAATTTAAAAGTTATAGTGAAGAATCTCTGTTCCTGCCCTACATTCACTCCATGCAACATTTATTGATCAGCAATGGCAGGTTGAGATAAAACAGTGAGAAAAGTGAGCTAGAAAAAGCCTAATATTGATCTGAAAACACTATCAGAATAAGCAACTCCACTGTAAGACTGAAAATACTAAATATGGGTCCTGGGTAGATCAGAGAAAGGGCTACAGAGAAAGAACTTAAAAAGCACATGTGAATTTTATGTGTCAGTCTTCAAAATATATAACACCTGGGAAAGAGAAAAGACAAAAAATAAGGAGTAGGCTCCTTTTAGAAATTGAATGACAAAGGACAAAAGTAGCAAAAGGGGAACATGTATGGTCCTGTAAGATTAAAAAGAACCAAAAATATCAGAGGATACACTTATTTTTCTTATATCAAAGCAATCAAAATATTCACTAAAGGATCAGTATTTTTCAATACTGATATAACTTAAATGGAAATGTAATAAAAGGTAGAAAAGTAAGTCAGAAAAACAAGAAAATGTAATGAGATAAAGAAATAAGTAAAAAACATCAATGAGGAAATAATAAGAAAATATAATACAGGCAGGCAAAGAAGAAATAACATCTGTATAATTGGTGTAATTGAAGAAAACAACAGCAGCATTAACTATGGAATAGAATGAATATTTGAAGTTATAATTAAGATAACTTTATAGAAAAATAATAGGTGAGTCTAATTTTGAAAGGATCCATTTTGTATCTGGGAAAACTAATACCAAGATGTATCCCAGTAAAACCATTAGATTTCAAAGATAAAACAACCAAAAAAGCAAGGCAACAATGAAGCAGCGTTCTCTATCAACTTAATGAAAAAAAAAAGTATAAATCAAGGATTTTATATCCATCTAAGTGTGCATCAAACATCAACTTAAACATACAAGAGTCTAAAGATTTGTGTGTCCATAGCACATTCTTCAGTAATCTGCTACAGGATGAGCTTCATCAAACCAAAAGATAACTGGACAACTTCAACAAGAACAGTGATGGTGAAGGTGGATACACACACACACACACACACACACACACAACTCATAATCATATATGTAAATGACTGAAACATAGGTGAGACTGGAAAACTAATATGCAAATGCTATATGTATTGACAAAATAGAGGTGATAAAACTAAACTATGGGAGGTGATAAGGGAGATGAAGAGGAAAATAGAAACTCATTGATGTTGATGCCTAATTGAAATTAGGCAATGATTGATAGTTCAAGTACACCATTAAAAACTGACAAAGCAGGGGCTGGGCATGGTGGCTCACACCTGTAATCCCAGCACTTTGAGAGGCCAAGGTGGGTGGATCCCTTGATGTCAGGAGTTTGAGACCAGCCTGGCCAACATGGTGAAACCCATTCTCTACTAAAAACACAAAAATTAGCCAGGCATGGTGGCAGGTGCCTATAATCCCAGCTACTTGGGAGGCTGAGGCAGGGGAATCTCCTGAACCCAGGAGGTATAGGTTGCAGTAAGCTGAGATCATGCCACTGCACTCCAGCCCAGGTGACAGTGACAGTCTGTAACAACAACAACAACAACAAACAACAACAACAACAACTGACAATCCAGAAAGTGGAGCAAGATAGCTAAATATTACCCTCCAGTGATTGACCCCTGTAGGAACATAAAATTGAACAACTATGCATTCAAGAAGTCACCTTCACAAGAACTGGAAAATCAGATGAGTGATCATAGTACCTAGTTTTAGCATAATAACAGGAAAAGACACATTGAAGAAGGTAGGAAGGACAGTGTAGTATTGCCTACACCACCCTGCCCCAACACCAAGCAGCACAGTGCAGAGAGAGAATCTGTGTGCTTCAGAGAGGGAGGGAAGTGAGTGTGGGACCTTGCATTGGAGCTCAATGCTGGCCTCACCACAGTGGAACACAGCACCTGGCAGAATTCCGTGGTCCTTGATTCCAGGCCAGTGCCCACAGAGGGAGCATTTAGACCCACCCCAGGCCAGAGGAGAATCGCTGCCCTGCAGGATGAACCTGAGTCCTGCCCTGCTTCACTGCTGATTACCTAAAGTGGCCATAGGTCCCAAATAAATTTCAGTGTCAGCAGGGCTATAGTGACCACAGTCCTTGGGTGAACCCTGTGGTGCTGCACTGGTCTGGGAGGCAGAAGGCTTGGGATGCAACCCAATTTAACACCAGATGCAGGGGCCATAGAAGTGCCCACATCACAACTCTCTCAACTCCAGGCACTGTAGCTTAGAGTGAGACTCCTTCTGGGGAGAAGGAGAGAAAAGAGTACAGGGGCCTTTGCATTGGAACCTAGCACAAACCCTGCCACAGCAAAACCACACTGGGAAGAACCCTGAAGCTCCTGATTCCAGGCTATTACTTCCAGACAACATTTCTAGGCCGACCCCAGGCTGGAAGACCATAATACCAGCTTGGTATGATGGTCCTGAGTCCTGGCTGGCTTCACCACTGGCTGACTAAAGTGACCGTGAGCCTCGAATAAACATCAATGGCAGTTAGGCAGTAGCAGCTGCAGACCTTGGATGAGCTCTGGTACTGTGCTTGTCTGGGCAGCTGTGGGACTTTGGGTGAGACCCAGCATTGGTGCCAGCTGTGGCGGCCATGAGAGTGCCGGTATCACTCCTCTTCCAACTCCAGGCAGCTCAGTGTGGAGAGAGATTCCGTCTGCTATGGGGAAACAGAGGGAAGTGAGTGAGGGACTTTGGGAGCCCAGAGGATTCTCCCTGATTTTCCCCAACTGCATCAGAGCTGGGTATCTAGGAGGTTGCAAGAGATTTGCAGTGTAACTGGACTTAGGATGCTCTGTAGTGCAAAAGTGGCTGCAGTGACCACAGGCTTAGGGAACTCAACAGTCAGTCAGTCTCCTTTGAATCAATGAAAGGTCCTCTGAAGGATGGGTAGAAACAAAGCCCATGTGATGACTGGAATAAATATCTAACTTTCAATGCCCAGGCACCAGTGAACATTCAGAAGCATTAAGAACATTCAGAAAAATATGACTCCGTCAAATAGATGAAATAAGGCACCATTAGCCAACCCTAGAGATACGAAGATGTGTGACTTTAAGACTGAGAATTCTACAAAAATATAGCTATTTTGAGGAAAACTTCAATAAGACACAGAAAAGGTTGGGCACGGTGGCTCACACCTGTAATCCCAGCACTTTGGGAAGCCAAGAACGGGCAGATCACTTGACGTCAGGAGTTCGAGACCAGCCTGGCCAACATGGTGAAACCCCATTTCCACTAAAAATACAAAAATTATCTGGGCATGGTGGCATGTGCCTGTAATCCCAGATACTTGGGAGGCTGAGGCAGGAGAACTGCTTGAATCTGGGAGGCAGAGGTTGCAGTGAGCTGAGATCACGCCATTGCACTACAGCCTGAGTGACAGAATGAGACCACATCTCAAAAAAAAAAAAAAAAAAAAAAAAAAAAAAAAAAAAAAAAGACACAGAAAAGCCATTCAGAAACTTATCAGATTAATTTAATGAAAGATTGAAATAATAACAATAATAACAATAATAAATCCTGGGGCTGAAAAACATAATTAAAAACTGAAAAATTAATCAGAGTGTCTCAACAGCAGAATTGATCAGGCAGGAGAATCAGGCTTGAATACAGGCTGATATAGTTTGAATGTTTGTCCCTTCCAAATCTCATGTTGAAATGTGATCCCCAGTGTTGGACGTGGGGCCTTCTGGGAGGTGTTTGGGTCATGAGGGTGGATCCCTCATAAACAGCTTGGTGCCTTCCCCTCAGTAATGAGTTCTTGATCTTTTGGTTCACACAGGAGCTGGTTGTTCAAGAGCATGGAACTCCTCCCATCACTCCCTCTTGCTCCCTCTCTGATCACACAACACACTGGTTCCCCTTGCCTTCTGCCATGAGGAAAAGTTCCCTGAGGCCCCAACCAGAGGCAGATGCTGGCACCATGCTTCCTGTACAGCCTGCATAACTGTGAGCCAAATAAACCTCTTTTCTTTATAAATTACCCAGCCTCAGGTATCCCATTATGGCAACACAAAAGGGACTAATACTTAGGCCATTTAAAAATATACAGTCAGAGGGGAAAATAAAAAGCAATGCAGAACACTTATGAAATCAAGAAAGGGCAAATCTATGGAGTCATGGCCTTAAGGAGTAGAGAAAAATATAGGAGTAGAAAGTTTATTCAAAGAAGTAATTACAGAGACCTTTCCAAACCTAGAGAAATATAGGAATACTGAGGTACAAGAAGATCAAAGATCACCAGGAATATTCAACCCAAGTAAAACTACCCCAATTTATCGAATAATCAAGCTCTCAAATGTAAAGGACAAAGAAAGGATTATAAAAGAAGCAAGATAAAATAATCAAATAATATCTAAAGAAGCTCTGATACATCTGGCAGCAGACTTCTCAGTGGAAACTTTATAGGCCAGGAGGGAGTTGGATGACATATTTAAAGTGCTAAAGGAAAAAAAAAAACAACTCTTCCAACCAAGAATGCTCTACTCAGCAAAGCTATCCTTCAAACCTGAAAAAGAAATACTTTCCCAGACAAACAAAAGCCGAGAGAATTCACATCCACCAGACCTGTCTTACAAGAAAGGCTGAAAAGAAGTCTTCAATCTGAAAGAAAAGGGTGCTAATGTGCAACAAGCAATTATCTGAAGGTATGAAACTCAATGGTAAAAGTCAGCAGACAGGAAAATTCAGAGCACTCTAACACTGCAATTGTGGTGTGCAAACCACTCATATCTTTAGTATAAAGATGAAAAGGCAAATCTATTAAAAAATAATAATTTTAAAGAGATAGGCAATATAAAAAGACAAATTGAGGCAACAAAACGTGAAAATGCAGGAGGAAATGAGTTAAAGTGTAGGGATTTTTAGTTTGTTCTTTGCTTGTTTATTTTCTTTTCTTTGTGATCAAAGTTAATTTGTTATCAGTTTAAAATAACTTGTTATAGGATGTGTTTTTTAGGTTTCCTGGTAACCACAAAGCAAAAATCTGTAATAAATACACTGAAAACCAACACATAGACCAAGGAGACAGAATAGGGAATCTAGAAATAAATCTATGCATTTACAGCCAATTCATTTTCAACAAAGGCACTAAGAACATACATTTGAAAAAGGATAGTCTCCTTTATAAATGGTTCTGGGAAAACTGGACATTCATATGCAGAAGAATGAAACTTGACCCCTATCTCTCACCCATATACAAAAATCAACTCAAAATGGGTTAAAGACTTAAATGTAAGACCTGAAACTATGAAAACATTAGAAGTAAACATTAGAAAAACACTTTAGAACATCTGTCTGGGCAAATATTTTTTGAGTAAGACCTTAAAAGCACAGGCAACAAAAGCAAAAATAGACAATTAGGATTATATCAAGCTAAAAAGCTCCTACACAACTAATGAAACAATCAATAAGGTGAAGAGACAAAGAATGGGAGAAAATATTTGCAAACTATCCATCTGACAAGAAATCAATTACCAGAATATCAGAATATATAAGGAACTCAAACAACTCTGTAGCAAAACAAAAAACAAAAAACAAAAAAACTAATTTAAAAATGGGCAAAAGATCTGAACTGACATTCTCAAAAGAAGCCATACAAGTGGCCAACAGGTATGTGAAAAGCATTAATCACCAGGGAAATGCAAATCAAAACCACAATGAGATATCATCTCATCCCAGTTAAAATAACTTTTCAAAAACACAGGAAATGTCAGATGCTGGCAAGGATGGGGAAAAAGGGGGAATCCTTGTACATTGTTGGTGGGAGTGTAAACTAGTTCAGCCACTATGGAAAACAGTATAGAGGTTCCTCAAACAACAACTAAAAACAGAACTACCATATGATCTAGGAAGCCCACTGATGTGATGGGTATATGTCTAAAAGAAAGCAAATCAGTACATCAAAGAAATCTCTACACTCCCATGGCCATTGCAGTTCTATTTACAATAGACCAAACGTGGTATCAACGTAAGTGTCCATCAGTGGATAAACGAATAAAGAAAATATGGCACACATACACATGGAATACTAATGGAATACTATTCAGTCATAAAAAACCAAAATCCTGTCAATTGCAGCAACACAGGTGGAACTGAAGGACATTAGGTCAAGTGAAAGGCACAGAGAGCCTAATATCACATGCTCTCACTCATATGTTGGAGCTAAAAAAAATGATCTCATGGAGGTAGAGAGTGCAATGGTGGTTACCAGAGGCTGGGAAGGTAAAAGGGGAGAAGGAAATAGAGAGAGATTGGTTAATGGGAACAAAAATACAGTTAGATAGAAGGAATAAGTTCTAGCATTTGGCAGCACGGTAGGGTGATTACAGTTAACAATATGTTATTGTATATTTCAAAAGTACTAGAAGAGAAGATGTGGAATGTTCTCAACCCAAAGAAATGATAAATGATTGAGGTGGTGGACATCTCAGTTACCCAGATTTGATCATTACACATTGTATGCATATAGCAAAATGTTAAATGTGTCCTGTAAATATGTGCAACTATTATATATGAATTAAAAACTGAAAAACCAGATAGTAAGTGGTGTAATAAGAAAAAAAGGGAATTAGGGACATTTAAAAAGTTGTAAGTACAAAGGTGTTTAGTAGAACAAAAATATAAACTTTCTTAAATACCCCAATTTTTTTTTTTATAATTTAAAGAACAGGAATATTTACTTCCTAAAAAAAACATAGCAAATGTAACACAATCTACATAATTTTATGATATTTTGACAGGGTTGTGATGAATTACCAGTCACATTGATAATGTAAATGAGCTTAACTCATCCATTAATTATTTTTTTCAGTTTTCCTGAGAAAGTAAGATCCAAGTATATGCTGTATACTTAAGTGATGTTGAGTGGTTAAAAATAAAGAAATGGACGGACAACATTTTGCTTATCCATGTATTCGTCAGTGGACACTGGATTGCTTCTATGTTTTTGCTATTGTGAATAATGCTATGAACACAGGGGTATAAATGCCTCTTCAAAACCCTGCTTTCAGTTATTTTGGGTGTATACCCAGAAGTGTAATTGCTGGGTCATACAGTAATTCTATTTTTTATTTTTTGAGGCACCACCATACTGTCTTCTGCAGTGGCTGCACCATTTTACATTCCCATCAACAGTGCACAAGAATTCCAATTTCTCTACATCCTCCCCAGTACTCACTATTTTTTTAATAGTCTGAATTGGACTACTCAGGTGCGTCATATAAGTGGAATCACACAGTATTTGTCCTTCTGTGATTGATTTATTTCACTTAGCATAATATCTGCAAGGGTCATCACTGTTTTACTATGTGTCAGAATTTTATTTCTTTTTAAGGCCAAGTAATTTGCAAATTATATATCTGATTAGAGATTAATATTCAGAATATATAAAAACTCCTAAAACCCAACAACAAACAACTTTTATAATTTAAACAACAAGGAATATATATATATATTTTTTTAATTGTACTTTAAGTTCTAGGGTACATGTGCACAATATGCAGGTTTGTTACATATGTACACATGCATCATGTTGGTGTGCTGCACCCATTAACTCATCATTTACATTAGGTATATCTCCTAATGCTATCCCTCCCCCATCCCCGCACCCCATCACAGGCCCCAGCATCTGATATTTCCCTTCCTGTGTCCAAGTGTTCTCATTGTTCAATTCCCACCTATGAGTGAGAACATGTGGTGTTTGGTTTTTTGTCCTTGCGATAGTTTGATGAGAATGATGGTTTCCAGTTTCATCCATGTCCCTACAAAGGACATGAACTCATCCTTTTTTATGGCTGCATAGTATTCCATGGTGTATATGTGCCACATTTTCTTAATCCAGTCTATCATTGATGGACATTTGGGTTGGTTCCAAGTCTTTGCTATTGTGAATAGTGCCACAATAAACATACGTGTGCATGCATCTTTATAGCAGCATGATTTACAATCCTTTGGGTATATACCCACTAATGGGATGGCTGGGTCAAATGGTATTTCTAGTTCTACTTCCTTGAGGAATCGCCACACTGACTTCCACAATGGTTGAACTAGTTTACAGTCCCAACAACAGTGTAAAAGTGTTCCTATTTCTCCACATCCTCTCCAGCACCTGTTGTTTCCTTACTTTTTAATGATCACTATTCTAACTGGTGTGAGATGGTATCTTATTGTGGTTTTGATTTGCATTTCTCTGATGGCCAGTGATGATGAGCATTTTTTCATGTTTTTGTTGGCTGCATAAATGTCTTCTTTTGAGAAGTGTCTGTTCATATCCTTCACCCACTTTTTGATGGGGTTGTTTGTTTTTTTCTTGTAAATTTGTTTGAGTTCTTTGTAGATTCTGGATATTAGCCCTTTGTCAGATGAGTAGATTGCAAAAATTTTCTCCCATTCTGCAGGTTGCCTGTTCATTCTGATGGTAGTTTCTTTTGCTGTGCAGAAGCTCTTTAGTTTAATTAGATCCCATTTGTCAATTTTGGCTTTTGTTGCCATTGCTTTTGGTGTTTTAGACCTGAAGTCCTTGCCCATGCCTATGTCCTGAATGGTATTGCCTAGGTTTTCTTCTAGGGTTTTTATGATTTTAGGTCTAACATTTAAGTCTTTAATCCATCTTGAATTAATTTTTGTATAAGGTATAAGGAGGGGATCCAGTTTCAGCTTTCTACATATGGCTAGTCAGTTTTCCCAGCACCATTTATTAAATAGGGAATCCTTTCCCCATTCCTTGTTTTTGTCAGGTTTGTCAAAGATCAGATGGTTGTAGATGTGTGGTATTATTTCTGAGGGCTCTGTTCTGTTCCATTGGTCTATATCTTTGTTTTGGTACCAGTATCATGCTGTTTTGGTTACTGTAGCCTTGTAGTATAGTTTGAAGTCAGGTAGCATGATGCCTCCAGCTTTGTTTTTTTGGCTTAGGATTGTCTTGGCAATGTAGGCCCTTTTTTGGTTCCATATGAACTTTAAAGTAGTTTTTTCCAATTCTGTGAAAAAAGTCATTGGTAGCTTGATGGGGGTGGCATTGAATCTATAAATTACCTTGGGCAGTATGGCCATTTTCATGATATCTATTCTTCCTATCCATGGGCATGGAATGCTCTTCCATTTGTTTGTGTCCTATTTTGTTGAGCAGTGGTTTGTTGTTCTCCTTGAAGAGGTCCTTCACATCCCTTGTAAGTTGGATTCCTAGGTATTTTATTCTCTTTGAAGCAATTGTGAATGGGAGTTCACTCATGATTTGGCTCTCTGTTTGTCTGTTATTGGTGTATAAGAATGCTTGTGATTTTCGCACATTGATTTTGTATCCTGAGATTTTGCTGAAGTTGCTTATCAGCTTAAGGAGATTTTGGGCTGAGACGATAGGGTTTTCTAAATATACAATCATGTCATCTGCAAACAGGGACAATTTGACTTCCTCTTTTCCTAATCAAATACACCTTATTTCTTTCTCCTGCCTGATTGCCCTGGCTGGAATTTCCAACACTATGTTGAATAGGAGTGGTGAGAGAGGGTATCCCTGTCTTGTGCCAGTTTTCAAAGGGAATGCTTCCAGTTTTTGCCCATTCAGTATGATATTGGCTGTGGGTTTGTCATAAATAGTTCTTATTATTTTGAGATACGTCCCATCAATACCTAATTTATTGAGAGTTTTTAGCATGAAAGGCTGTTGAATTTTGTTGAAGGCCTTTTCTGCATCTATTGAGATAATCATGTGGTTTTTTCTTTGGTTCTGTTTATATGCTCGACTACGTTTATTTATTTGCGTACTTTGAACCAGCCTTGCATCCCAGGGATAAAGCCCAGTTGATCATGGTGGATAAGCTTTTTGATGTGCTGCTGGATTCGGTTTGCCAGTGTGTTATTGAGGATTTTTGCATCAATGTTCATCAGGGATATTGGTCTAAAATTCCCTTTTTTTGTTGTGTCTCTGTCAGCCTTTGGTATCAGGATGATGCTGGCCTCATAAAAATGAGTTAGGGAGGATTCCCTCTTTTTCTATTGATTGGAATAGTTTCAGAAGGAATGGTACCAGCTCCTCCTTGTACCTCTGGTAGAATTCGGCTGTGAATCCGTCTGGTCCTGGACTTTTTTTGTTTGGTAGGCTATTAATTATTGCCTCAATTTCAGAGCCTGTTATTGGTGTATTCAGGGATTCAACTTCTTCCTGGTTTAGTCTTGGGAGGGTGTACGTGTCCAGGAATTTATCCATTTCTTCTAGATTTTCTAGTTTATTTGCGTAGAGGTGTTTAGAGTATTCTCTGACGGTAGTTTGTATTTCTTTGGTATCGGTGGTGATATCCCCTTTACCATTTTTTGTTGCGTCTGTTTGATTCTTCTCTCTTTTCTTCTTTATCAGTCTTGCTAGAGGTCTATCAATTCTGTTGATCTTTTCAAAAAACCAGCTCCTGGATTCACTGATTTTTTGAAGTGTTTTTTGTGTCTCCATCTCTTTCAGTTCTGCTCTGATCTTAGTTATTTCTTGCCTTCTGCTAGCTTTTGAATGTGTTTGCTCTTGCTTCTCTAGTTCTTTTCATTGTGATGTTAGGGTGTCAATTTTAGATATTTCCTGCTTTCTCTTGTGGGCATTTAGTGCTATAAATTTCCCTCTACATACTGCTTTAAATGTGTCCCAGAAATTCTGGTATGTTGTGTCTTTGTTCTCATTGGTTTCAAAGAATATCTTTATTTCTGCCTTCATTTTGTTATGTACCCAGTAGTCATTCAGGAGCAGGTTATTCAGTTTCCATGTAGTTGAGTGGTTTTGAGTGAGTTTCTTAATCCTGAGTTCTAGTTTGATTGCACTGTGGTCTGAGAGACAGTTTGTTATAATTTCTATTCTTTTACATTTGCTGAGGAGTGCTTTACTTCCAACTATGTGGTCAATTTTGGAATAAGTGTGATGTGGTGCTGAGAAGAATGTATATTCTGTTGATTTGGGGTGGAGAGTTCTGTAGATGTCTATTAGGTCCTCTTGGTGAAGAGCTGAGTTCAATTCCTGGATATCCTAAGAACAAGGAATATTTATCTCCTGAAGAAACATAGCGAATGTAACACAATCCACATAATTTTATAATATTTTGATAGAGTTGTGATGAATTATCAGTCACATCCATAATGTAAATGGGCTTAACTCATCCATTAATGTTACCCATCCTAATGATTGTGAGGTAATATCTCATTGTAGTGTTGATTTATATTTCCCTAATAATTGGTGATAATGAACATCTTTTCATGGACTTATTGGCCATGTATATCTTCTTGGAAAAAAATCTCTATTCAAGTCCCTTGCTAATTTTTAGATAGAGTTATTTGTTGTTGGGTTTTAGGAGTTTTTAAAATACATTCTCAATATTAATCTCTATCAGATATGTAATTTCCAAATTACTTGGCCTTAAAAAGAGAGAAAATTCTGACACATGCTAAGACAGGGATGAACCTTGAAGACATTATGCTAAGTGAAATAAACCAATCACAGAAGGACAAATACCGTGTGATTCCACTTATATGAGGCACCTGACTAGTCAAATTCATAGAAACAGAAAGTAGAATGGTGGCTGCCAGAGCCTGGAGGGAGGCAGAAAGGGGAGTTATTCCTTAATGGTACAGAGTTTCAATTTGGGGTGATAGAAATAATTCTGGAGACACATGGTGGTGATGGTTAGACAGCATTATGAATATGTTTAACATCATGGAACTGTACAGTTAAAAATGGTTACCATGGCAAATTATGTTGTGGGTATTTTAGCACAATTTTAAAAATTGAAGAAAAAAGCAAATGAATAAAAATAAAAGTTTAAATGGTAAACTAAAAAATAAAGAATGGACAAAATATATCTTATTATTTAATATGAAAGCAGAGAGATAGTGGTCCTTATGGCAGAGAAAGAAATATCCAATCCTCAAAACATTAACATGACAAAGAAAGTATCTTTTCGATGCTAAAAGTTGGAATTCACAACGAAGATATAATATTCATAAAAATCTATGCACCAAATAACACAGGAATCACACTCATAAAGCAAAAACTACAGAAAATGCAAGGAGACACAGAAAAATATTTATAATAGAGAATTTTTACACTATTCTTAACAAAAGACAGGTTGAATAGGTGTAAAATGTAAGAGGAGACTTAAACAACATAATCAAAAGGTTGTTGTTATTAACACACACCAGATTCCAGTTAAATCTTGACACTGGAGAATACACCTGTTTCTCAAGTGCTTATGGAACATTCACAAAAATTGAATATATTTATGAAACCATGAGCAAATTTTGTAAAGTAAAACTATTACAAACAGTACTTTCTGATCACAGGGCAATAAAACTAGAAATTATTATGAAAAACAAAGACAAAATGCCCTGTTACCTGGGAATTGGAAAACTTTTGGTTAAAAGGGAAATACAAGCTAAAATGATAAATTTCTGGAAAATAATAATGAAAACACTATACATGAGAATCTGTGAAATACATTTAAAGAAACACAGCACTAAACACTTATTGGTAAAAGGAAAAAAATAAAAGAATTACTGAGGTCTAAAACTAGAAAAAGAGCAAGAAAGTGAACTATAAGAGAAAATAAAGAAGGTAATATTAGTGACAAAGGCAGAAATTAATGAGGTAAAGAAGAAAATACATCCTGGCTAACACGGTGAAACCCCGTCTCTACTAAAAATACAAAAAATTAGCTGGGCATGTTGGCGGATGCCTGTAGTCCCAGCTGCTCTGGAGGCTGAGGCGGGAGAATGGCGTGAACCCGGGAGGCGGAGCTTGCAGTGAGCCGAGATAGCGCCACTGCACTCCTGCCTGGGCGACACAGCGAGACTGTCTTAAAAAAAAAAAAAAAAAAAAAAAAGAAGAGAATACAATGGAGCTAATTAGTATATCAAAACACTGGATTTTGTCTTAAAATTTATATGGAATGAAAAAAGAGCTTGCATAGCCAAAGCAAGACTAAGCAAGAAGAACAAATCTGGAGGCATCACATTATCTGACTTTAAACTATACTATAAGGCTATAGTCACCCAAACAGAATGGTACTAGTATAAAAATAGGCACATAGACCAAAAGAACAGAATAGAGAACCCAGAAATAAAGCCAAGTCCTTACAGCCAACTGATCTTCAACAAAGCAAACAAAAAACATAAAGTGGAGAAAGGACACCCTATTCAACAAATGGTGCTGGTATAATTGACAAGCCACATGTAGAAGAATGAAACTGGATCCTTGTCTCTCAGCTTATACAAAAATCAACTCAAGATGGATAAAGGACTTAAATTTAAGACCTGAAACCATACCAATTCTAGAAGATAACATTGGAAAAAAACCTTCTAGACATTTGCTTAGGCAAAGACTTCATGAGCAAGAACCCAAATGCAAATACAACAAAAACAAAGATAGATGGGACTTAATGAAATGAAAAAGCTTCTGCACAGCAAGAGAAATAATCAGCAGAGTGAACAGACAATCCACAGAGTGGGAGAAAATCTTCACAATCTATACATTTGATAAAGGACTAATATCCAGAATCTACAATGAAAAAATCAGCAAGAAAAAACAAACAATCCCATCAAAAAGTGGGCTGAGGACATGAATAGACAATTCTCAAAAGAATATATACAAATGGCCAACGAACAGTTGAAAAAATGCTGAACATCACTAATGATCAGGGAAATACAAATCAAAACCACAATGCTATACCACCTCACTCCTGCAAGAGTGGCCATAATCAAAAAATCAAAAAATAATAGATGGTGATGTGGATGTGGTAAAAAGGGAATGCTTCTCCACTGCTGGTGGGAATGTAAAGTGGTACAACCACTATGGAAAACAGTGTGGAGATTCCTTAAAGAACTAAAAGTAGAACTACCATGTGATCCAGCAATCCTACTACTGCATATCTACCCAGAGGAAAAGAAGTTATTATATGAAAAAGACACTTGCACATACATGCTTATCACAGCACAATTTGCAATTGCAAAAATATGGAATCAGCCCAAATGCCCATAAATCAATGAGTGGATAAAGAAATTGTGGTATATATATGCTATGGAATACTACTCAGGTATAAAAAGAAATGAAATAATGGCATTCATAGCAACCTGGATGGAACTGGAGACCATTATTCTAAGTGCAGTAACTCAGTAATGGAAAACCAAACATCGTATGTTCTCACTCATAAGTGGGAGCTAAGCTATGAGGATGGAAAGGCATAAGAATGACACAATGGACTTTGGGAACTTGGGGGAAAGTGTGGGAGGGGAGTTAGGGATAAAAGACTACAAATTGGGTACAGTGTGTACTGTTCGGATGATGGGTGCGCCAAAATCTAAGAAATCACCCCTAAAGAACTTATTCATGTAACCAAACACCACCTGTTTCCCAAAAACCTATGGAAATTAAAAAAATCCCTGGATTTCAGAAAAAACGATAAACCAGACAGATCACTGGCTTACTTGATCAAGAAGAAAATGATTAAGCATAAATTTACAAAACAAGAAATCATAAAGGGGAAATAACAATGGAAACAAGTAAGTTTTTTTAAAATCAGGAGATGATTTAAAGATCTCTATTCAAATACATTTGAAAACCAAGAAGAAGTGGATAACTTCCTAGGGAAATATAGATGGCTAAATTGACCCCATTGATTAAGAAACCTGAAGAATCACTTTTCCTAGAAGAAATAAAGTTATTAAGGAACTACCCCAGAAAAAGCACCAGGAAGAGATGGTTTCACAGGGATTTCTCATAAATTTTAAAAGACAAAATGCTTCTGATGCTCTAAAGAACCAAAAAGGAAAGAAAAATTTCTAATTTTTATTATAAATTTTTTATTGTAACATCAGTATTTCAACCTGATAAAGATAGGTTTAAAAAAAACCCCAACCATAGACTAGAGTCATTTGTGTATTTGGATGCAAAAATATGAAATAAAATATTGGCAAGTTGAATCTAATACCATTCTAAGAATATAATCAACATGACCAAATGGAATTTATTTTAGAAATGCAAGGTTGGTTCAGTATTAGGAAACTCATTAATATCATTCACTATATTTAATAGATCTAAAGAAAAAAACTATGGGCTCCAAAAATGATAAAAAAGACTTTGACAAAACATAAAATGGTTGATGGATGCTTTCCTTACATGTTCAAATGTGTGTGCCTCTGTTCCAAAGCCAGAATCCTACTTACTGGATAAACATTATAGGCATTTCTATGAAGGCCATGAACAAGGCAAGAATGCCCACTCACTCCACTACTATTAAACATTATCCTGGATATATCAGTCAATGCAATTAGGCAAGGGACATCAATGAGATGCATAAAAATTGGTAAAGAAGAAGAAAACCATTTCTATTTAACAGATGATAATACAGCAGATCTGGAAAACCCTAGATAATCAATGATAAAGCTAACTCAAACAAGAAAATAATTCAGTAAGATAGCAGGATAAAATTAACCTATAGAAATCAAGGCATTCATACAAAAGACCAGTTAAAGTACACAATGATAGATAAAATCTTGCTTCTAATAGCAAGAAAGTAGACTGAATACTTAGGAATAAGCTTATCATGACAGTATAACACCTATACAAGGAAGACTTAAAAATATTCCTGAAAGATAGGAAATGACATTGAACAAACAGAAAGACATTACTTATTCTTAGATAGATCCACTCAACATTGTAAAACTGCCAGTTATTTTCTAAATTACTTTACAAATGTAAAGCAATCCCAATAAAAACATAAACTCAAGGAAAGGAAATTAGACATGTTACCAAAAATATAATCAGGGAAACATGGAAAAAGAAAAGCTAAAAAAACTAAAAGAGGGAAGTGTGTCCCAGAGGTTAAAATACACTCTGAATAACACACTGTGGTGCTGGCCCCTTAGTAGAGGACTGTGCTGCATGGCCCAGACAGGACAGTCACATACAGAAAAACTTTGTGTGTAATACGTGTGGCTTTGCAAATCATGGGACAAAGATGGACTTTTAAAAAAATGGTTCAGGGATAACTGGGTAGCCATTCATAAAAATATAAAATTAGGAACACCTCACACCATGCTCAGAGATAAACTCCAAATGGATCCAAGAGCTAATGTAGCAGATGAAGTCCTATAAATACTGGAGGAAAACAAATTCTTCTTTAGCCTCAGTGTGGAGAAAGACTTTCTAACTCAGAAAGTCAAAAGCTAAAGGCAGTCAGAGATTGATAATTTTGGCTACACAAAAATTGACTTTTTTTGCATGAAAAATTATAAACGTAGTCAAAAGTCAACTAACAAACCCCAACAATTATCCATCTATCATCTATCTGTCTATCTATCATCTCTCTCTCTCTAAAAGTTTGTTCTTAAAATATAAACAGCTTTGAGAAATGAGGCTAAAAGACCAAAAACCTAAAGGAAAATGGGAAATTGTAATGAATGCAACATTTACAAAAGTGGTATAAAAATGGCCCTTAAACATATGAGATGTTTAAACTCACTCATAATGAGACAATTGCAAACAAAAGCAGTACTGAAATACCACTTCTCACCATGATGTTGGTGGAAACCTAATGGCATAACAAGGCATACTGGCGAGGCTGGAGGGAGACAGTCACCTCACACACTCATGCCTCCGTCTCTCCCACAGAGCTCTCAGTGTGGGCAGGGCACATTTACCTTTACTGGAAACACTCTTCTCACTGCCAGGAGACACCTGTGGCCCACGATAATTCTCAGAAGGATCGCCATGGAGATTTGCATTAGCATTGGCTTCTTTAATGACAAATATGGAAAAAATGGGGAAAATGTCCTTGATTACACACTTATAAGCACTTTGGTCATTTATTTATTTAAACATGCTAAGTTGAGATGCTAATATCATTTTCAAGTTTTATTTGAAAATATGTTTTGGAAACTCAATATGTGAATACAGAGCCAGGCCTCATCTGACTATTAAAACTACATATTCACTCCTCCACACGTCCTTTGACCCAACATCCCAATGCTAAGAATTGACCCTGGAGATAATTCCTGACAATATGAAAATACCTGTGCTATAGGCTGCTCACTGCAGCTGTGTTTGAAATGGCAAAATATTGCAAACAATGGAAAGATACATACAAAAAATAATGACTGCAGAACTGGGGTAGGAAGAAAGGAGTGCGGGCAGGAAAGGAGGATTTGCACGGATCTGTGATTTGCACAGAAGTGTTTCCTAGCTCTTTCTGTGGAGAGGGCCTGGAAGAAATGCTGTGCCATTGAACTTAGCAAGCATCCAGTTCTTGGCTCACAATCAGTAACGGTGTTAGTGTTTTATAACCCACAGACTATAGTAATCCCTAGTAGCCCATGTAGACAGTAATAAGCAACCGAATACATAAACAGGGGAGGAGGGGCAGCTCTTTCTTAAAGCAGAATCCCAATTAATAAATGGAGAAGCAATGGCAGAAAGAGAAACTCGCCAGTTGGCAAACACCACACTGACCACCAGGCAGACAAATTTGGAGGTATTCATATTAATTTTAAATAAAATCTTATTCCTGTTTAAGTCCTGAAAAAATCGAGTTCAATCTTTCCCAACTCCAGAGTCTGTCTTATTGGGGGGACTCTTTGGGGTAATGGATTGGGATGCAGATTCCTGGGCTCCTACAGAAATGCTTGGCTCCTGGCACACCATCAGATACTGGAGCTGTGACCTGGTCCTGTGTGTGGGGAACACCACAGATGTCCTACATGTGTGTCCCAGTGATATGGTTTGGCTCTGTGTCCCCAACCAAATCTCATGTCTAAATGTAATCCCCAGTGTTAGGGGAGGGACCTGGTGGGAGATGATTGGATCATGGGGGCAGAGTTGCTCCTTGCTGTTCTCATGATAGTGAGTTCTCATGAGGTCTGGTTATAAGTGTGTGGCACCTCCCCCTTCACTCTCTCTCTCCTGTCTCCATGTGAAGATGTACTTGCTTCCTCTAGGGTCTTCTGCCATGATTGTAAGTTTCCTGAGGGCTCCCAGCCATGCCTCATGCACAGCCTGCAGAACCATGAACAAATTAAACCTCTTTTCTTTATAAATTACTCAGCCTCAGGTAGTTCGTTGTAGCAGTGTGAGAATGGACTCATATACCTGGGTATATATATGTGCCCTTTCTGGTTTTGAATCTCCAGGGTAAAGAGGAGGTATTTTGCCCCTCCATGGGGTCCAAGTATCTTATCCTCTGAGCCTTTGCACACTGATTTTTTTCCCAGCAGACTCATCTGTTGGAGGGAGGCTTTTCCCTACTTCTGGGGGACCCCCCTGGGGGCACTCTGGCTCTCTCTGCACCTGCCCTGTGAAGGAGAAGTGACTTAGCTGAAGCTTTGGGAGAGGGGGCCAGGCATTGTGGCAGCACCTGCCTCCCTGTCTTGGCATCTGCCTGCCCATGAGACATTTCTGCTGTGCTTCCCTGGGCTGTGTTTTTTCCAGGGTCGGCCCCACAGCAGGGGGTGAGGAAGCTGGGGGTCCCTCAGCCCCGACAGAGACTGGGAGATCTGCCCAACCAGGGGAAGTGGGCACATTCTCCCACCAAGGGTTTATCCTCCAGGAAGGAGATGTTTCCGCCTGCGTCTGCCTGCCTCCTACCTCTCCCATTACAGCTGGACTTGGGAAGGGGTAATTACTGGGTTGCATTTACCATCATTGGAAATTTTGACCTCAATGCCAGGAGAGAATTGTAAATTCTCTAATAATTCATGGTAATTCTCAGAACCACCAGCTTGATAATTCTCATCAATACCAGCATCTTCAATGAAGAACATGGAAAAAAATGGGGAAAAGTTTTCTTGATTACACAGGTATAAACATTTTTGGCCCATGCTTTATTTTACAATATAAGGTTGGGATGTTAATACAGTTTGCAAGCTCTATGTGGAAATGTGCGTTGGTAAGTGAAGGTGTAAACAGAGTCAGGTGCCCTCTGACTCCCTTGAACCAACAGTGTGGACCTTGGCAGATGGCAGGTGAACCAATCCTAGGAACTGGAATTTACATTCTGGGTGCAAGATTTCAAGAGTGCTGAACTTTCCTGCTGCCGAATACACTTTCATGCACTGTGTGGGGATTTCTGATTCCCAGTTCTCTCCTTGGCAACTGTTGATTCAGTACTCTGTCTTGGTTCTAAATGTGCTGTTCTATTTCCTTGCATATGTCTTTGACCATGTGAAGCTGCACTTGGGGAAGGCCATTCTTTGTGTTGGTTCATGACTCACTGTGTGGCTTGGGCAAGTCATTTGCTAGACCTTGGTTTTACCTTCTGTCAAATGGGGTGATGATAACTGCCCTGCTCTCTCAGAAGCCTTGGGTGAGCGTGAAGTGAGAGCATGGGCGTGTGTGGGAGGAACTGTAAAGTGTTGGTTAGTGCAGGGTTCTCAGGTTCTTGTGCCCTGTGTTCCTGCAGTGGCTCCCGAGGGCGAGAACGTGCCTGAACACGCACTCCAGAGATCCCAGAGTAAAGGGAATTAACCCTGCCAGTCTAGGGTTGACTTCCTCTGTCTCGGGAAGCTGTAGAAATGGTTTTAGATGCCATATTGTTCACATCTCCATGTGCCCTTGCCCCAGAAATAGCTGGTCTTAATGCTCAAATTATAGGGTCACGTATTCCATACCACAGACCTCCAGGAATAAGGGCAATTAGAGGGTTAGAAAGGGGTGTGCTTGCTTTTCTCCTTACGTAACGGTGTTGATAATGTTGATGCTGTACTTGGCATTTCGCTCGGTGTTGTTTTATTCAGATCTAAAATCTCCTGGACCAGAATTTCATCTTGGGAGAAGCACACAAGATCACGTTAGAGTCGGCCCTGCAGGGCTGGCCCTTGGCTCCTGTCCCCTAAGGCCATCTGTACACACAGTGAATGTACACACAGTTCCTGTACAAACAGGAACTCCGGGAACCCAGGGGATGTGGGACTTGACTTTCGAAAGAACCTTCTCTGGGTGGGCAGGCCGCTGCCTCCCTCAATAATTTCAGAAAAACTGAGACCATTTGGACATTTTGGACACTGAACATTGCCCCCCAAAGGTACAAGGCTGGACGCTTGGCCCACACGTGGTCCTAAGTCTCTTTCCTGCCCTGGGTCCCTCTGTCCCATCTCTGAGGCTCTCCCAAAGCTGCCCTCCGTGTGTGAGTGAGCGTCGCTCCTGATCTCTGTGTCAACACAGCCGCATTTTCTTCTTTTACGTCCCTATGGGTTCTCCTAGGGAGATTTTACCATGAGAGCCTTGAGCTTTGTGTCTGACAGACCCGGAAAAAACACACGGGCTCTGCTCCCACCAGAATGTGATCTTGGACAAGCGTCCTCACGGCTCTGAGCTTTGGTTTCCTGTCTGTAAAATGGGGGTGTGTATTTGCCTGTGGGCTTTCCTGAGGGTCCAATAAAGCAGTGTATGCAGAAGGTGCTCAGCACGGAGCCTGGGCCATGGCCAGGTGTTGTGGCAACCGAGAGTCACCGCTGTCTCTGCAGCACAGTCACCAGGCCAGGCTGCAGTGCTGGGCTGGGCAGTGGGTCCTGGTTTGCTGGGGCCCTCTGGGTTTAGCCCAGAAAGTCCCTCAAGAAGAAGCTCCTCAGCCCCAGGCAAAGCGGGCGTCTGGTCACCCCAGGACCAGCTCATGCAGAATTCGAGGGTAAAGGGGAAGAGGCTGAAAATGCCACTGGAAACGAAGATGTCACCAATACGACCGATAAAAAAGCTTTGTCCTGGGCTCTTGGTTTCTCACCCAGCAGCCGCGCTGTCCCTCTTTCTCACTCACAGAGCTGGGTTTTGGCAATGTGTGCCCCCAGTGAGGCCCCCTGCAGCCGGGTGGGCTACAGGCCTGTAAGGTAGGAGGAGTCTACCAGCTCTGCGAGGAATTTGCTCCTCCTGATAAAAGGGGAACCAGTGTCCAGGCCTGCACCCCCGCCTCCTGCCCTGGGAGTGGACGAGGTGTCTGGCACTGTGGACACCATCCTTGATCATGAGGCACGAGCTTGAGGAGAGGCCAGGACAACCTCAGGGACATGGCCTTGTATTGCGGAGCTGCCGGACCAGAGCTGCGTGCCACCTGCCTCTTAGCCGCGGGTGCCCCAGGATCCCAGCCAAGGGGCTGGGCGCTGCCACTCAGGCTCTGTCCTCTGGGGCCAGTGATTGGACAGAAGCACCAATCTTAGGAATTCCAAGTTCCTAAACAGTCATGGTGTCCAGTGAGATAGGGGTCTTGGAGAAGAGTGGATATGCATTTGAATGGCAAGCATTTACTGGGCACTCTTCTGAACCAGACACTGCACAGGCACTGGGGGGCCAAGGATGGCCCAGCCTCAGTCCCTGGTCTCTACCCCATTCCAGCCAGCCATGTCCAGGAGGCAGCATTCTACAGCCGTGACCAGGCACAGCAGGTCAGCAGTAACAGAGCTTCCACCAAGGGCAGATGGGCTCCCAGGGCAAATGGGGGCAGGCAGAGGATAGGATTCAGCTGACCAGCCCTAAGAAGTGAGCCCTCCTGGGGCACTGTCTGAACTTCCTGGCCAACTCTGGCTTCGGTTGCCCCATTGTTACTGGGGATCACCCCCGTCCATGGTGGATGGGCTGTCTCTGCAACTCTCCATCTCTAACAACTGTACCCACAGTCCCTGACCTGTCCCAGTGTGACCCAGTCCACTCCATGCCCGAAGCCGGGAGTGGCCTCCTGGGGACCCAAACTCCTCAAGTTGCAGACACCCTGGGATTCCCTGAGGCGGGTGGATGGTGGCCCAGCTGTGAGGAGGCGCGTTCCTGCTCGGAGAGCAGTCATGGCTTTGGGGGCCAAAGAGAGGCGGGGGGCCGAGCCACCCCAGGGTGAGCTGCCCAGGGCGAAAGGCTGCCTTGACCCTTCCACGGGCCTCCCTACCCTCGGGGAGATTGGTCAGGGCTAGAAAAACGCTTTAGGTAGAGATGAAGCCAGCAGGTGGAACAAGGTTAGGAAGCTCTTTGTTTTAAAACCAAGTCTAACTGCTGATGGTTGAATTTTTTGAGAGAGGAGAAGCTGAAATACAATGACCAGACCATCCATCAAAACAGCTGTGGCCAGGCTGGGCGCAGTGGCTCACTCCTGTAATCCCAGCGCACTGGGAGGCCGAGGTGGGCAGATCACCTGAGGTTAGGACTTTGAGACCAGCCTGGCCAATATGGTGAAACCCTGTCCTACTAAAAATGCAAAAATTAGCTGGGTGAGGTGGTGCACATCTGAAATCCCAGCTACTCGGGAGGCTGAGGCAGGAGAATCGCTTGAACCCAGAAGGTGGAGGTTGCAGTGAGTTGAGATCTCGCCACTGCACTTCACCCTGGGTGGCAAGAGTGTGAGACTCCATCTCAAAAAAAACAAAAAACAGAAACAGAGCCAACCACACCTGCAGCAGCCAGTCCGGGGGGCTGGCCTGCTCCGCAGTAAGACCTGCAGGAAGTCAGACCTCCTCTAGCAACGACTCAGGCAGCCGAAGCGCAACCCCTGGACCAGCCGGCCCCAGAGGGCCAGGAATGCATCCATCATCGACAGCTCCTCTGGCTTTTGTCCTCGCTTCCAATTCGGAGCCGACCAGAGAAAGCCACACATGCTCCCTCACCAACCCCTCACCGCCCGTCTGATGAGCCATCCCCAGCACACCCAGCTGCAGCCTGCACGGGACCTGGGCTTCCTTTGCCTTAGTGAGGCCCCATCCCCTGCCTGACTCAGAGGCTCTGAAATTGCACGTGATGGTGACTCGGAGGCTTTGACATTGCACGTGATGGTGGTGACTGCCCTCCCACAGCAAGCTCTGGACAGAGAGTCTCGGCCTGGCCTGCCTGGGTGGGCTTCGCTGACCTCCACAGGGATTTGAATTCTCACTGTCAATGCTTTCAGCTTTCTACCTAGAAGAAATCTGGGGGTGTGGATGGGGGTAAGAGCTGCTGCTTCCTTCTAGGTTTAGTTGGTCAGGACCCAGGAAAAATATCAGAAACGCCAGCCACTCTTTCCTCTTCCAGAATCCTTTTCTGAGGCCACTGTTTCTCTGGGGGTGGCTGAGACACTGGCTGGAGCAGGTGCTGGTCTCAGGACTAAAACTCTCAGAATCTGGCACCCGCCAGCTTCACTAGGAAAGTGAGTCCAGTCACAGCCATTCCTTGACCTTGGGGAGTCTAACTCCTGCCTGGGGCAGTTCCCTTGAGTACCCAGAAAGTGGACGGGGCGGCAGGAGCGAGAATGGGAACATCCATTCATTCACTGGAGCGCTCACTCATCCATCCACCTAACCCATCAAACACGCAGGCAGGCAGAGCTTTTCCCAGGCCTCTCCCACCCAGATGTGGAAAGGGAGCAAAGCCTGACTTCTGACAGCGACAGCTCCTGGAAAGGGCCCAGCACCTGGGGGCCCTGCGTTCCCACGGGAGCCCCTGTTCGAGGCCGTGCAGCCTTCACAGCCGCAGTCCCGGGCCCTGCCGGGTGGAAGGTGGCCCCATCCTCTACCCCGACCCCACTCCACAGGCAATGCTGGCAGAGAGGTCCTGGGAGGTGACTGTTTCCCAAGGGCATCGATGTGAGCAGGGGTCAGGACTGCATGCTCTGAGTCCCAGCATTCTGGGCCTCAGTTTCCCCACATGTAAAACGAGAGGTCAGAGCAGAAGTGCAGGCACTGGCTAAGCGCTCACACCCTGGAGCGCGGCTGTCCACGTGGAAATGGCCGTGAAGGCAAAGGACACATGGAACTGTGGAGAGCCAGTGTGATGGAAAGACTGAAACATCTCACTAGTAATTTGACACTGATCCCATGTTGAAATCATCACGTGAAATAAAATATTATTACAATGAGTTTCATCTGTGTCTTTTTTTTTTTTTTTGAGACAGAGTCTCGCTCTGTTGCCAGGCAGGAGGGCAATGCTGCGATCTCAGCTTACTGCAACCTCTGCCTCCAGGGTTCAAGGGATTCTCCTGTCTCAGCCTCTCAAGTGGTTGGGACTACAGGCACACATCACCACGCCCAGCTAATTTTTGTATTTTTAGTAGAGGCGGGGTTTCACCATGTTGGCCAGGATGGTCTCTGTCTCTTGACCTCGTGATCTGCCCGCTTTGGCCTCATCTGTGTCTTTTTAATGTGGCCACTAGACAATGAAAAGCACATCTTCGGCTCATGCTGTGTTTCTATTGGACGGCCCTGGCCCAGGGCAGCGGTTCTCAGCCGGCTGTACTTTAGCATCACCTGCAGAGCCCTAGAGAAGCACAGAGGCACCAGGCTCAGCCAAACCAGCACGGCCTGCATCCCCGGGGTGAGGCCAGGGGGTCTGTAGTTTCCACCATCTTTCCAGGGGGCTGGCAGGGCTGAGGCGGTGGAGGAGGGGACGGCTCAGCCATGGGGCCTCTCAGGTGCACAGGAATCGGTGGCATCAGGTTGAATGCGGTGCTGGTGCTGGAGGGCTGGGCCCGGCTTGCCGCTGGGCGTTTCTAACAAGCTCCCCAAACCAGATGATGCAGACGCTGAGGGTCCTTGGACCTCACTTTGAGAAGCAAGGCTCCCACGCACTTTTTAGGTGTAATGGTCTAAAATTCTGTCTTCCTTAATTTCTTGAGAGTTTGACTCTTAGATGTCAGCAGTAAAGCTATGGGCCATTGGTATATGATTCTAGCCCCAAACCAATCAGTTCCCTCCACTGTCTGCAGTTGGTACCAGGTTATCTGGGAAACAGCCACAGACAACCATCCAGCCCTCTTCACGTACAGGCCAGAGGTTGATAGGAGGGGCTTCCTTACCTAATAATTCAGACATATCCTCCTGTTTTGAACTGAATGGTATTTCAGTAGGTGAACCTAGAAGGAAATAAAAACCCTACAGTTTAACAATGTTCATTGAATTTGCATATTTTTCTCTTTAAATGGATATGGTTTTGTGGGTGCCCACCAGCCCCCTCTAGAGGAAGGAGCCCTGCCCAAGTTCCAGTCTCTCCTGCGGGTGATGAGAGATGGCCCCAGGAAAGTTCTCTGGGACTTGGCTTTCTTGTCTGGAAAATGCGGAGAAACAGCCACCTCCGGGGTGGCTGTGAGGATGGAGGACAATTGTCCAGGAGCTCTGAGCTGAGCCTGCCCTCCTGGTCCCTAGAATCACCCCTTGAGAGGTCAAGACGACATCCCGGTCGCAAGGATGACTGGGCTCACCCAGCTGCTTTGAGGTAAGCAGAGTAAGAGGGCATGTTCCTCTTGTGAAAGCAGCATTTGGACCTCCTTCGTGAAAGGCGCCCACAGTGCATGCACCTGGAGGCTTAGAAACATGTTCTGGGGAAATGGGAAACATTGTGCAATGCTGTGGCTGCATCATGAAGACCTGGCTTCATGGCTCTGTTTTAGGAGGGGCAGGACTCAGAGAGATGGGCCACCCCCCTTTCTCCTCCTTCATAAGCAAAGTGATTTCAGGGTGGTCCCATCTGCAGATAAGAGGTGGGGTCATGTGGGTGAAATGCCGAGGTCTGGAATATGGGTTGTCCACAGGCCCCGTGGCCTCCTGACCTGTGGCCTCGGCTGCCTGACTGATGGGAGCTGACTGTGCTGAGTGACCCTGAGAGTGGGTGGCGGTTCTGAGCACTGCTTTCTCCTTGTTAGCCCCTTCCCAGTAGTTCCCTGCTTCTGCCATTCACAGTTTTTCTTTATTGGAGGTGTGGCGTCTCAGCGTCCTGGGGCATTGCTTTGGCTCAAGGTCAAGGTCAGCTTCTTCCTCCAGCCCCGAGGTTGGGCTCAGCAGGGCCACACACCTTCCCTTTCAGAGTGCACAGAGCTTTCCAGTGGTGGCTTCTAGGATCTGAAGTTCCAACACTAAACCAGTGACAAAGCTGATTTCCAAATGGCTTTAATGACAGACAATCTGCATACCAATCGACTCGTCTGCGCACATGCAGGCTCAGAACAATGCGGGAAAATATGCAAAAAGGTCTGAGATGTGATGGCAATTGCTTCCCAGTATGCTGACCTTCGGTAAACGAAACAAACAAAGTACAGTTCTCTTTGGATGAGACATTAATGATCATTAAGAATGGGTACAGCTGCATCGTGCAAGTGCTTTGTTAAAAATATTCTTTTCATTTTGTGTCTGTCCCGTAATTATAATGGAAGTATTGTGCAAGTCAGCCAGTAAGCATGTGGAGTAAAATATTTGGGTTTTATAACATCCGTGCGGTTTTTAAAGTGCATTGTCAAGTGGAGTGGCTTTGCCATATCCTTCATGTGTCACCTCTGACTTCAGCCTCACGGTTTTAAGGTGCCGCACGCCATGTAATTGTAAGAATCCACTGCTCTTTCTCGATATTTACATCGTGCACACGCTGGCCTCCGTGAAAGGGTTCCCTGTGGAGTTCTGAGACTTCATTCTGGTTAATTTGGGGAAAACAGCACTGCACCCTTCTCAATCACTAGGACCACGTTAACTGCTCTCCTCTCTCCCTAAAGGTCCAACATCTCAAGAAAGCCACAAAACATGGTCAACTCAATTTCTGAGGCAAATGCCTGAAGTGCCCACTGAGTCATTAAGGACCAAGGAGAGTAAGGAAACCCAATGTTCCTCGTGAGAAAGTGATTTAGAAATGATCCCTTAATTGGTCTTCAAGCTGGGGAAGACCTTGGTCACCTGTTTCAACTGTTTGGATGAGGAAATCAGATCTTGGGAGGTAAGGACTAAACTCTGACCTTTTTTCTCTCTTACCCATTCCTTACACAACTGTGACCTGAATGCTTTCCTAAGGAGTAAGAAGAAGCCAGCTCTGGAAAACAAGAAACGAAAGACCTATTCCTTTGTCTCCTTGAGCCAATCATCCAAGTCTGTGACCAGACTCTCCTCCCTTTTGTGGTTTAAACAGTGCAGCACCCCCAGCATTCCTTCCTGGTGAGAGACCACTGGCCATGGAGGCTCTGGCCAGTCCATGTAGGACACGCAGTGAGGGTTTCCTGTCTTCTGCTTCACCTTTGGATGTCAGAGGCTGATATGGTTTGGATTTATGTCCCCACTCAAATCTGAGGTTGAATTGTAATTCCTAGTGTTGGAGGAGGAGCCTGGTGGGAGGTGACTGAATCACGGGGGCTGGCGTCCCCCTTGCTGTTCTCGTGATAGTGAGTTTTCCTGAGATTTCGTTGTTTACAAGTGCGTAGCACCTGCCCACGCTCTCTGTTCCTCCTGCTGGCCATGTAAGATGTACTTGCTTCTCCTTTGCCTTCTGCCATGATTGTAAGTTTCCTGAGGCCTCCCCAGAAGCAGAAGCCTATACAGTTCACAGAATAGTGAACCAATTAAACCTCTTTTCTTCATAAATTACCCAGTCTCAGGTATGTCTCTATAGCAGTGCAAGAACTGACTAATACAGAGGGCCAAAAATGCTGCTCTCGGATTGTGCTAACACTGCCATTTTTTGAACACATGCCCATGAAAAGGAATGGAGCTCAATTGCACGTGGGCAAGGTTCTTCCGTTTACTGAAACCCCTTCTAAAACCCTCCTGACCTGCCCCACTGTGGCACTGGCTCTGCTCCTCTCCTTTTTGCCGTGACTTTGCAAACCATACAGAGTGGCCATGGCCCAGATCTCCCCACACTGGCTCCCAGAGTTCTCTCCTAGATGTAGTCTCTGCACTCGAGTTCTCTTCTCACCATCTAATCTCCGTTAGCCCTCTTGCACCACTGGATGTGTCCCCCTGGGCCTCCACTCCTCCCCCCACCCCCATTACACCCTTCTCTTCCCACTCAGCCCCTTGACTCCCAACAGTCCCTGGAGCTTTATGGACCCAGACAATCCCAGATCAACTACCTGATCTGAGGCTGAAAAGGAAAAAGACCAACTGGAAACAGGTGGGGCATTTTATCTACTCAGTGAAGGCTTTGATATATCCAGATGGCTGCTTCAATCACAGCCTCTGTGAGATTAAATAATATCAGGGGAAAAGAAAGGCTTGAAACTCCCCTTCACAAATGCTGGTTAAGAAAGAAAAATCTTTAGCCCTTATTGAGTGGGTAACCTCAACATATCCCGTTTTTATCAGAAACATAATTCAGATAAAAATATAGAGTGGAGATAAACCAGTGAGTTTTGTGTTACTGTGTTGCCGGACTCATGGCTGAAATTTAAGAATGAAGCCATACAATCACTGTTTTCATGTGTCTGTCTGTATGTGTATGTACCTATGTTACATATATGTGATATTTTTCTACCTCTGGATGGTATTGCTGAAGTAATTATAAAATTCCTTAAAGGAGTTCTATTCAAATTGGCTTAGAGAAAAAAGATGTGCTTGATTAAATATTCCCAGGACTCCCAGAAACAGAGGAGCTAACCCAAATGTTTTTTAAGTTTACATTACTAGGATGGTTGATATATAAAGCTAGTTTGAGACTGTTTGTTAAATAAAGACAGTTTGTCTTTGGAATTGTCAGCTATAGATATAATGCAGACATAATTTTATTCTACTTGGGTTACTAGCCAAATAAACTTAAAAATAGTTAACAGGGAAATAACTGGAGATGATGGTAGCTTTATTTGGTGTTATAGTGAAGCCACCTTTGTAAAATTATGACTGAGACAGTGAAAGAGATTTAACAGGCTCCATTATGCTTTTAACCTCCAAGCTGTCCTTGCTTATTCCTGAGCATAGGCCGAACTAACTATGGGAGAAGGTTCATAGTTTATAGTATAAACAAAGACGGTAACAGCCCTTTCCCAAAGCAAACTTCTTCTTGCTTGGGGACTAGACTGCCTTTGTAAGACTAACATTAGCCATAAGATTAGAAATTATGGTTTAGGAGTCATGCAGCTGGAGGCTACCAGATTCTGACCCTCCCTAAACTGCTCCTAAGATCAGTGCTTGAGATATTTTGCAGAACCTGCACTTGATGGATCAGCTGGCACCACCCAGATGGATAAAGTGGCTCATCTGATCTTGTGGCCCCCACCCAGGAACTGACTTAGTGCAAAAAGACAGCTTTGACTCCCTATGATTTGATCTCTGACCAATCAGCACTCCTGGCTCACTGGCTTCCCCCCACCCACCAAGTTATCTTTAAAAACTCTGTTTCCCGAATGCTTGGGGAGACTGATTTGAGTAATAAAAAAACTCTGGTCTCCTGCACAGCTGGCTCTGGGTGAATTACTCTTTCTCTATTGCATTTCCCCTGTTGTGACGAATTGGCTCTGCCTAGGCAGGGGGCAAAGTGAACCCCTTGGGTGGTTACAAATTTGGGGGCTTGTACAATACTGCCTTTTTGGATATCCACCCATGGTTCAGTGGCCCCCCTTCAACAATGGATCCAGAAGCCAGCCAGCCCAAGCAGCTTCCTAGTTCTCTTGGACTAGGGGCTGACTCTGGTACTCTCTCTACTGGCGGGGCACTGCCAACCCAATTTGCATGGATTTAATTGCAATGGAGAAGTAGGTCTGGGGAAACGTCCCTTAACTGTAGCCCTATCAGAGTGTCTGTCTGTAGCCCCATGGTAGGGTATCTGTCTGTAGCCCCACTGTAGTGTGTCTGTTTGGCTCCTCGGGGGTCTCGGCTGGCTCTTTCTAACTAGTAGGAAGATTCCTGGTTTGGGAGACTTCTCACTCAGGAAGATTTTGAGGAGGTTTCCCAGATGGAGAATAGGAGGATAGTTTGAAAGGGATACTCTTGGAGTTCTTAGTTGGGGATCTGATTTGGAAGGCCTTCTGTCCATCTCATCTTAATGTGTGTTTGTGTATGTGGAAGGGATCTCCGAAGGGGTTGCTGATGGAAGTCCAGCAGGCCTAACTCAGAACCCTCCTTATTTGTCTGGTCACATTTGATGAGCCCTAGAGAAGGCTCAATAGGCCTGTCTTCGCCTTGCCCAGAGATCTCATTGTGAATTACCATTCAGAGGTTGTCCATCACCACCTGGAGTGGATCAAAGAAAACAGGGACCAATGGGAAAATGTTTGAGCTTTGCCAGGTTGACATTGGGTGCTGAACGAGGTGACCAATGTTTGTTTTCTTATGTGTGTTTTGCTGGCATAGAAAATGTTAATTCCGTTCTCCTTGCAGCCCACTGGGCAGCATCTTGCAAATTAAGAATCTTGCCTATGGTTCCATAAAACAGGAAATGGTGATTTTCTCTTGTAAAGTGGCTTGAACCCCACAGCTATGGTGCAGTGAGCAGGGTCATCAGAAACCACTCCGTTCTTCTGAAATCTGCATAGAAAGGGAGCCCGCAAGCCTGGTATGCCGATAAAAAGGATAAGAAATTCTTACCAGCCAAATTTCTGGTCTCTCTCTTTCTCTGAGTAAATGGTAAACTATTTGTCTCTCTGCAAGGGTTTAATTAATGGAGAAAGGATTTGTGAAACTAGTCTTAGGTGGTAGCAAATCTGGTGTACTTTGTGCTAAGAATTTGTCTTTCTGTGTTCTGTAATGGAGAAAGAAGTATCACAGGATAGAATGTGGGTTTAGGACTCACTTTCAAGCCTGCTTTTCAAGCCAGACTGGCAGGCTGGTCAGTTACAAACTTTGCTGTGGGTCCCTGAAACCAATACTGGATGAAATTTTTCTGTCTTGTTTTGTGTCCTTAAGAGCTTAACCTTGTGATCATGTGCAGTTACTTTCCCTTGGTTTCACCATCTAGAAGACAGGAATTAGGGGATTCATGTCCTAGTTAGCCCTAAACATTTTCTTAAGCAGTTAAAAGCCTTTGCGAGCTTGAAACTGGTTCTCTAGACTCCTTCTGGAAAGAGCAATAGAAACTGCTCAATGCTGTAACTCAGTAGCTAAGACTTTGCTTTTTGACAATGGTGGCCTGGGTTCTAGTCTTGGTTTCTGTAATGATTCCTTTCTGATTTCTTATTTATGTAATTTTGCCATTTATTGAGGTTTTTTCCCTCATAGATAGCTTCTGATTTCCTCTCTTGAATTTTCCTTTCTCTGAACTTGTGGAGATTCTAAATCTTGTAAAGAAAGAAACTTCTTACCATGTTTTTGAAACACCTAGGAGGTTACCTTTGGTAAAGTTCAGAAGCTAAAAATATTAGCCACTTGGCCTGGCTAAAGTCAGGTAATAAGAGATTTGAAGGGATTTCTTTTTTAAAGAGCACCATGGTTAAAAGTCAGGTTAATTAAAAGTGGATAAACAAGGTATAGATGTATTTAAAAGGCCTTTATGTTTTTCTCTTCTTGGATCTTGTTTTTCTGGAAAAAGTTTATTTTTCTTCTCAGTCAACTGTACTATTTGTCTCCATTTTTTTTTGTCTCGTCACCCTTAAGGCACACATGAGAGGCCCTAAGATAACTTCTGGTAGCCGGGGACTCCTTGGGAAAAACAGAGGAGGCACCACAGACTCTGTTTTGCAAACAAACACCAAAAAACAAACAAAAAAAGACTCTGTTTTCCTCATGAAACCCCAGGAATTAAAAGTGGATAAATCCCTCTCAAAATAAAAGGCTATGTTCTGTTTTGCATTGTGTCATCTGACAGTTTTGAGTTTTGGGGGTATCAGAAACTACTTCGCAGTATAAAAAAGCTTTGGTGTGTAATAACTAGGTAGGAAATCTACTTTAAGGGGTGGCTAATAGTAGTTAAGGAGGAATACTTGACTCTTTGCCTACTTGGATCAGAGATGCATGCTCTTGGGCATCTGGAAGATAGGGAAACATCCCCACCCCCACTGACAGATGGGACTCCCATGGGGGATGGTCTAATTACAACATGGGCTGACTGGCTTTGGGTTGCCTCGCAATAAAATGCGCAGTAGAAGCATTGCACTGTCTTCTCCCGTAGTACTTTTCTCCTTTTGGGGATCCAGTGTTCAGTATAAAATGGCACCCTTAATTTTAGGGATCTGTCTTTGCCATCCAGCTCTGCCTGCTTATTAGGCCCTAGAAGTTTCATGCTTTCCCAGCTCCGTTCCTCCAAGGGCTCCACCCTGAAGCCAGTCATCCAATTAAAAAACTGGCCAATGAAAAATCTTACAAGTGCTGAATCTTTTGTCTGTCTATTTATATGTGTTGTATGCTTGTTTATATATAAAAGCACTCTGATTAATTGACTTAAAAAATAAGCACTTAAATCAAATGTTTTGTCAGAAAAGTAGAAACTTTAATGCATTTTTGTTCACGTGACCAGTAATCTTTTAGAAATAAAAGCAGTTTTAAAAATTATTAGTAAAATAAAATATTTTAAAAATGTAGACATTTGGTCTAAATTAAGGTCAAATATCAGATTTGCTAAATGTTTTAAGGTCAAACTATTTCCTTGACTTTTAAAAATTGTTCAATTTACCTACTTTGAAGCATTAGATTATAGATAAGGCCTGGAGACATGTGGAGAGGCATGCCGCTAGCTATGCTGAAAAGAGTCAGACCTTATCTTCATTTGTGTCTCATGTCCTAGGCTGCACCCCTAGTACATAATTAAAATAGCTTACTTACCAGGTTTTTCACTAAAAATAAAAGTTGCTAAGAATTAACATTATAACATAAAATTAAGATTACTGGAGAAACAGTTTTATATACAAGATGTGTAGGGAACGTGTTTTTGGTAGAAGATTATAAGAAGGCATAGGAATATGGCTTTTGTTAAAGGGAATGCAATTTTGTCTAGTTCAGAGAGTTTTAAAGATTGTCTTAACCTAAAAGAGTAATGGGACAAAACTAAAGGTTTAAGCAAAGTGAAAAGGGTTTGTAAAGGGTTAATCTTATACAAAATTCTGTGGGTTTAAACAAGTTGGCTGAGATTTAATTAGCTTTTTTCTGTAGGCTAAAATATTAAAATCATACTGATGTGGGGCCAGAATTTGGGCCCATGTGTCCGAATAATAGGGTTTTCTTAGAAAATTAATCTGCTCTTTGATGGAAAATTGTAAAGGTTTCTAAAAGTTTATAAAAATCTTACCTTATGGTCAAACTAATTAAAACCTGATAGAGATATAAAATTTTATTTGATAAACTAGCTTCAACATTAAAAATGCACCAATACATACATGAAATTTGGTTTTCTCTTTTGAAGACAAATTTTATGTAATGTTAAAATATAATGAAAGAGTTTTGTTTTCTCCTTTGGGTAAATGACAGGGAAAAAAGGGAGGAGAGAGAAGAGACAAGGTCAGTTAGCCTCATGCTGTCTTTATTGGGTCTTGTTTGGAAAGCTAAGTGTCCTCTATCAGAGTAAAGGTTTTTCTTTTAAGATTTTGAAGTTATCATTTTGGCTAAATAAATGACTTATTATAATGACATGGGATTCTATTTTGTGATATCCAGTGTTTTAAACCTTTGCTATTTGACAAACGTTCCAAAATCAAATTATAAATTTTGTCTATTTCTAACCTAATATTTAAATATTAGGTCCTTTAAAGTCCAGAAATGACATTTGGCTTATTTGGTATAAAAACCATACAGGAAACATTGTCAAATACAAAATGGTGTTTGGCTTTCTTTGGGCTATATTTGTGTAAATGTGTTATTAATATATGTTCCAAAATTATGTAAAACTCCTATAATTCTAATATAACTTAGTATATGTTATCAGTAATAATTTTAATTATTATGTTAAATGACTGTGTGATACAGAGGTAACAAATTTCCTTGTCAACTGTGTCTTTAATAGTGGCTATACTAATTCTTTTGTCATCCACAAACATTTTGTCTTGCTTTAGTCCTTTTCAAAAGGCAGTTTATAATCAAATATAAAACTCTAAGTATAGGTCTCAGATAACTTTAAAAATTATGTTATTGGAATAAAGAAAAAACCCAAACTTTAGAACTCTTATGGAAAACTAATGTATTAAACATTGCTAAACCTTTTGTTTTCCAAGTCAAGATAACTTATTTCTTTAAAGCTATTTGCAACTTTTAACAAGTGAGTAAAATATACTCCTGTGAACAAAATTTACAACATATTTGTTTCTCTCTACCTGATTTCTCCAAAATTTGAAAACTATTTCTAAGTATTCTCAATTTATGGCAGTATAGTTAATTGCATAAGTGCAATAAAAATCTGTTTTCTTTTGTAACAGGACAAAATTGGAGAAATTGGTCATTTTACCAAGGCTTTAACTGGACTGGCATGCTTCTTTAAAGAATCAAAGTTAACTTATAAAGCCAATTAAAGCCCGTTGGGAAATCTGGCCTCATGCCTTGTCCACACAGAGTCCCTGTACAAGGTTCCTGACCTGTGCTAAATAAAAAATGTCACTTTCTAACAGGCCCAGGAACTGCAAGATATCTTGGGACCTCAAGAAAAGAGGAATTTGCTCAACTCATAGGTATTTAAGCTTACAAATCCATGGCTGGGCTCGGCTTTTAAAAAGTCTTATCTAAAATTCTTCATGGAACAAAGTTCCATCAAAGCCCATTAAAATCTAAGTGAAAAATAATTATTCTAGTTGTACTTCATGCAAATAATCAAGCCAAGTACTATAAGAGTAAAGTTTATTTTGTAAACTGTAAATAATTTCTATCATGATTTGTTTTTCTTTAAAAAATAGGGACTGGAGAGAGAAAAATTATGCTTCCAAAAAACCTATAGTACATTGCTGTTAGTGCTTCTTAAGGTTTTTTTGGGCAGTTTAGACTAAATTATAAATTCTTTATGAGTTAGAATCCCCAAACTAATGCTTTTAAATCTTTTTCAGTCTTTCTTTCTTCCTTCTTTCCTTTCTTTCTTTCTTTTCTTTCTTTCTTTCTTTCTTTCTTTCTTTCTTTCTTTCTTTCTTTCTTTCTTTCTTTCTTTCTTTCTTTCTTTTCTTTTCTTTTCTTTTCTTTCTTCTTTCTTTCTTTCTTTTTCTTTCTTTCTCTTTCTGTCTCTTTCTTTCCTTCTGTCTTTCTCTCTCTCTCTCTTTCTTTCTTTCCTTCTGTCTTTCTCTCTCTCTCTTTTTAGACGGAGTTTCACTCTTGTTGCCCAGGCTGGAGTGCAATAGCTCGATCTCAGCTTACTGCAACTGCTGCCTCCCAGGTTCAACTGATTCTCCTGCCTCAGCCTCCCTAGTAGCTGGGATTACAGGCACCTGCCACCATGCCTGGCTAATTTTTTGTGTTTTTAGTAGAGACAGGGTATCACCATGTTGGCCAGGCTGGTCTCGAACTCCTGACCTCAGGTGATCCACCTGCCTCAGTCTCCAAAAGTGCTGGGATTACAGGTGTAAGCCACCGCACCTGGCCTCAAATCTTTGCTTTTAAAATTAAAAATTGTGCTCCTTATCCTAGGACTCATTATTTACCTATAGTATGCTGTTTACTTAAATACTGTACTAAAACTATAGATAAAGGTAATAATGTTTTTACCACACAAGCCTTGGAAGCCCAGCCAGGCCTGCATGTGTCGCCCAGATAGTTGCAAAACGGTTCCACTGTTCTCACCTTGGGGTTCATTCCCATTCCCACTACGTCCCCTGTCAGTGGGAAGAAGCCAGAGCATTGACAGCCTTTTCCCATCTTCACAGCCTGCACCTGAAGATTAAGGTGTTATTGGCCAGGCACGGTGGCTCATGCCTGTAGTCCCAGCACTTTGGGAGGCTGAGGCGGGCGGACCATGAGGTCAAGAAATCGAGAGGCGCCTCTGCACTCCAGTCTGGCAACAGAGTGAGACTCTGTCAAAAACAAAACAAAACAAAACAACAAAAAAGATTAAGGTGCTATAAAACCCAAAGGGAGAGATTGAAACCACGTTTGCAAGATTATGACTGAGACAGTGAAAGAGCTCCAGCTTAACTGACTCCCTCTTGCTTCTAACATCCAATCTGTCCTTGTTTACTCCTGGGCGTAGGCTGAACTAACCTTGGGAGAAACCTAGTTTATAGTTTAAACAAAGACGGTAACAGCTCTTTCCCAAAGCAGTCCTCCTTCTTGCCTGGGGTCTAGATTGCTTTTGTAGGGCTAACATTAGCCCCAAGATTAGAAATTATATGGTTTAGAGTTATGCAGCTGGAGGCCACAAGATTCTGACCTTCTCTAAACTGCTCCTAAGATCAGTGCTTGAGATATTTTGCAGATCCTGCCCTTGATGGATCAGCCGGCACCACCCAGATGGATAAAGTGGCTCATCTGATCTTGTGGCCCCCACCCGGGAACTGACTCAGTGCAAAAAGACAGCTTTGACTCCCTGTGATTTCATCCCTGATCAGTCAGCACTCTTGCCTCACTGGCTTCCCTCCACCCACAAAGTTATCCGTAAAAACTCTGTTTCCCGAATGCCTGGGGAGACTGATTTGAGTAATAATAAAACTCTGGTCTCCTGCACAGCTGGCTCTGCGTGAATTACTCTTTCTCTATCGCAGTTCCCCTGTCTTGAAGAATTGGCTCTGCCTGGGCAGGGGGCAAGTGAACCCCTTGGGCAGTTACAATAGCGTGTCTGCATTTTTTTTTTTTTTTTTGGGGGACAGGGTCTCATTCTGTCAGCCAGGCTGGAGTGCAGGGGTGTGATCATGACTCACTGCAGCCTCGACCTCTTGGGCTCAGGTGATCCTCCCATCTGAGCCTCCCAAGCAGCCAGAACTATAGACACATGCCACCACACCCTGCTAATTTCTGCATTTTTTTTGGTAGAGATGGGGTTTCACCATATTTCCCAGGCTGGTTTTAAATTCCTGGGCTCAAGTGATCCACCAGCTTTAACCTCCCAAAGTGCTGGGATTAGAGGTATGAGCCACTGCACCCAACCTGTGTTTGCCTTTTAAAAACAGTTTCTAAACATCTTTTTGGTGACTCATCACCCTGGCGTCATGATCAGTTAAGTAAAACAAGAGTTTCATTAATAATTTTTAAATAAGATAAGCTATTGAAACACTCAGTACTAAGCAAAGTTTTCTTATTTTATATGATACAGAGAGACTAAATGTATTTGAGTCTGTTAACAAAAGTTGTTTTTGCCACCTTGAAAAATTATGCTGTAGATAAATATATCTCTAAAAATTGTAAGATGGTATAGTCATACAATTTGCTACTTTGTTACAGAATGCTATATGTGACACAATTCACAACTGTCTACTCCTAGTTTTCTCTGTTGAACATTGTAATCAACATAATCAACATGTGTAATTAAAACTATTGGAAATAATGAGGGTGAAGAAAAACAACTTCCTGTGCAAAGTATAAAGGAAAGTAAGATCTGTTTTTGATAAGAAAGCTTATGTGATATGAAGAATGTGTTTTTGTTGACGAAAAAAGTGAGTAATTTTGTCCTACAGTGGTTTAAAATTTGTTTTTTCAGGAAGAGAAAAAACCGGACAAAATGCGTAAATTAGTATGGAAAGATGTAACGAGTCTCTGAGAAAAAAAGAGAGAGAAAAATCTTATGTGGTGAAGATACACTAGCAGTAAATGAATTTTATTATAAGATTTTATAGATGAGCTTTAGTATCAAGAGTGTAGCAATGCAGTACTGGAGTTTGATTTTCTCTGTCTGCTAAAAGGCCAAAGTTTTGTTGAATTATTGGTCTGGTTTTTTTTTTTTTTTTTTTTTTGAGACTGAGTTTTGCTCTTGTTGCCTAGGCTGGAGTGCAATGGCGTGATCTTGGCTCACTGCAACCTCCACTTCCTGGGTCCAAGTGATTCTCCTGCCTCAGCCTCCCAAGTAGCTGGGGTTACAGGCATGCACCACCATGTCTGGCTAATTTTGTAGAGATGGGGTTTCACCATGTTGGTCAGACTGATCTTGAAATACTGACATCAGATTATCCGCCCATGTTGGCCTCCCAAAGTGCTGGGATTACAGGCATGAGCCACCACGCCAGGCCTGGTCTGTTCTTAATAAGAGATTGTAAGAGGTACTTGTTTCTTACCTGTTGAGTAGTCTTACTAGGAAACAAAGATTCTGTGTCTTATCAAATATTTCCTGTGTTTCATGTTTTCTTTATCATGTTTTTGATTACTTAAGAAAACTGAGTCTCCTCAATATTAAAAGAGCTAAATTGTTTTAAAAACCATGCTACTTCCTATATTTTCTTTAAAAATTCTTTACTGTCATTTAACTTAAATGGATAGCTACCATTTCATAGTAACTTATGATCCTATTTAACCAAATATTCAAAACTTTTATAATTTTTGACAACTTCATCCAAGTAAAATTCTAAATGAAGAATTTTGACCTCAAACTAATTTTGAGATTTCCCAGAGGGCCACTAGAAAATCTCAAAGGATTTGTTCTCTCACTTGGTGAAAAGAAAGATGTTAAACTAATTAGCTTTATTTGATACATTAAATTCGTAAAAAGCATTGTCAAATAAGGGATGTTTAACCTTCTTTATATTTGTATGCATATATGTTATAAGTGTTTCAGAAATTGTATTAAATTCCTAGAAATTTTCACTGTCCTTACTGTCCATGATATGTCCTGGTATAAAGTTATGAGTCCTAATTTCCGTTATTGTCTTGTAATGTTGTATGTCACAGAAACAACCAAATTTCCTTGTCAATTGCAGCATAATGAACTCTCATCAGATTTTTAACCATGGCCATTTTATGCATTTTATGTCTTTTGTCATTCAAGACAATTATTGTTTTACTCTGATGCTTTTTTGAAAGCTTTTGCAATCAGCTACAGTCCAAAAATTCTTTGTCTTCAAGGAGATTTTTAGGTAAGACTCTGCCAAGTACTCTGGAGTAAGGTTTCTGACGCCTCTAAGATTGCACTATTAGACTGGACTTTTCCAGAACTCAGGGAGACATTGACGGATTTGTAAACCTGCTAACCCAAGATCAAGTAGAACAAGAATTAATGATGTGGGACTCAATGTGGGGACGATTATAATTTTTCTGAATTTTCTTGGAAATGTTTCTGGTTTTTTAATGTTTTGTTTTCCAGATTTAAAGAACTCTCTGCTTCCGGTTTCTCTTAGGCTACGCATAACGGACAACAATTTGGTAATTACACTTTCATAAACAAAAATGAAGCATTTATATTTTTTGTCCCACCTGATTACTCTAGAATTTGGATATTATGATTTTCAGGACCATACAATTGTTTGCGTAAGTTTAATAAAAATTGATTCTCCTTGCAACAGGACACGATTGGAAACATTGGTCATATTACCAAGGCTTTGACTGGAATGTCATATTTGAGATTGATACATAGAATCAGAGGTGACCAGACAGTTTTTAAAAACTGAGGTTGATTTGATGGAGCTGGAGAAACTGACCTGCTACCTGGCTCACCGGGTCCCCATCCCACAGGTGAGTGAAGAAGGTCATTTGCTGGCAGATCCAGGAACTTTGGGAACCTCGAGACCTTCGGAAGAGAGAAATTCACCCAAGTCTTTAGGTACCACATGTGAAGTCTGATGGTGAGTTTTTGGCTGGGCTTCCTAGCCTCAAAAAGCTTTTAAAAAATCTAATCTGAGATTCCTTGTAAAAAGCTCCAGCAGAGAAAACTCAGTTTATGTGGTCCATTACCATTCTTGCTGCACTTATGTAAATAATCAGACCAAATCTTGTAAGATGTGATATATTTTTGAGACAAGAATAGCATTACTTTGGTTATCTTGATCAAAAAAAGAGGGTGACCATAGAGCCATATTTTATGTTTTAATGAAAAATGGTAGCACACCCTTGTGAGTTATAACCCTGTGTATTCTACTTTTTTTTATCTTTTGATAAACTCCACCTTACTTTCTACTTTGTTATCTACCTGTAAACTGGACTGGATCCTGAAGCCTTTTAGAGTCCTTCAATGTTCCCAGGCTAACATTTCCAGTCTTTCTTCTGCCCTCCTGACTGGGTGTTAGTGAGAACTAAAGCCTGACAACTCAGGCCTTCCGTGGGACCATCTGGAAAGGCTGAAGCTGGACACATCCACGCTCTGCCCCCAGCATAACCATGACTGTGGCTCTGATGGTCATGATGTCACCAAGGACACACCCCCTGCAAACTAGGAAATCCATCCTTGCCCCATCGGCTGAAGATACCTTGAGCCCAAAATCCAGAAATCTTCTCAACAGACTGCCCTCTGGATTCGGAAACTGTGTTTCCAACTATAAATCTTTGTTTTTCTTCTCTTTTTCGTAGACATTCCCCTCATTAAATTCCCGACTACTTGTACCATCCAGCACACATCCTCCACCAGATGAAACATGGACTTATCTTGTTCAAAGAGAAAAGGAATGTCTCTTCTTTCTTGAACAAGAGGAGGGAATGAGAAAGCCTCGCTCCTTGACTTACCTCATGCCAGGCTCCTCTGAGTCTTCTCTTTGACTAGGCCTTGACCCTAGCTTCTGCTTTTGTCTGCTTTTCCCCATGTTTAGTAGGAATCCTGTGAAGTCTTTTAGTGGAAATCCCCTAGTCTTGGCCTGGTCACCCTTGATATCTGATCAAATTCCTCACCCTCCATCTTTGATTATTTTATTGCCTTGGCTTCCTTTCAGGTCTGGCCTCCTGTTTGGCCGAACACAATATACACAATAATTGAACTAGAGGGTGAATACATGGAGGTTCATGATATTCTTCCAAGTTAGAAATTTTCCATAATAAAAAGTTAAAATAAGTAACATATGCAACTCTCTCATGGATGTCTAGATTTTAAAAGGTCTTCAAAGATAGCAGACCTTTGTGTCCTGTTGCAAGGATAATCAATTTTTATTAAACTTATGCAAACAATTGTATGGTCCTGAAAATCATAATATCCAAATTCTAGAGTAATCAGGTGGGACAAAAAATATAAATGCTTCATTTTTGTTTATAAAAGCCCTCTTGGCCTTTGCTGAATCAGTTTAGCAAAGAATTCTCCTACCTTTTAGCAATGTTCATCCACTGACCCACCCTGATCCTTGGCTGCAAATCTCCACTTTCCCTGTATTTGGAGTTGAGCCCACTCTCCACTATTATGAGACACCATGGTAGTAGCCCCCTTTGAATAAAGGCTGCCTGCCCATCTTTAGCAAGCATCACAAATATTTTTTAACGGTATGAGCTGAGATAAAGGCTTTTGGTAATTATGTTAGTCTGATTATGACATTGTAGATAATGCTTTTATCTCTTCGCAAGAAAATGTTTTACATGAGGTGGTAAGGCATCTGGGATGGTGCTAAAATACTCCCCAAACAAGAAAAGTGTGTGTATGTGGTGTGGAGTGTGTATGTGTGTGTGTGTAGAAAAAAACAAAATATGCACAATAATTGAACCTGAGGGTGAATACACGAAGGTTCATGATATTCTTCCCAGTTAGAAATTTTCCATAATAAAAAGTTAAAATAAGTAACATTTGCAACTTTCCTATGGACATCTAGATTTTAAAAAGTCTTCAAAGATAGAAAGACTTTTCAGCTACATTCATTCCCCAAGGAATAAATGGTAAATTCATGTAGGTTGGGAATAAGAGGAACCCATGGGAGAAGAGGCCGCCGCTCCCCACCTGGTTCAGTTCTCTTTCTGCTGAGACATCCCTGTGGGGCCCTACCTGGAATCACGGTTCTCGGCCGGAGCTCAGTTTCTTGCCAACAGCACAGCAGGAGGACAAAGCAGAGGGTCCCGTCTCCTTGGCTCACTGCCATGCTCCCTCCAGCTGAGGGAGAAGGACGTTCTGAAGGTTGACAGTTTCCCATCCTTGGTCTCCAGGACACTGTGGAATGTCAGGACCTGTGACATCACAACCAGGAAGGGAGCTGGGGTCCTGCCCTGGTGGGGAGGTCATGTCCAGGGACCTGTGACATCAGGACCAGGAAGGGAGCTGGCATCTTGCCAGGGGCGGGGGGCAGGGTTTCTGTCCAGAGTCTGTGACTGGGAAGCAGGGAGGAGGCTCACTGGGGTCTTAAGGTAACAGAGATCCTCTCCACTCTTTCTTATTGCCTGTTCTGGTGACTTCCTCTGTCCTGAGCACCCTGAGGACTCAAGGGGTAGATACTAATCAGGACTTAAGGGCCAGTGGCCAAAAGCCAACAAAATCTGCTCCCATGGAAAGAGGCGTATTTGAAGGATGCTGGAGAGGTGGTTGAATTACAGAGCAAGTGCCAGAACCGACAGATCCAGAGGGTCTAATCACCTCTTAAAGGTCCCTTGAAGAACAGAGCCTTGAAGAACAGAGGCCCGTGGCCCCATGTCCCCTCCCACCCTCCCCCACCCTCAAAGTTCCAGGATCATGAAGAACAGGAGACAGATGACCCAGGTTTCAGCCTCCTTTCCCCCACACCTTCTTTCTCAGCATCAGCCCCAATCTTTCCCTGGCAGTGAGACTTTAATCACGAGAGGAGAACATGGCTGCATTTCCATGTTATCATCCTCCCAGCTCTATCTCCTAGACTTTCTAGAGCTTTCTCCATCCGTGCAGTGACAAAACCCCAAAGGAGTCACTCTGGTTGGCTCCCCTGGATCCTATCTCACCCCTGGACTGACTCCTACATCCAGGGCTCAGAGTGGGGCAGCTGGTCTAGACTCGGCCGGTGGTGGGGTCCCAGGTGAACAGCCCTCAGATCCCAGCTCCATGGTGGAGAGGGCTGGTGTGTTTGTCTGTTCCCACACTGCTATATAGAACTTCCCTGAGACTGGGTAATTTATAAAGAAAAGAGATTTAATTGACTCACAGTTCTGCATGGCTGGGGAGGCCTCAGGAAACTTACAATCATGACGGAAGGGGAAGCAGGCACCTTCTTCACAAGGCGGCAGGAGAGAGAGTACATGAAGGAGGAGCTGTTAAACACTTATAAAACCATCAGCTCTAGTGAGAACTCACTTATCATGAGAACAGCATGCAGGAATCCACTCCCATGATCAGATCGCCTCCCACCAAGTCCCTCCCTCAACACGTGGGATTATGAGGATTATAATTCAAGATGATGCTTGGGTGAGGACACAGAGCCAAACCATATCACTGGGGCCCTGGACGCACAAGACTAACAATGCCCCCGAGGTCTGGTCAGGACCCCAAGGATGGCTGACCCACCATGGGTCTCTGGCTCTTTAATTTTTATTGCTTGTATGGGAACCCACAGCACATTTTTGCTCAGGTTTTCCTTTTGATAGATGCAGTGGTAGCCAATCTACCTCAAGGTGTGGGGAGTATATTTCAGATTTTCAGCGTGTCCATAAAGGCACACTAAGCATGGTTGACATTTACAGAAACCCAGTGGGTTCCAAGTCCCACTCTGAGTTAATGAATGGTCCAAGTGAGATGCTTGCTTCTATAACCCAGGCTCTTGCTACTCAGAATGTCATTTTGGGGCCAGCAGCATGGGCCTAAGAGGCTGAATGTACAAACGGACAGCAGCCAGAGCTCCCATGACAGCAGAACCCTGCACTGCTGCCTGTCGAACGACACCCACTGCACCAAGGAGGGATGTCTGGCTAAGGCAGGCCAGGGACTTCCACCTCAAGGCGGAGGATGAGGAATTTGATCAGGGCTGGGGGCGAGGCCTCGTTGAGAAGAGGGGTCAGAGGAGCCTCGCTGATTTGGTCGAGGAAGGAGTCATTCTCAAGGCTGCCCGAAGCTCGGTGACTTGATACAGCCCATGTGTGATTGCTTACAACTTTGTGGGTTGGCTCTGGGGGCTGCTGGCCTAGTGTGGCCTCATGGACATGTCTGAGGCCTTAGCTAGGATGCTGGGGCTTGGGATGGCTGAGGCTTCCCTCCATGTGGTCTCTCGGCCTCTAGCAGGCAGCCTGGGCTTGGTCACAGCAGAAAGGAGAGTAAGCCTCGATGCAAACAAGCCTTTTCTTGCACCACATTTGCTAATGTCTCATCGGCCAAATGAGTCAAACTAATCCCAGATGCAGGAGTGGAGGAACAGATTTGAGCACTAAAATATGGTAGTCAGAGGCCGGGCGCGGTAGCTCACGCCTGTAATCCCAGCACTTTGGGAGGCCGAGGTGGGCGGATCACGAGGTCAGGAGATCAAGACCATCCTGGCTAACACGGTGAAACCCCGTCTCTACTAAAAATACAAAAAAATTAACTGGGTGGGCACCTGTAGTCCCAGCTACTCGGGAGGCTGAGGCAGGAGAATGGCATGAACCTGGGAGGCGGAGCTTGCAGTGAGCGGAGATCGCGCCACTGCACTCCAGCCTGGGTGACAGAGCAAGACTCTGTCTAAAAAATATATATGGTAGTCAGACTGGCTTAGTTCACAGAGCTCTGCCCCCCGCGTTTCATAGATTTGCTTAGCTAATTGGAAAGAAGAGGTTAGAGTGTCTGGTATGTGTTTTTAATCAGTTGCTTTATGAGATTCTAGTTTGAAGAATCTCTCACCAACCCTTGGGAGGTTGATGGCAAATTTATTTTTCTTATTCTTTGCTGTCTTTTAGCAACAATTTTACACATAATTCCCTTTGCATTTGTATTTGCATGCAACATTAAAACCAGAAGGGAATTTAACAAATTAATCTATTTATACCAGTTTCTTTGAATGGGGACTTTAATTCATTTGCATAACTGTCATAGCAGCAGCATATGACTCCTAGAAGTTTTTTCTCCATGGTTGCATTTCAGTTGAGAGATTGTTTCTGTCATATACCAATAGAGATTTGTTTCCTGCATCTTCCAGGGGAAAGAGGAAAGAACTCTTTATGGCTCTTTTAAAATAAACAGGCTTTCCTTATTTTTTTAATTTTTGGAAATGTAAAAATTTTAAAAATTAAAAGAAAAATGCAAGGCTAGGTCCAGTGGCTCACACCTGTTATCCCAGCACTTTGTGAGGCTGAGGTGGGTGGATCGCTTGAGCCTAGGAGTTTGAAACCAGCCTGGGCAACAGAGCAAAACGTCATCTCTACAAAGAATACAAAAATTAGCCAGGCATGGTGGTAAATGTCTGCAGTCCCATCTACTTGGAAGGCTAAGGTAGGAGCATCACCTGACCTTGGGGAGGCAGAGGCTGTAGTGAGCCGTGATTGTGTCACTGCATTCTAGACTGGGTAGCAGATCGAGACTCCATCTCAAAAAAAAAAAAAAAAAAAAAAACTGGGTGCGGTGGCTCACACCTGTAATCCCAGCACTTTAGGAGGCCGAGGCGGGTGGATCACCTGAGGTCAGGAGTTCGAGACCAGCCTGACCAATAAGGTGAAACCCTGTATCTACTAAAAATACGAAAATTAGCTGGGTGTGGTGGCATGCACCTGTAGTCTCAGCTACTTAGAAGGCCGAGGTAGGAGGATCACCTGACCTTGGGGAGACAGAGACTGTAGTGAGCTGTGATTATGCCACTGCACTCTAGCCCGGGCAACAGAGTGAGACCCCATCTCACAAAAACAAAACAAAACAAAACAAGAAAAATGCAAACATACTTAGTTCCATTGTACAAAATTAACACTGTTAGCATCTTAGAATATTTGCCTTTGATGTTTTTAATTTTTGAAAAATCATGGTTTTGTTTTTATAAATACGCTAATAATACATACTCACTATAGAGAACTTAAGCAATGAAACGACAAAAACGTGAAAATTAAAAAATGACCCCAGTTGTCCCGCAGCCACGACCACCATGAATATCAGGTTAACATCGTGGCAGACACCTCTTCATCTATGTTTACGTGCACAGGCTGGTGGGCGCGTGGAGAGATAGACATGGTGTGAGGAGCTCTTCTGTGGACGCAAACACCTGTGGGGTAATAACATAAGGTAATAAAGGTGGGAACACACCACCTCACTCCTGCAACAAAAGTAATTCTTCAAATTTACTCAGATTTAATGGAGGGAAAAAAACCTGAAGAACAACTGAAGGAATTGATGAACGTCCAGTATTTCCTCTCTCTCAGTCATTGCTCACAGGAGAGGAGGGGAGACTCTGGGGAAAAACTTAGGTATTTGGAGTCAATGCATTTTTTTTTTAAACGTGCAAGTTTCACTTTTCCACAGGAACAGCCGACTTCCTGATCTGAAATACGAGGACGGCTTCACTCTCCCTTCCTCTCACTTCCTTTCTTTTGATTCAATGTTAATTGGCCATGAACTTCTTATTTCCCCTAAGAAGAGCTCAGAGATGTTCTATCCCAGGACATCTTCAGACCTGAGAACTTAGGTTGTTGGCTTTAGAATCTAACAGTGACTTGTGGGGGAACAAGATTCACGGGCCAGCCCTCCTTCCCTAAGAGTTGTTACAGTTTCCCCGTTGCAGATCCTGAGTGCTGTGTGGAGCGCTCTGTGGACCACCTGACATGGACCCCCTCTTGCAGATGATCTGCTCTGGCTGTGTGAAGACCCGAGTTATTCTTTCTTTATCTTGAAATTAAGCAGCAGAATTAGGATTTGCCTTGGCATTTCTGTTCTCTGTTAAACTTCCCAGGAAGAAGATATGTCCTTTTGATCTGCAGACCCAATCTTTATTCACTTCAGGCACTTTTTAATCTCATGTCTTTGAATATGTCATCAATCCATCTCTCTGGTTCTCTACCCCCAGGCACCTGTTTCCTTACGCTGGACCTTCTCCATCTGTCTTCCTTAACCATTAGCTTTTCCTTAATTGCTGTAACCCTCTTGTCGTCAAAAAAATCTGTATTCACTGTGTTTTTATCTGTGGTAATAATTTCTAGAGGTATTTATTTTGTTTCTTACTGTTTCTGTCATTATATCATTGCTGTTTATAACATTTTAGGTCCTCAATGTGTTTCAATAGCTTCATTTTCATCCAATTCTATTTTGTGTGTGTAAAATCTCACCTTTGAGCTTTTCTATAGTTTGCCGGTTATTCCATAGCTTTCTGCCTTTAGAGTTGTTTTTTTTTGTGTTGTTATTTTGGTGTGTCTTTTGCTTGGTGTTCTTTTATTTTATAGAGATCTGTTTTAGTATGTTTGCAGAATTGCCATGTATTTCTTCTCCTTTCGCTTGTGTTTGGAAAGTTCTCCCATAAGTTCTAGTTGCTCTGAAAAGTGGTGAGCAACTACTTGTCTGTCCTCCAACTTTTTAAGGCCCAGTTTCTTTCCTCCTCATTCTCCTGTACACCCTGCTCTAAGCAAGAGTTTGAGGGCTGAGTTTGGTGGTGCTGGGATGAGTGGTGGAAGAAGGAACAAGTATGTGTGCGGAGCGGGACAATCTCTGCAGGAATAGCTGGGCCTGTCTTTCCTCTGCTGGGATTTTGTTAAATATAGTGAACCAAGGTCCATGCCACGGTCTGAGGGCTACACTCCGTTTCCTTGTTTGGTGGTGGGGTGGGGTGGGGCGGTATGTCAATCTGTGCAACCCTGGAGTCAAACTTCAACAGAATCAGTCCTTTATGGCCCAAAGTGGTTCCAGATTGCAATGCTCATGTTATCAAGTCTAGTTTTTTAAACCTTTATTCTTTCAGAAAGGACCCAAGTTTCGAGTTACAGTTTTGTAGGATTTGGATAACTTTATTCATGTGCTTTTTGTTTTATTCTTAGACAGGGTCTCGCTCCATCACCCAGGCTAGAGTGCAGTGGTGCGATCACAGCTCACTGCAGCCTTGATGGATTAAAGAGATCCTCCTGCCTCAGCCTGCTGAGTAGCTGGAACCACAGGCAGGCACCACCACACCTGGTTAATTGTTCATACTCTTTTAAGAGCCTTTTAATTATGAAATGATGACAGAGTCACAGGAAGTTGCAAAGAAATGTACAAGAAGGTCCTGCATGCTCTTTGCTCAGTTTACTCCATGTTTACATTCTACATAACTTAGTACAGTAGCAAAACCAGGTAAGTGTAAATGGGCAAAATAGATTAATGCATCACAGTTCCTTCTGTTTTTTGCTGCACACTAAAAAAATATATATTTATATATTATTTATTTATATATAAGTATATATTTAAATATATATTTAATAAGTACATATAAAATAAGTAATAAGTACATATGGTTAAATAATTACATATATTTAAATAAATAAGTATATATTTAAATATATATATACATTTCTTGAAATTCCTTGATATATACATATAAAGAAATATCAAGCAAAAGACAGACCAAAATAACATTACAGACATCCCTCAACTTATGATGAGGTTACCTCCTGAAAAACCCATCATAAGTTGAAAATATCACAAGTCAAAAATGCATTTAATACACCAAATCACAGTTGGTAGTTTAGGTGATTAACCTACCAGATTAACCAGAGATTGCTAGCCTGACTTACTCGGAACACTTATATTAGCCCACGGTTGGGTGAACTATCTAACATCAAGCCTATTTTATACTAAAGTGTTGAATACTTTACACAGGTGGGCATTTTGTAGACATGATGGGATGTGAAAACACAAAACAGAGTATCCAAAAATCTCTAGCAACACACAGAGTGGGCTGTTGACTTTCGTGATTCCCCGGCTGACTGGGGGCTGCACCTTGCTGCCCTGCAGGGCAAGGGAGTATCACAGCACGTATCACTAGCCGAGGAAAGGGTCAAAACTCACAGTGCAGTTTCTTACTGAATGTGGATGGCTTTTGTTTCGTCATAAAGTCAAACAGTTGTAAGCTGAACATACATCAGGGACTGCCTCTATTGGTGAAATGCATGTGTGTGGTTCTGTCATTTTATCATGTGTAGATTTGTGTAACCACAGCTGCATTTGAGACACAGGACTGTTCCACATCCATGAGCTCTCCATCACACTGCCCTCTACGTCCTCCCATAGCCAGCACTCATCTGTTTTCCTTGTATGTAATTTTGTCGTGTGAGAATATTATCTAGAAGGGTGATTTCTCCGAGATGGGCTTTTCTTTTATTCTGCATAATGCCCTCGACATTGATCCAAGTCACTGGCTGCGTCAACAGTTCCTTTTCATGGCTGAGCAGCAGGCACTCCATGGCATAGCTGCACCACACTTTGCTTATCTGTTCTTGTATTGAAGAACTCTTTGGTCCTTTCTAGTTTGAGGCTGTTTCAAATAAAGCTAATATAGACAACTGTGTATGGGTTTTGTGTGGACGTAAGTTTTCGCTCCCCTGGCGTGCATGCCTAGCAGTGCAATTGCTGGGTCATGTGGCATGTGTAGGTTCAGTTTTTCAGGAAAGTGCCCAACTATTTCCAGAGTCCCTGTTTCATTTTCCATGGCCACCAGCAACATATGCGAAATCCAGCTTCTCGCTGTCCTTGCCCGTATGTGCTATTGGCTGTATTTGCATTGTAGCTGTTTGATAGGAGTGTAGTGGCAATCTCTTGTGACCTTAATTTGCATTTCCCCAACAGCTGGTGATGCTCACGTCTTCTTGCGTGCTTGCCACCTGTGCACCCTCTTGGGAACATGTCTGTTCACACCTGAACTAGTTTCTTATTGCTTCTCTAACAAATTCCTGCAAATTTAGTGCCTTAGAACAACACTGATTTATTATCTTACCAGTTCTGAAAGCCAGAAGTCCAAATTGGGCCTCGAGGCTGAAGCCAGGTGCTGTGTGGCTGCATTTCCTCTGGGGGCTCCGGGAAATCTGTCTCCTTGTCTCCTCCACCATCCGGGGCTGCCCACATTTCTCCAGCAGCAAAGTCTCCCCATCTCCAGTTCTGTCTTCTGCCTTTCTCTTGATTTATAAAGACCTTGTGCTTCCATTGGGCTCTGCGATGATTAAATTTATGTCAGCTTGGCTGGGCCATGGTACCCAGACATTTGGTCAAAAATTATTCTGGACTGGGTGCAGTGGCTCACACCTGTAATCCCAGCACTTTGGGAGGCTGAGACGGGTGGATCACCCGAGGTCAGGAGTTCGAGATCAGCCTGGCCAACATGGTGAAACCTCATCTCTACTAAAAATACAAAAATTTACTGGGTGTGGTGGCACGCACCTGTAATCCCAGCTACTCTGGAGGCTGAGGCACGAGAATCGCTTGAACCTGGGAGGTGGAGGTTGCAGTGAGCCAAGATGAGCCATTGGACTCCAGCCTGGGTGACAAGAACTAAACTGTCTCAAAAAAAAAATTATTCTGGATGTTTCCGTGATAAGACTTACATTTAAATTGGTGCTCTGTTCTTCTTCCATTGACTTGCTTTCGGCTTTTTGTTAAAAACCAGCTGGCCATGCGTGTGTGGGGCTATTTCTGGGCTCTCTCTGCTATTTGGTTAATCTGCGTGTTTATGCCTCTCCAGTGCCACATTGTCCTGACTGCTGAAGCAACATGAAAGTCTGGGAAATGGGAAGGGCAATTGCTTCCACTTTAGTATTATTTTTCAAAACTGTTTACTCCTCTTCCTTTGGCTTTCCATGTTACATATTAGGATAATCTTGTCTATATCTGCAAAAGAAAAGCTGGAATTTGATGAAAATTGTGTTAAACCTGTGTGTCATTTTGGAAAGAATTGTCATTTTTTTCCTGCATGAATACATATGATCATGTAATTCTTTTTTCTTTAGTGTGCTAATATAGTGGATTACATTGAGAAATTTATATTATTGCTGATTATTTTCTGTCTTTTTATGCTGCTATTGATCCCATCTAGTGATTTTTAGAATTTCAGATATTGTATTTTTAGATTTAAAATATCCATTTGGTTCTTTTTTTTAAATTTTCTACTGTTTGCTGAAACCTTTAATTTGTTGAGACTTTCTATTTCTTCATTTGTTTCAAGAGTGTTTGTAAATGTTTGTTGAAGCATTTTTATGATCACTGCTTTAACACCCTTGTCAGATAATTCTCATGTCTGTGTTATTTTGGTGTTGGTCTCTGTTAGTTGTCTTTTCTTGTTCCATTTGAGATTTTCCTAGTTCTTGATATGACAAGTGATTTTTGATGGAAACCTGGGCAGTTTGTGTGTCATATTGTAAGACTCTGCATTTTACCTGCATCTTGCCATTTAGCAGGTTTCTCTGACCCTGGGTGAGGGCAGGTGCCATCGTGTCACTGTCACGCTGGGAGTGGAAGTCCAGCTTCCCTCTCTGCCCTCATTGATACTGGCACGGTGGGGCTCCTCTGCACGGCTGGCAGCAGGTGGAGCAGGAGTGCCTTGTTACTGGTTCCACATGGCCCCAGGTGATACTACAGGGGTGGTGGCCTCATGACTGCTGGGGGGGGTGATGAGAGTTCCCACTTCCTGCTGCCTCCCTTGTCACCATCCTGGTGGGGAGGAGAATGGCCTTGTTACCACCAGGTGGGGGTGGAAGTCCAAGCCCCCCTCCATCAGCCTGTTCCCATGCCACCCAAAGAGGGGTTTGGGGCATCTCATGACAGTGTGCTGAGGGCAGAAGTCCAGGCTCCCCACTTGACTTCTGCTGGAGGGGTGGGGACAGGGCCACAGCTCCGTAGTGTTTGGCTGGAGGAGAGAAGTTACTGTGTCCTGCAGGGCTGCTACTTCCTTGGTCTTGTGGCTGCAGAGGGTAGGCTTTTCCAGAGTCTTTTTTGGTCTGAATCCATGGCCATCTCTGTGCTGCCAGCTTCTCCAGCACCCACTTGGGAGACATGAGGCAAAAGGAAAACCCAGGGAACTCCCTCCTGGGCAATTCCTCAATCCAAGGTCCCCAATTGATCTGCCTTCTTCCCTCCACCTCTCTAAGACTTCTTCTATTTGTCTTGTGGACAGCATCCGGGGCTTTCTCTTGTCCTCAGTGGGAATAGCAGGGAAGCAGATGCAACTCCTATTTTCCTCTAGTCCAATCCATGCATCTCTATGAGTGCATGCTTGCAGGACATGTGTCCATGGTGGGTTAGGCTCTGGGAGGCAGTGTGCACTAGGCTAAGTGCTCAGCATGGTCATACCAGCTCGATTTAATTCCTGGTCAGTGGCTTACTAGCTGATGACCTCAGACAAATCAAATACCCCTCTGAGCCTCTGAGCTGATAGCTCCTACAGGCCTAAGCCATTTGTTTTCACCATAATGCTGCATGGCAAACCACCCCAAAACTCAGTCTGTGGCCAGCAGCATTGGCTAGGCTGAGCTGGGCAGTTCTTCAGGTCTGGGCTGGGCTCACTCAGCTATTCTCATTCACTCACGGCAATTGGCTCTCAGCTGGTATTGTGGAGATGCAGACCGTGTGCCTCTCCCCTCAGGCTGGCTTGGGCATGTTCTCATGACCGTGGTGGAAAAGGAGCAGGGGCCATCAGGACTTGGGTGTAAGTACTTCCCAGCTTTTGATGGTGTGTTGTTTGCTTACAAACCACAGTGCATGGGGCTCAGCCAGGGCTAAGGGGTGGAGCTGGGCACCAGCCCCAAGTGGGAGGACACAGGTGTGGGAGCAGTGAGGGTGGAGCTGGGTCCTTCGTGCTGTGTTCTTACCACACCCCTTTATGGTGTTAAGTGAGTGTCTTGGTCATCACAGGCTGTGGGACAAAATACCACAGACTGTGTGTCTTAATCAATAGACATTGATTTCCTATAGTTCTGGAGGCTGGAAGTCCAAGATCAAGGTGCTGGGAGATTCATTTCCTGGTGAGGGCTCTCTCTCTGATGTGCAGACAGCAGCCCCCTTGCTGTGTCCTCACATGGCAGAGAGAGGACCCTGACCTGTTCCTGTTCTTATGGAGACAGGAATCCCATCATGGGGACCCCACCCTCCTGACCTCATCTAAACCTAATTAGCTTCTAAAGTACCAGCTCCAAATACCATCTCATTGTGGGTTACAGCGCCAACACACGTGTTTGGGGGCACAGAATCCAGTTGATAGCAGTAAGTTAATGCATAGAAGGGTGGCTTGCTTGTTTATTGTCTTGGCATTCTTTCTACACCATTAGACTGGGACCAAGCCCCTCCCTCTGCTGTCATACTTTCCTAGGACATTGGGAAAAATTGTGTTCCTTTGAGCAGGTCTGTGAAGCCCTGGGATCCCTCAGTGCCAACCGTCCCTGACCTCGAACTTGGCTTTCAAAGCACAACCCTTCAACCCTCTTTGGGCCCAGCCCCTCCTCTGTGACTTCCCTGGTAGCAGCATTGCTGGTGTGTGGCCATGGGGCAGGACCCTCCCTAGGTCCATGCCGACTCAACCTGCCCTGCCAGACCTCACTTCTCAGGCTCAGCTTCTCCACTTAGAGCCAAAGCTTAGGCTGCACCTGCCCAGGGTGGCTCCTTGGCTGTGCCTGCCTCTCTGTGTGCTCACTTCCCCTTTACCCACCCTCTGAAGGTTTGGTCCAAAATCAACTGATAAAAGGCAGATTGATCAGAGAAAAGGCACGTGCAGTTCATGACTGGGCCTGGGGGAAATTGCAGTGATTTCCCAAATGTGTTGCACAGTGCAGAGGCTGATGTGTCCTTTTCCACAGGGGAGTGGGGGGTTGGCGAGGGTGGGAAGTTCTTCTGAGGGACAATAAATCATCAGGGAAAAGTGAATGGCCCCGGGAGGTGGAGGCAGGAAGGTGGGGGATGGAGCTGCACGAGAATAAAGGTCGCCTCACTATGCAGATCAAGTCCCCCAAAACCTCCCTTGAAGTTGCTCTTGGAAGAACAGATGAGAAGTCCAGGTGTGGGGAACCCCTGTTCCCTCCCTTCCCAGATGGTTGAGCTTTCGTGGCCATTGATGAGATTCCCAGGGTGGGAGATGTAAGACAACTGCATTGAAGCTGCTTTGGTAGGCAGACAAGGAATTCCAGAGAGAGCCCCTCTCAGCACCTGGCGGGGCTGGCGTCCAGGCCAGGGGGCCCTAATTCGGAGACAGCTCCTTGGGCCTCTCAGCTGGTCCCAGCCAGGCTTTGGGGTGTGGCCTTCTGAGCCCCAACACCGCCCAGGCTCCTCCTGCCTCCACCTGGAGTTTCCTGTTGCTTATCACAAGGAGGCAGTGCCTGGCTTGCTCTGGTCCGAACGGTGGTGCTTTTCGCTGGTTTGGCTTTTGTCTCCAAGGCTCTGTTGCTGTTGCTGATTGCATCTTGGTTTCTGCCATGTTTGGGTCCCAGGGGAGACCCTGTGCAGGCCAGATACTGAGCTGGGTGGGACCAGCAGGGTGCTGGGATTTGGGTAGGGAAGGTGTGTTGGAGGCCTTTGCCACAGAATAGCTGGCGACAAACCAGCATGCAGACCCCGGTGGGTGCAGTGACCTGGGAGGGCTGGGCTCCTGGATGGAGCACACAGGGAGCAAGAAGGGAGCTGGACAGGCCCACACTGTCCGGGTTTCATGTCTGCAAGACAAATCTCTGCTCACAGAAAACTTGAGAAGAAAAAATGGGCTGTTCAACCCACTGGGAAGCGTTGGCATAGTGAGAAGGAATGGCCATGCATCCGTATGTCACCAGACTCCCCTTTTCCAGGGGAGTTAAAGATCCTTTTCCAGGCATGTTGGCAATTGTTTTCTCTTATGAAAATATCCCGTAGACCCATAATTTGGCAATATACACATAACCAATTGTTTTAAAAACAGAAGTGATGCTGGCTATTATAATGTAAACTGTTTTCTAAATGAAAGAATTAAAGGAATGTAATTGGAGAAGTATACAAATAGTGGTTAATATGCTGCTTCTTGCAAAGGCATATTACAACTTATAATCTTCCTTTATGGATGTATGTTGTTAGTGCTTAATCAGGCATGTGAATGTATTCAGGTGTTAAACCATTCTATTAGCTGGGAAATTGCACTATTATTTGCTGAGCTGTTTATGTTATATTGTTGTTGGCTCTCTGAGTTTCTCTTTCTCTCCAAGCTTATCTTACTCTGGTCTCTGCAATCTGTATAATTGTCTTCTTTACTTTTGTCTTTAGAAAGCTTTAAATAGAGATACTGGGAACGATTAACTGTGTCAGAATCACAAAGTTCTGCTGCTTTACAGATTAATTGTAGAGACATTATGCCGATGCTTTAAAAGGCAGAAAGAACCTGGATGCAGAATGGAGGGTCACAGCAGGATCGTGGCCAATGACACTTCCTGCCCAGGAAGTGTCCACAGGAGGAGTCTTTGAAGACTAGCAAGAAAATGCAGGGCACCTTCCTGGATGCATCAACCTTGACCTCAGTGGTCTATAATAGCCCTGCAGTCCAGAGGTCCCGCTACTAGAAATTCTAAGTGTTGGAGACAAAAGTGAAATGCCAAGGGGGAATGCTGTCTCCTCTGGGAAAGCAAAATATTTACCTGAGAAAGAAAATCTCCTAAAAGCTTTCTATACCATCCATCCATCCATCCAACCATCCATCCATCTATCCATCTATCCATCTTCCCTTCCCTTCCCTTCCTTTCCCTTCCCTTCCCTTCCCTTTCCTTTCCTTCCTTTTTCTTGTCTTCTTATGGAGTATGTCTGCTGAGAGGATCAGATTACATGGAATCAGATTAATTGTAGATTTCTACATGTGATACAATCCAGTATATTGGCCACGATTGGCTATGAAACCAGTAGCACAAAATGGCAGAGTTTCCCAGGATGGCCAAGACTGGCCTGGAAAATCTGGGCAAGTGTGTTCTCTGAGACCAATTCCATATATTCAGGCTCCGTTTTGTATTAGTTTCTTGAATTCAAATAAAGAATCCAATGTTGCTTTAAGAAATAATTTTGGCAAAATCAAATACAAAATACATTGTATGAGGATGGAGTCACATCACAGTGAAAGAAAAAAATACTTGATTACATAGAATTATTAATTGGAAAACTAGGAGAAAAGTGTTGATCATGAGTTCGATGTAAAACTGTGCTAGAAATGTTTATCAAGACCTACTATTTGTAAAACACATTGCTATGGAGTTAGGCCTCTGTTAGCAGAGTTTAAATTCAGTTTTTCTTTCAAAGAATATCATTAGCTGGCAGGACAAACAGGGAAACAGGGTTAAAGAAACTTTAAAGATGTTTCCTAGCCATGTTCCCATCAATACGTTTGCTCAAGTCTAACAGCTGTTATTCCCGATAGCTACTGAATGCAGACAGCATGGTTAAATGCCTAGACATTCTTTGTGGAGTACAGTCATAAATTCACAGTTGTCGGTGCTCCAACTGTTGGAACTAAGAGTGACTAAGAATTAAAACTGGGAATCCCGGAAGTCCTGACCAGAGAAATCAGGCAAGAGAGAGAAATAAAAGGCATCCTAGCAGGGAAAGGGGGAAGTCAAATTATCTGTTCTCACTAATGCGATTTGATACCTGGAAAACCCCAAAGACTCTGTCAAAAGGCTCCAGAACTCATACATGACCTCAGTAAAAAGTTTCAGGATACAAAGTCAATATACAAAATTCAGTAGCATTTCCAATAACATTTGAACTGAGAGCAAATCAAGAACATAATCCCATTCACAATAGCCACAAGAAATAAAATACCGAGGAATACATCTGACCAAGGAGGTGAAGGATCTCTACAAAGATAACTACAAAACGCTGCTGAAGGAAATCATAGATAACACAAACAAATATGCTTATGGCTTGGAAGAATCAGCATCATTAAAATGGCACGATGCCCAAAGCAATGTGCAGATTCAACACCATTCCTATCAAACTAGCAATGTCATTTTTCACAGAATTAGAAAAAAAAAACTATTCTAGAATTCACGTGGAACAAAAAAAGAGCCCAAACATCCAAAGCAATCCTAAGCAAAAAGAACAAAGCTGGAAACATCACATTACCTGATTTCAAACTATGCTATAAAGCTACAGTAACCAAAACAGCATGGTACTGGTACAAAAACAGACGTATGGACCAAAAGAATGAACAGATAACCCAGAAATAAAGCTGCACACCTAGAGCCACCTGATCTTCAACAAAGTTGACAAAAATAAGCAACAGGGAAAGGACACCCCACTCAATAAATGGTCCTAGGATAGCTGGCTATCTATATGCAGAAGAGTGCAACTGGACCCCTACCTTTCACTATATACAAAAGTCAATGCAAGACAGATTAAAGACTTAAATATAAGACGACAAACCATAAGAATCCTAGAAAAAAACCTAGGAAACGCCATTCTGGACATTGGCCTTGGTAAATAATTTATGACTAGGTCCTCAAAAGCAATTGCAACAGAAACAAAAATTGAGAAGTGAGACCTAATTAAACCGAAGAGCTTCTTCATAGAAAGAGAAATTATCAACAGAGTAAATAGACAGCCTACAGAATAGGAGAAAATATTTGCAAACTATGCATCCAACAGAGGTCTAATATCCAGAATCTATAAGAAACTTAATGAATTAAACAAGCAAAAACCAAATAACTCCATTAAAAAAGTGGGCCAAAGACATGAATAGACATTTCTCAAAAGAAGACATGCCAATGGCCCACAAACATGTGAAAAAATGCTCAACATCACTGATCATCAGAGAAATGCAAGTCAAAACCACAATGAGATGCCTTTGCACACCAGTCAGAATGGCCATTATTATTATTATTATTTTTAAAGTCAATAAATTTACTCAAGGAATTCCATGGTGTGATTTCTTCCTCTGTCCATCAAGGTCACTTTATTTAGAGAGCTGGAGTAACAATTTGTCTTCAAAAGATTTATTTTCAAGTTAGCCCTTTTTAATGAAACTGATGCTTATTTTAATCCAGTGGTCCTGTCAGCCTATAATTCTTTTATTTTGGCTTCTGTCATCTCCTTTTAATATGGATAGACTGATGAAGACTTCAAAATTCACCTAGGAAAAAATCAAGAATCTTTGGGATCTAATTTCTTCAACCGATTTATTTTGGGGCCATTTTTAGTGTAGGTGGACCTGAGAGTGGCCATTATTAAAGTAAAAATCAGCAACAACAAAAACAAACAAACAAAAAAACCCCACATGTTGGTGAGGATGCAGAGGAAAGGGAATGCTCATGCACTGTTGGTGGAAATGTAAAGTGTTCAGCCACTGTGGAAGGCAGTTTGGAGATTTCTTAACTTAGAACAGAACTACCATTTGACCCAGCAATCCCATTACTGGGTATGTACCCAAAGGAAAACAATCATTCTACCAAAGAGACACATGTATGTGTGTGTTCATCGTAGCATTATTCACCATAGCAAAGACATGAAATCAACCTAGATGCCCATCAATGGTGGACTGGATAAAGAAAATGTGGTACATTTACATAATGGAATACTATGCAGCCATAAAAAAACAAAATCACGTCTTTGCAACAACATGGATGCAGCTACGAGTCATCACCCTAAGCAAATTAATGCAGGAACAGAAAACCAAATGCCATGTGTTCTCACTTATGAGTGGGAGCTAAACTTTGGGTACTCATAGACATAAAGATGGCGACAATAGACACAGGGGAGGACTAGAAGTGGGAGGGAGAAAGTGGGGCAAGGGCTGCAAAAGTAACTGTTGGTACTATCCTCAGTCTGTGAGCATCACACAACATGCCCATGTGACAATCTTGCACATGTACCCCCAAATCTAAAATAAAATGGAAATTATTAAAAAATGAAAATAAAATAAAAACAAACCTGGGAATCCTAAATGTCTGGGTTACGTGGCCATCTTTAAGATTCTAAAATCATGAGTTGAAAGAAAATGACTATATTCACACATGGCTCTAACAGTTGTATATATTGAATAGTCTGAAAAAATATATTTTTTCTGGTACTTGACCATTTCAGTTACTCACCACTGTTACCAACAGGCCTGGGTAACAGCCTCTTCTGAGTGGACTTCTAAGACTGTGGTCATGGAAATGCAGCTCAGGGACCACTGTGTGACAAGCAGAGTGGAAGCGGGAGGTGTGGGCACCATTCGCCCTGGTGGTTTGCTCCATGAAAGGGGGATAGTGCTGGCTCATGACAAAGAAGAGAAAACTGGTGCGACACCCCATGGTTAACGTGACGGCACGTGGCTAATGAACACTTAATGATCCCTCGCCTGCACGTTTCTGTCACCCATTTGAGAATGTCACTTGTTTTATACTTAGCCCTACAGTGCGGGATTAGCTTCTTGCTAAAGTGAATTAGTCAAGGTTCTTTAGAAATCAGAACAAAAGTGCTAGAAGATGTGTACAGATATGAAGAGACTGAACATGTACACACTGGTTCAGATAATGTATAATTAACTTAAAGGAATTTTTGCCTGGGACGTGGGAACTGGCAGTGAGATGTTATTTCACATTTGCTGAGACCTTCACCTTACTATGGATGTTTTTTAACCTGAAATTATTCTTGGAGAAATATCAGGTTGTGGCAGACCCATCACTCTTCCTGGGGAACAGAAATCCCGATGTCCACAGCAAGAACATCGTTTTCCAAACAGAATTAAGGGGTTCTGTTTCAAAACATAGAGATCCAGTCATTTGGTTATTTGTTATAGACACACACAGACCATACACACATACACACCACAACACATATGCATATACACATCCCATGTACACATACACATGCATATACACACCACACACAACACATAAACGTCCTCCCCTACATACACACTACATACACACACACACATCACACATCACACATACACATGCATATATACTCCCCCAACACACATGCACATCCTACACACATACACACATATACACCCACACATACACTACACATACACATGCATATATACTCCCTCAACACACATGCACATCCTACACACATACACACATATACACCCACACATACATTACACATACACATGCATATACACACTACACACACAACACATAAACATCCTCCCCTACATACACACTATACATACATACATCACACATCACACATACACATATGTGTATACTCCAACACACATGCACATTCTACACACACACACAACACATATGGATGCATGTACACTCACACAACACCCACATGCACAGTCTACACACATATACACACATACCCACACATACACACATCACACATGTGCATGCATGTACACTCCCCCACAACACACATGCACATTCCACATACACACATTACACACAAGGATCCACACTCACCACACACACAATACACACGTGCGCATTCTACACCCATACATATATACATCGCACATACATATACATGTACACTCACTATACACAACACGCACACAAGCACATCCTACACATACATACATAATCACACATACACATACACATGCATACACACTCACCACACACATACAACATGCATACACATCCCATATACACATACACACACCACAAACAGAAAATATACACACACCACATACATATACACATACACACACTTACATACATAAAACCACGACACAGCCACAAGACACACACACACACACACTTTTTTCTTTTTGACCCCAAATTCTCCATTTACTTTCTTTCACTCCCCCACATCTCCCAAGCTCTTTTCTAGCCTTCATTTAGACAGGTGCATTCCAGAACTCCGAGGTCCCAGATAAGATGTAGAACGTGTCAGTTTTTTTGTTTGTTTGTTTTTGTTGTTGTTTTTTTAATGTTCAAAGATCTCTGTCATTCACATGTTTTACAGATAAGGTCAACTTAGCAAAAAAGCTTCACTCTGACTACTCTTAAATTTTGTGATGGATGAGTGAAAACTTTTTCTCACTTGCTGACCCCGAAATTAAGCATCCAGCGCCCACTCACCCAGGCTTCAGCTTTACTGAAGCTGAAGGCAAAACTCGTATTTCCTACAGCAATGCAGAATGAATAAAACCCTACAGCTTTGGCACTTTGATTTGTGAATGTTTGGAATAGAATATTAGTTCTGCCATCTTGTATGGGCTCCTGCTGACCACTGGAAATTTGGCAGTGGTCCATAGAACCAACCAGAGGTTGGGAAGGTGCAGCTCCTTACAACCTGAGGCACAAAGAAGCCTTCTGATTAGCTCAGGTGGCTGCATTTTTACTGTCAGAATGTTCTTCCTTTGCTTAACATGTTGTGTTACGGGGGCTACCATTGCAACATGAAACACTCCTGGAAGAAACGACGTGCTAATAATTTACCAGGCACTGGTGTCTAAGAGGAAATTAAAAACAGGTTTTGTAGCCAAGGTAGTGGGTTGGCAAGTCTGAGGTTTCGCACATGCACAGACTGGCAAAGGTGGCAGGTGGGTCGCTGCCAGAGGTATGAGACCAGAGGAAGCTCCAGAGTTTTTGGAGGTACTGTGCTTAGAGGGAGTGGGGAGGTGCTGGCAGCGCCGAGAGCTGCCTTGCACTGGGTTCTATATACGCCTGTGGATCTTTCTTGCATATCCCACTGTTTGAGAATGCAACGCATTCCAAATCTGCATGAAGGACTGGGGTCACCTGAGTCTGGAATGAGGAGGGGCTGAGGAGATGCTTGCCAGCGCAGTATCTCTTGCAGTTTAAAATGGAACACTTATAGTTCCGGATTTTCTAATTTTGCTATCCAGCAGCTCTTGGAGGTGAGTGGGTCAAAATCATAATTCCATTTTGATAGATCTTGTGATTAATCTTTGCTCATCAAAGCTCCTCCATTATATTCATGTACCTGAAGCTGGAAGGCGGAGCTGCTCTGGGGTCGCAGGTGGTCCCGGGTTCAATGCAAACTTGTTTTGCACAAAGAGATCTGCAAAAATAATCCAGCCTTTTAGTTTTTGATTCCCTTTCTATTGATTTACACTTAGGTACATTTAATTCCAAACCTTGGAGATGGCTGACAGGGTCATTCAATTGAGTCTTTGTAGTGAAGAAACCATTAAGAAAGTGGAGAGGCTGGAGCCCTGCAATTTCCACTGGGATGAAGAATCAAAGACTAATTTTATTCCGAGATCGTAGTCGTGCCAAGCGCTTAGCAGGGCATAGACCAGAGCCATCGTTTCAGCACAAGGAGCCTGGCGTTTGGGGTGTGAGCAGGTAAAACACTCTGAGTCTCTCTCCACGCAGCACATGGAGGCACTGTTCTGGAGACCGCGGGAAACAGGCGTCCCAGTGGCTGGGCTGAAAACGCCCTCCTTCTCTAACACGCGCTGAGAAACAGCCAGGGGGCCATGTGCATGTCCCTACATGCTTTTATTTGAGATAATTTGATGCAATTTAAAAATTAATTTTGACCTTAAAAAAGGTGTCCTTTCCTCAGTTTAGGAGTGGAGGTGAACCCTGATCTGGCCCCCATAGCAGGGACGCTCTGCCCCTGGTCGTCCGTTGCCTGGCTCGGAAATGAGATGGCGATGGAGAAAGGCCGTTGCTGGAGCAGGAGGGGGCCCCACTGCTCCCTCCTGGGGGTGAGATAGCAGCATAATCATGCAATATCTAAATTAATACAAACCTAAAGTCTCTTCAAGGTACTTTCACTGGAAAGTTTTCCAAATTTGTTTCACCTTGGAGGTGATGTCTCATCCAAGTTTGGTTTTGTTTTCAGATGTATTTCCCTGCTCTGTGAGCTTCACGGAAGGACTTCACATTAGGGGAGGCTCTAAGGTGCCCTGTGTGCTAGGCCCTCATGAACCATCCCAGGGCTGCCTGCTCTGCAGGACCACAGCGTTGCTGTGCCCAGCTTGGGGTGGGCTCCTGTGCCCCTCTGTGGGTGCCCGCCCCATCTCCACACTGCCAGCTCTTCTCTGCCTGCATGTGCAGAGTAGAGAAAGGGAGAGGAGGCAGCAGGGGTTCCAGGAGGGCAAGGGGCATAGACCAAGATGAGGACGGGAGGAGGAGACCCCCAGGGGGACGCAGCGGGCGTGGTGGGGGCCACCATGCTCTTAGTTCATGTCCCCCAGGAAACTCGTATATCGAAATGCTCAGCCCCACGGTGATGGTGGCGGGAGGTGGGGCCTTTGGGAGGGGATCAGTTCAGATGGTGATGAAGGTGGGTCCCCACGAGTGTGATTTGTGCCCTTGCAAAAGAGGCCCAGAGAGCTCCCTCACCCGTTCCACCATGTGAGGAACCAGTGAGAAGGCCCCGTCCACAAACCAGGAAGCCCTCTCCAGATGCCAAATCCGCCGGTGCCTTTATGTCAGACTTGCAGCCTCCAAAACTGTGAGAAATACACTTTTGTTCCAAGCCATCCAGTTTATAGTATTTTGACAGCAGCCCAAATGGACTGAGATGGAGGCCAAAGGGGTGAGTGGCCGTCTCCAGCAGGCAGAGCCCCCAGTGGGCTCCGCTCACACCTGGTGTTCCAACCGGGGCCACGGGCCTGGTGCCCGCTTCCCTTTCTCACTTCCACCTGGACCTTTCCACAGACGCCCCCTTCCCCCATCGCCGGCTTAGCCTTGAATGACACACCTGATTAAAGTTAATTTAAATATAACATTGATTTGATTTGAATAAAAACACCTGCGGCTTCTGACGGCACCACCCCATGTGACCCCCATGGCCAGACAGGTGGCCCTCCCCCTTCTGTCTCCCTTCCCTCCCCTGAGGCCTTGCTCCGGGCTTGAGCTCCTGCACCACGGTGCTGGGACAATCACACGCACAGGGTCTACCTGCGCATGAGAGGCAGGAGAGCGCCGTGCCTTGGGGAGCAGGGGGTGGTCCCGGCGTCCCTGTGCCCTCAGATGCCACCTAAGCTCCAGAGCCTCCATTTCCTTGTCTGTAAAGCATGGTCCCCGGAAGCAGGGAGGATCAGGTGAGTGGTGCTCTGCGTCGAGTGCTGGGTGTTGGGTCACCTTGTGCCCCTGGACTCTGGCTTCTGCCCTCACAGCTTCACCCCGTGCCAGGCCCGTCTGATGGATCTGAACCCTCCCGGCTAGTGAGGAGCCTGCAATCCCCTCGGGGAGACGGGGGTGAGACAGGGGTGCGGGCACTCAGCACCCTCTGCCCCTCCACAATTCTGCGCTGGCCCCAGGGAGGGAGGCCGGGTCGGAGGAAGCTGAGCTTGGAGAGCCCCTAAAGGTGACACAAGAGGATTGTCCCTGGGTAGCCATGGGCGGGGGCCCTGTTGGCAGGTGGGGCCTGCGGTGGCCACAGAGGGCCAGTGGTGGGTCCAGTGGCTCAGAGGTCACGGTCACATCACCGGACGCCTTTTTGGCAGCCCAGAGAGTGAAAGCTGCTTCCCCAAAGCCCCTCTGAGGCTGCAGACCTGGCACAGTCTCTGGGGCTCTTGGGCCAGGGCGCAGTCTCCATTTGCCACCATCTCCCCCGACGCAATTCCCTGACCTCCAGGCCTTGGGGCCCCACTTTCCAGGACCCCACCTGGATGGGGTGGGGGGCTCCTTTGCTGAGTCCGGCCTTCCCTGGGTGTCCCGGCTGGGTGTTTTCTGGGTGGCTCAGCTCCTGGGTGCACGTCCAGGGAGGTCCCAGGGTCCCGGATCCTCGGTGGGTCCTGGATCCTCAGTTGCTCCCAGCTCACAATGCACCCTCGTGCTGCTTCCAGTGGGCCTGGGAATCATCACCTCCAGGAAGATTTCTAGCAGCTGCTGATGTTTTCTAAGCTCGCCGTCCCATCCACCTGTCACTGAAGGCCTTGTTTCCTTGCTACCCTTGCCATTCTTTCCTGTCCCCCTCATTCTTAATCCTGCTGCCCACTGATTTGACATCTGAAAGCGTTTTAAGATGTTTATCTCCTGAGACTCAGCAGTCTACCTTGTTTCCCCGTGAGGCTCCGATCGCTGGGCCAGGTCCTCCAGCTCCTCCTGAGTGTCTGGGAGGGACGAAGTCAATGGAAGTTAGGAGGTGAAGTGTGCTCCAGAGATGAGGCTGAAAAAAATTTCTGAAATAACTTTTGTTATCCTTTGGCTGAAAATAATGAATGTTTTGGGGGTTAAGCAACAAGATTGAGGTCTCCTTTCAAAAAGCAAGTCGTCCTCGTGCTGTGATCATGAGCGTCTGGCGGGCGCATAGCCCCAAGGACGAGAGCGGCCGGGGGTGCTGGGCTTCCAGGCCTTCAAGAGCTCCTTGTTCTTCAAATGCTGCAGCTTCGATTAAAAGTCAAAGTTGTCGCTATTCACTGCCTTTGTGGCGTCAGAATGCGAAAACTTTGATGGCTTTATTAAGCTAGCAGCTTTTCAGTGGCAGAGTGAGAAAGCTGTAGAGAGACTTCCTGCTTTATCAAAGGGATTATTTATTTATTTATCCCAGAACACACGTGTGTTTTCCACTGCGTGCACAGAGAGCTGCCTCATTGAACACATAGCCATTCGCTATCATCTGAACGTGCGGCAAAGCAGGGCAGTGTCCCCCAGAGCTGTGGTTTCCAACCCCATCGAAAACCAATGGCACCCGCTTTCATGACAAACACGTTGTCACTTTCCTTTACTTGGAATGAAAGTCACAGCTAGTATGAGTAATCCACACTCCTGAGAAATAATATTATAGATAGGAAATTAATTAAAATAAACTGTCATCAAAGGACGTTAATTTACAACGGCCTGTATTTCGATATGTAAACACCTGGGCATGACGGTGTGAACAAACATAATGAAGTAGACAAACACATGCCTTTCCTTCACATGAGCCAGTCGGGTTTCAGAGAAGTGAAGCAACATTCGGCTGCCTGTTACGAAGACTTTATGTTCAGTATTTTGAAATAAAAGCTATCTAAAGATATTTGGATTTACGCATCCTAATAGAGAGGATTTTCATGAATGCAATGGTTACAAATGCAGACCAATACACCAGCAATTCTCTCTATGCATCATAGACGCCAGTAAAGACAGGATTTTCCTGTCTGTGGCATGATTTTCCTCAATGATAAACAACACTCGATAATGTTCTGACAAAATAAAGTACTGACTTCTCTTGATTTTCAAAGTAGTTGCATTACTGGAGAATTCAGTATATACTAAAACCATACAACAAATATTATTGTGTTTACAGAAGAAAACAGAGTTGGCCTTGGTAGATAGAAACAGGCTTTTCACCTACAGGATTGTTCTGAGTGGAAGTTTGTCGTGGTGAGGTCTTCCCTGTAGTCTGGGGTCCTGACGCCCCTGGTCCTCACCCCCCAGGTGCTGGAAAGGCCCCACCCTTGCACTGTGAGTGTCCCAAATACTCCCTTCTTGAGCAAGACTAAGAGGCCCTAAGTCTCAGCCAGCTTGGCAGGAGCTTCACAAACATTGCTCCCATTCCCAAAATATTTCTCAACATTCACTGGATTTTTTTGCACTATTAAAACATATTTGAAAAATGCCTTGAATCTTGAGAAATTCAAATGCTTCATGGACGTGAGGGTGTAAACTAAGAGGGCCACGACACAGTGGTTCAACTGGCAGCTTTGCAGCCAGGTGCCTTTTTCTCAAATTCCTGCCGGACTGCTTACTGGCTATGCAAACCCATCTATAGAATCACAACAATACCCCCCGACCGCGTTCTTGGGATTAGATGAGAGAACCTGAGTAAAGGGCTTAGCATGGCACCTGCTCCCCGGAGTGCTCAGTGCATGTTAGTTATAACCAAACGTGTTTATTTCCTCTGAGTTGTTGACAACATGTATCTAATACAGAAAGCATCTCTAGCAGAGCTTTTAGCAAAAGTTCTTGTTTTGTTTCAATTGAACTGGATCCCACAACATCTCTGCAACCTGGCAGACACCTACAGCCTCTGAGACTGAGCTTTCATTAAGTTACAGACCAAGGTACACATGCTTTCTGTCTTTTGTGGAGGGGCAGAAAGAAGAGGGAGAGAGAAAGAGTGAGTGAGAAAAGAGAGAGAGACAGAGAGTATAAGGTTTATGATGAAGATGTGGCACATATTATGGAGGATGTGAGGAAATACAGTGTTTGTAGAAACTCATAAACCCTGCTCACATGAGAACTGTTAAGACAGTTCACAACCACATACAACCATGCACAACCATGTACAACCACTCACAGCCATACACAGTCCTTCAAAGCTGCATAACCAACCATGCACAACCATTCACAGATATTCATAACCATTCCCATCCATGTGCAGACATGCGCAATTGTGCACTTTCACAACCTTACAGCCATGCACAGCCATGTGCAACCATGCATATTCACAGCTATTCACAGTCATGCACAACCATGCACAATCATGTGCAACCACTCCCAGCTGTGCATAGCCATGCACAACCATGCACGTTCGCAACCGTTCACAGTCATACAAAACCATGCAAAGCCATGCACAACCAGGCACAGTCATGTGCAACTATGCACATTTACAACATTCACCGTCATGCACATGGAAGGCACAGCCATGTGGAACCATGCACAACCATGCACAACTATGTACAATCATTCCCAGCCATGCACAGACATGCACACCCATGCACATTCACAATCATTCACAGTAATACACAACCAAGCACAATCATGTACAACCACTCCCAGCCATGAACAGCTGTGCACAGCCTTTCACAGACATGCACAATCATGCACATTCACAATTGCCAGAAGCCAGGCACAGCCAAATGCAGACATTTACAACCGTTTAGACATGAACGACCACCTACAGCCATGCACAGCTGTGCACAACATCTGACACAGATCTGCAAAGAGAGCTACCAGCAAATGGAACACAAAGGTGCTACTCATGGTGAACAGTACTTGGGAGATGGTTTAAGGTAGTGACAGTTTCTGATCATAGTATTTAAGTGCTGGAAGAGGTGTTTTTTCTCAGCTCCTCATTTACAGATGAGAAAAACTAGGTTGTTCCTGAGAATGTGTGTATTTGTGGCGGGACAGGAGCTGGCGCTGGCTTGCTCAATGGAGCTGCTGCTGCCTCATCTGCACAGCGGGCCATCATGGGGTCACCAGAGCAGTGGCTCACTGCTGTGCTGGCTGCTTCAGCACATCTCGTGGGCCGGAGCCAGGGCCCAGGGCGCTGGAGAGCCTGTCTGGGAGGTGGCAGGAGGTCAGGCCCTGCTCTCAGGAGTTCTGTGAAGACATGCTGAGTGGATGGTGACACGCATGAGAGACACCCAAGAGGCACTTGAGACAGAGGGGCCGTGACATCCACAGGCTTCCTCCTCCACCCTACCCCAGCGCGCATGGCTCCTTGCGGCATGCAGAGGAAGGGAGGAGAGTTGAGTCCCTTCATGGGAGAGGCTGTGGATTCCTGAGGCTGCAGCCAGGAGGTCGGGACCAAGGGAAAGCACAAAGACTTCACTTATCTCAATGAACCCAAATCTGCCTGTGGTTTGTTCTCACGTGGGGCCTGAGCAGAAGAAGCTTCTCCCATGTAGTCTTGAATTTGGTGAAGTTAGAAAGACAACCAGAGCAAGTGTCAGTGAGAAGGCAAGGCCAGTCCTGCCATCAGGCAGGGTGGCTCCAGGGCCACCTCTTTCATGAAGCCTCCCTTGTTCCAGAGCTGGAAGTGAGTACCGTATTCTCCATTCATTTAAAAAACGCACACGTGTTTGCATATGTGTGAGGGAGACAAACACCTGCGGGGCTTCAGAGAAGGGTGCTGACCACATCTGCGGGAGTCTACAGGTGCTCGTACCAAGGGGGGTGCCTGTCTCACCACTGCGCTACTGGGCTCGAGTCTTCGGGGCTACAGCCCGGGAACCCGCATCACTAACAAGCTGGCGGGCTTGTGAGGACCTCAGGGTTCACGGCCTCTTCTTTGTTATTTTCCCACCACAAACAGAAATTTGCAAACACCCTCACTAGACTCTAAGCTCCTTGAGGACAACAGTCACCTTCTATTCCTCTTTGCACTGGAGAGGAATGTAGGAAATGTAGGAAATGGAGTCACCTTCTAGTCCTCTTTGCCCTGGAGCACACCTCCCAGCAGAGCTGTGGGCTTGTGGAAGAGGATCATTAAACACTGCTGAGCTCCGGCTCTTAAAGGTGGCCCCGGGATCTGAGCAGGCCCATTGGCTTGTTTTGTTTGGCTTGTCTGCTACTCAAAAAAGACAAGATTTCACACAAAAATTCATCTTCCCATCCATTCTCAAAAAATCTGAAGAGCAATCATGCAGAGCCCACTCACCTGAGAAGGAAGACAAATTCTCAGAGTCCTCTTGAAATCTTATCAATAAAACTCACAGGCATCATTCAACTCTGTGGCACAGAGTCTGTCTAAAAAATGGGGTTGCATAATTTGGCCACAATTTTCTTCATGTTACTCCCTGAAGGTCTTAGAATTCTGGGGCGGTGGCTTCCCCCTGCTGATTGGCCCACGTGCGGTTTCTGTTGGTTTCTTGGTTTGTTTCAGGATCGGGTCCAGGTTTTCCACTCTCCAGCACCACCCTCTTGCCAGCCGTTGGCCAGTGCCGACTGTGCACCTGCTCCAAGTCCTGCTGGAGGTGCCTTCGAGGACAGGTTAATGAGCACAGCACCTCCTGGGCATCTTGTGAAATCACAGCTTCACACTCAGCAGGCCCCGGGCAGGCCTGAGACTCTGTATCCCAAACAGGCCCCCAGGTGGGTGTGAGGCTGCTGGTCAAGGACTTCGCCTTAAAGGTCAGAACGATGAAAGTCATGTCTCTTCCTCACTGAAGCTCACTGGGAAACCAGGACTTCAAAAGAGACACACAGAAAAAGAATTCCCAGCAGGGGACAGTCACACTCAAGGCCAGCCAGTGGCACCTGCCCCAGGTGTTCTCATCCGGGGCTCATACACTGACATCCTTGTGGGTGGCCCAGGGGTGAGAGGGACAGAGGGGAAGGCTCATGCCAGGCTAGGCGGGGGCTGCATTGGCTGCCAGGCCTGTGGCCAAAGAAGGAATCACAGAGATGGGGCTCCAGGCATTGTTCCCTGGTGAGTGGGCTCTGCATGGTTGCTCTTCAGATTTTTTGAGAATGGATGGGAAGCTGGATTTTTATGTGAAATCTTGTCTTTTCTGAGTAGTAGGCAAGCCAAATAAAACAGGCCAATGGGCCTGCTCAGATCCTGGGGCCACCCTTAGGGGCTGAGAATATTTGCAAAGTTTGGAGCATCAGTGGCTGTGTTTTTGTCTGTCACCAGAACCACAGAATGTCTGCCTGAGACCCAGTGCATGCACGGAGCCTCAGGGGACAAATAGCCAAGGAGGCCGACATGGGGTAGGCTGAGACCAGGAGTGTCCCTGGCATGGGGACAGGGAAAGGGGTCCCGGAAGCAGGGTCACTTTTTCCTACATTTGAAAACCTCCCGTCCCTGTGGCTTCCATTCACACAGGGCCAGCTGAGCTGTGCCTGATGCCTCCGAGAAGGCAAAGTGATTTCCAGTGAATCCCAGAAAGGTGAGATGACGGCTGTGCGCTTGACCTTAACAAAAGAATGCGCTCGGCCTCACAAAAGCGGTGGAAGTTTGCTAGTTCAGAATTTATCCATTTCCTGTCTGAGTGGCAAAGGACAAGTACATAGATTGTTTTCCAGATTAGATTTTTTAAGGTGCACTGTTCAGATTCCTTAATGATTGCAGCGCCTGAGTCACTGAAACAGACGATATTCTAACATTGCCCTCCGAAGTCCTGGAAGATCATCAGACTAAAGGTGTAACTCGAATATGTAAAATAGTTACATTGTTTCATAATTTGCTGTATATTTCTAAGTTATTTCTACCTGCAACTTTTACTAAAATATACAGCAAATGATGAAACAGAATATGTAAAATAGTTACAGTTGTTATTCATTTCCCCGCTACTGTAAATATGACCCTTGGGCTCTGTAGAAATGCTCTGTGAACAGACACCTTCTACTAGAGCCATAGAAAATGATACTGTGGATCCGCTCACATAAAATCCGCAGGGGTTGAATGTCTGGCTGGAATTACGTGCTGTGGGTCTATGAAGAAAGAGATGGCTACTGTTAACACCATGGTAAAAGAAGTAAAGAACATGTTTCCTTTAACATCTGTAGTAAAAGAGGATTGTGTTCTGTAGAAGAGAAAATACACCTAGATAAGGGTAATTTATTTTTAAAATTCTTAGTTTTGTAACATGAGTACCAGTAGCTGTACCTGATATACAATAATTATACCCATTGGTGCTATTTTGTGTTACTTCCTTTTGAACAGGAACTAAAGAATGCTTTTTACTATGTCAACACATTTTAAATAATGACATATTACCTTTAATTTTCCCATTTGAATTTAAGGTTTTCTTTTGATCAACATTGATTTGTCAGTTATTTCTACATGCAACTTTTACTAAAATATACAGCAAATTATGAAACAGCTTCACAGCCTCAGTTTAGCTGTCACTGACGTCGTTCCTCTGTCAGTAATGGCCGCAAATCGCACAGGGTCTGTCTCGGCACCTTATTTTTATTTATAAATTCCACTTCATTATTGCAACAAGACACTGCAGGTAGTGCATTTGTATGGAAAGACCGCCTCTCCTTCTGGTGAAAGTCTCTGAGCCTTTAGCCTGAGAGTGCAGGATACCCCCCGATGTGCTCGGTAATCGCCCACATTTGCAGGGCACGCTAGGGCTTCTGCCTTCCTAGCATTTAGTGTGATCGTTTTAAGGAAAAAAGAACTATAATAAAAATTATGTGCTGGGGAGAAAAACTCAAAAAGGAATGAACTATGAAATAATGTAATTGTCTATAGGGTCTCGAACTTTTGTTTTTGATATGCAGAAAATGTTAAGAAGTTATTTTATCTTGCCGCAGATGCTCTCAAGGGAGATATTAAAGACAGACTTTGACAGGGCCTTTTGGCTGGGTGCATCCTGGAGGCCTGGGGCTGACTTCTTAAAAGGGTTAAGCTGCTGTGTTCGCATTGAATTACCACTGTCATCCAATTCATTAGGAGAGTTTATGGAGTTACAATCTGTCTGTAATTTATAGCCTGCTTACTGACAAAGCTTAACGCTAACATATGCCTAATTTGCCGAGGTTATCTCAAGTTCTATTCATCTCCCCCACTAACAATATGCCTCTGATTCCATGCTGCATGGATGAGGTACATGCGGTTTCATATTTAGTGCTATCAATCACAGGCAATTGCCGGCAGCTCCCGCCTCGGGGCTCAGAGTGATTTCCCCACGGCTCCTGATGACTGATGAGAGGGCGGCTCGGCCAGGGGAGGGCGTTGCTTGAAGCCTCCCTGGAGCGGCAACGGTCCAGCAGAGGCTGTTCGAGGCTCGGCAACTGCTCTGAACCTGCCTTGCCGGCGTCCTCTCTCTGGGGAGCTGGCAGATGTGATCTGGAGAGCCTCAGGGGCATCCGGTGGAGGCAACTCGTAGCCCTGCCTGAATGGCCTGACACCACCACACCAATGTCTGGTGGAGGAGGTGTTCACGGGCTCAGGTAAATGCTGCCCTCATTGCCCTCATCAGACACATCACAGCGCAGGGACATGAGAAAGGCCTGGTGCAGTCGAGTTTCTAAGCTTCAGTGTGTGGGGCTTTGCCCGGCCCACCTCGCAGCTGCATGCCCAGCCCTCTGCTGAACACCTTCCATCTAAGCTTAGTGCCGGGCGCCCGCCCAGAGCACAGCTCTCCTGGGCTCCTCTCCTTCTCCCTTGAGGAGTGACCTTGCCCAAATGTTTGATCACCTTGTGAATTTCTTGATGAAAAGTAGCCACTGCTTGATAGGAGAACTACATAATGAATATGGTTGTTTAGTTCTCAGCATGTGAAAAGAATACAAAACTGTATTGTGTATCTCTGAAGCTGATATTCTAGAAACATCACAGTGTTAGCTACAGAGCGTGTGGGACCCTTAGTGTACCTGATAGGCATTGACTCTGAACCGTGCTCTGAACTCCTGCCCCTCGACTGCAGCCTTGGGGGTCCCAGGCAGGGAACAGAGGTTTGTGTAGCTGCATTATCCAAATGTCAAAACTTAAAAGTCTAGCCTATGAGTGACATGGGATTGATCCCACACACAGAAGCAAATAGTTCTAGCAAGTCCTAAACTTGCTGGGGAGACAGCAACCTGATTGAATGAGGACATGAACTTTTGTACGGGAGGCCAGCAGCAGTAGTCATGAAAGAAGAACTCACTGGGAAGAGGCTTTCTAGTCAAAGGCAGACGCACCTGCTTCCAGCACAGGGGCCGTGATTTCAGTGTCTTTGTAGAATTTGCTACTAATTTCACCACAGAGACCCCGGGCAGGCCTGATGTGGCCTATGTACATTCCCTCCAGATGAGGGACCTCTGTTCATTTTCACAGCCCCCAATTCCTTGGGTCAGAATTTTCTTTCTGCATTCCTTAATTAGATCCTTACTGATAGTTAACAACAACAACAACTGAAGCCAGAGGCTGCGGAGGGCAGGGTGGTGGGGGGCGGGGGAAGTGAGGAGATGTCCTTTACGGGGTGCAGAGTTTCAATTTTGGGAAATGAAAGAGTTCTAGAGATCTTACACGACAGTGTGCATGTACTTGACACCGTGGCACTGGACCCTGAAAAATGGTTAAAATGGTAAATTTTAATATATGCGTTTTTTACCATAATTAAAAAAAAAACCCAGAAGTCTAGACGACCAACTCACAGGATACTGTTTATGATGTCATTGCAACCATCTCCTGGAAACAAGTGGAACCCGCGGACTCAGGCTAGGGGTTCAAATCTCCTCTCAGGGCTGGGGGTTCAAATCTCCTCACAGTAAAGGCAAAGCTCACATGTTGACAGCCTGTCAGGGGAGGTGAGGGGCACGCGTCGTGAACAACAGAAAAGACTTTTTACATAAGTCTTTTTGCTCAGAAGTTAGAGGAATTTAAACATTTTTTTTCTTGCACCATTGATTCAGAAGGCAGAGGGGCTACTAGGCCAATTTTGCCGCGTTCTTCAGAGCGACAGACAAGGAAGAGGCAGGAGCTGAGACCTCACCGTGGTAACAGCTATTTCCCTTCTGGTTTACTTCCTGGCTGATTACCCAGGGTCGAGTCCCTTTCAGAGCTGGTAACGAGACACATCGCTGGTACTTTCCCAAATCTGTTTACCATCTTTTGGACTCCGTAATGTGAGGACGACCCTCCAGAGCAGCTTGCCCGTACAACATTTTCTCTTGGTTCGCAGCCAGTAGTGGCAGAGTCTGATTGTTCTTCAGATTACGGGATTACCAACTCATCCCTGGAGAGTTAATTCAGTAAGATTTTTGCTTATGTCAGAATCCTAGGTACACGCAGGGAGCGTCATCTTGTGCTTTTTCTAACCTGAGGCTAAGAAATGCTGTCTCGTCTGCACATTGGCGTTTTTGGGATAGCAGAGGGAAAAGGCAGAGAAGAACTGTCTGAGCCTCACTGAGCCCTGATGCAGGGATCTCGTCACTAGAAGCAGAGAGATGAGTGTGCGCGCTTGTTCTAGCCCGTATTTTGGAAGTCTGAGCACTAAGAGTTAGACAAAGGAAAGGCATGCTTCGCAGGGGCCTCCATGGCCATGGAGGTCACATTGTCTCTGAATTGTCAACGAGAGAAATCCCTAGAAAAACGTGCACAAACGAAGGATGAAAACGATGGTCTGGCATGGGGTGAGGAGGTGATTCCTTCGCCAGCCCATGTGCGAACTCCCCCTGCTTTCAGGACAGGGACGTGGTCTCCACGGAGAGAAGCATGGGCGTGGGCTGTGCCATCTGAGAAACGGGCGGAGGCGCTGAAGGGCCGCAGCCCTGGCCGTATGCACCCCTAGGGGACAGCTATTTATTAATAAGCTCCCCCGAGCCCTGGACAGAGAGGAGGGTGACGGCGAGGACACGCCGCGCTGGGGCTGTTTGGGGGGCGGCCAGCATGCGGCAGCCACCATTTACTGAGCACCTTTGGAGACGAGGCCCTGTGTTCGGTCCTTCATCCTGCAGAAGGATCCTGAGATGAGCATGGGTTTGGCTGCAGAGGCGCCTGCCCAGGGCTGGCTCGGAGACCACTGGGATATAAGGTCGACTTCATCCCGTTCCCCGGACCGGTTAGATAGAAAGGTACTCAAATTCTTTTACCAGATGTATTTTTAATTACGAAAGTAACACAAGCTTTTGAAGTGATGCATCCTTACTTGGAAACACCCTCTGTTAAGAAGAGGGAAAATGAATGATTCCTTTCCACTCCCAAAGCTGCACGTGAAGCGTTTGTCCTGTCTTGTTTTATTCCCACTTTCCGGGCGGCAGAAGGGGCGTCTCCCGTGGGCGCCTGGCTAGCACCTGCCCTGTGCGTGGGGAGTCCCCGGAGGGCGCGCGGTGGGCTCGGGTCCCCTCCCCGTCCCTCCCCGGCCTGGCCCCGCGGGCCCAGGGGCGCTGCTGTCGGCTTCCTCCCCCGCAGACCCCGGCCTGCCCCGTGGACTCGCCTCACTCACGCGGACCCCATCCGCCCTGGGCAGGGCCTAGGACGCAGCGTCTTGGGGGCAGACCCGGGCCACGCCGCGACGTCCCTGGATTCCCGGGAGGCTGGGGCTGCCGCCCCCCCGAGTAAGGCCCCGACTGAGCGTCCGGGGTGTGGCCGGTGATCCCCGCGTCTCCCCCGCGCAGGCGGCTCTTCCTGCACCAGGTCCCGGGACCTTGGGCTCTCGGGCATCGCTGCCCGCCTGGAAGGGAAGGTGGTCTTCAGGCCCGCCCGGAGGGAGGACGCTGTTTAATCTGCGTTTTCATTAGTCCCAACCTAGGCTCGAAGGCTGCTTCTCACGCCGAGGGCAGGTGGAGGGGGGGCTTCGGAATAAGTCTCTGAAAGCGTGGCTACTAGGCATCCATGGCCGCTTACGCAGAGACCCCCCCAGACATGAGCCAGTGCCTGGAGCCGCCCGTGGCTGCTGTTGGAGATTGCCCCGGTGCTTGGCTTAAAACTGAAATTCCTTCCCTCAAAGTTCTGGGGTCAGAAGTCAGAAATCCAGGCGTCTCAGGGCCCCACTCCCTCCGGGGGGCCAGGGAGGGTCCTTCCTGCCCCTTCCAGCCTCCTGTGGCGCGGGAGCTCCTTGGCTTGCTCTGCATCGCGCTGGTCTCTGCCTCGTTTTTCTCGCGGCCACACTGTGCTGTGCTTTCACTTCCCGTGTCTCTTAGAAGGACACCTGGCGTTGGATGCGGGGCCCGCCCTAATCTAGGACAATCTCCTTTCCAGGTCCTTAGCTACATCTGCAGAGAAGCCTTCCCCAGACACGGTCTCCTTCTTAGGGTCTGGGGCTTAGGACCACTGCCCAACCCCCTCCTCTAGTTTAATCCTGATCACACCAGGAAAGGGTGGGACTGTTCCCATTTTGCAGCGAGGAAAGTGAGACCTCATGAGGTCAGGACACTTTCGTGGTAGCGAGAATTGATGAGGACAGGGCTGGGTCTGTGGCAGGGGCCAGCGCGGCGCCGTGGGGCTCTGTCCCTTGCTTTTCTTTTGGTTTTCACAGCGACATTTCAAATGGGTTTTGAATTCAGGTGAAGATCTGGCATCACCCTGGAGCAGCATTCTCAATCCCGGCCGCCCCTGGCCGCACACAGGACACAGCTGTGACATTAGACTTCACACAGGCTGACTGGGGGGCCTGAGAGCCGGGTCCAGGCTCTGGGCTGGGCTCTGAGGAGCAGGGGTTTCGGCGAATCCCGAATGAGCAGCACCCTGAGCACCGTTGTCCTAGAAATTACAAAATAGACAGAAATCAGTTGATTTCCCAGTTATTTTCCTTCTAATCACTATGGTTCTTTAACAATCATGAAACCGTTCTCAGATTTTGGTACAAGAAAACATACATAGGCTTTGAGAGTTTCTTACACTTAAGCCACAGTCCTTCCCATCTGCGGTTTTGCTTTCTGTGTTTCATTTACCCAAGGCCAAGTGTGGTCTGAAAACCGGTTACTATAGTGCAATAAGGTATCAGGGGGAGAAAGAGAGAGAGAGAGAGGCGGGGGGAGAGGGAGAGGGAAAGAGAGAGAGAGAGAGGGAGAGAGGGAGAGAGAGAGAGAGAGGGAGAGAGAGAAAGAGGGAGGGAGAGAGAGAGGGAGAGAGGGAGAGAGAGGGAGGGAGAGACAGGCAGAGGGAGAGAGAGGGAGAGAGAGGGAGGGAGAGGGAGAGAGAGAGAGGGAGAGGGAGAGAGAGAAGGAGAGGGGGAGGGGGGGGAGAGAGAGAGAGAACATGCACATTCACATAACTTTTATTGCAGTAGATTGCTATAACTGTTCTAGTTTGTTATTAGCCATTGTTGTTAATCTCTTACCGTGCCTAATGTATACATTAAACTTTATCGTGAGTATACAGGTATAGGAAAAAACAGTACATACAGGCATACCTCAGAGATATTGCAGGTTCAGTTCTAGACCACTGCAATAAAGAGAATATTGCAATAAAGTGACTCACACAAACTTTTTGGTTTCCTGGTGCATATAAAGTTTACACTGTACTGTAGCCTATTAAGTGTGCAGTAGCATTCTGTCTAAAAACAATGTGCAATCCTTAATTGAAAAATACTTTACTGCTAAAAAATGCTAACAATCATCCGGACCTTCAGCAAGTTGTAATCTTTGCTGTTGGAGGGTCTTGCCTCAATATGGGTGGCTGCTGACTGACCAGGGTGGTGATTGCCGAAGGATGGGGCAGCTGTGACAATTTCTTAAAATAAGACAGTGAAGGTCGCCACGTTGATGGACTCCTCCCTTCATCAAAGTTTTCTCTGTGGCATGTAATGCTATTTGATAGCATTTTACCCACAGTAGAACTTTCAAAATTGGAGTCAGTCCTCTCAAACCTTGCCAATGCTTTATCAACTAAGTTTATGTAATATTCTAAATTCTTTGTTGTCATTTCAACAATGTTCACAGCATCTTCACCAGTTCATCTCAAGAACCCACTTTCTTTGCTTATCCATGAGGAAGAACTCCTCATCCATTTACGTTTTCTCATGAAGGTGCAGCAGTTCAGCTACATCTCCAGGCCCCACTTCCAATTCTAGTTCTCTTGCTGTTCCCACCTCATCTGCAGTTCCTTCTTCCAGTGATGTCATTAACCCCTCAAAGTCACCTATGAAGGTTGGAATCAACTTCTTCCAAACTCCTGTTAATGCTGACATTTTGGTTTCAAATTTCACTTCACCAATGTTCTTAGTAGCATCTAGAATGGTGCAACCTTTCCAGAAGGTTTTCAATTTACTTTGTGCAGACCCATCAGAGGAATCACTCTCTCTGGCAGCTATAGCCTTACAAAATGCATTTTCAAAAAAAAAAAAAAAGACCTGAAAGTCAAAATCACTCCTTGATCCATGGGCTGCAGAATGGATGTTTTGTTAGCAGGCATGAAAACAATATTCATCTCCTTGTACATCTCCATTGGCACTCTTGGGTGACCAGATGCACTATCAATGAGCAGTAATATTTTAAAATAAGTCTTTTTTTTGTCCAAGCAGTGGGTCTCTACAGTGGGCTTAAAATATTCAGTAAACCATGCTGTAAACAGATATGCGGTTATCCAGGCTTTGTTATTCCATTGATAGAGCATAGGTAGAGTAGATTTAGCATAATTTTTAACGGCCTTAGGATTTTTGAAGTGGTCAATGAGCATTAGCTTCAACTTAAAGTCACCAGTTGCATTAAAGTCACTGGTTGCATTAGCTCCTTACAAGAGAGTCAGCTTGTGATTTGTAGCTTTGAAGGAAGGCACTGACGTCTCCTCTCTAGCTATGAAAGTCCTAGATGGCATCTTCTTGCAACAGAAGGCTGTTTCTTCTATGTTGAAAATCTGTTGTTATTGTGGCCACCTGCATCAGTGACCTCAGCTGGGGCTTCTGGAGAACTTGCTGCAGCTTCTCCATCAGCACTTGCTGCTTCACCTTGCACTTTTATGTTATGGAGACGGCTTCTTTCTTTCAACCTCATGAACTAAACTCCTGCTAGCTTCCAACTTTTCTTCTGCAGCTTCCTCACCTCTCTCAGTCTCCACAACTCTCTTCACTGAAGAGAGTTGGGGGGTTGCTCTGGATTAGGCTGTGGCTTAAGGGAATATTGTGCTGGTTTCATCTCCTGTCCAGACCACTCATACTTTCTTCACATCAGCAATAAGGCTGTTTCACTTTCTCATCATTTGTGTGCTCACTGGAGTAGCACTTTTAATTCTGTTCAATAATTTTTTCTTTGCATTTGCAACTTGGCTATTTGGTGCAAGATGCCTAGGTTTTGGCATCTCAGCAATTGACATGCCTTCCTCCTTCAGCTAATCATTTCTAGCTTTTGATTAAAGTGAGATATGTGCGACTCTTTCTTTTACTGGAACACTTAGAGGCCATTGTAAGGTTCTTAACTGGCCTAATTTCAATATTGTTGTGTCTCAGGGAATAGAGAGGACTGAAGAGAAGGAGGGAGGTGGGGAGACGATTGGTTGATGGAATAGTCAGAACATACAATGTTTCTCCGTGAAGTTCACTGTCTTATATGGGCACTGTTTGTGGCACCTTAAAACAATTACAATAGTAACATCAAAGGTCACTGATCACAGACTACCATAACAGATGGAATAATGATGAAAACTTTAAAATATTGTGAAAATACAAAAATGTGCCACAGGGTCATGAAGTGAGCACCTGCTGCTGGAAAAATCGTGTTGTCAGTCTTGTTCACCGCAAGGTTGTCACAAATCTTCAACCTGTAAAAAACAAATAAACAAAACCCCACAGTATCTGGAAAGCACAATAAAGTGAGGTACAATAAAATGAGGTGTGCCTGCACGGGGTTCCGAAGGAGCTTCGTCTTCAGGCATCCACTGGGGTCTTGCAGTGAGTCCCCATGAATAAGAGGGGATGCTGGACACAGACAGGTGCCATGGAGCCACACAGCACTGGGAGAAGATAAGGTGGGTTTCGGGTTTGAATTCTCATTCAGTCACTTCCTGGCTTTTGGATGCTGGACTTTGCAAGTCGCCAGATCTGTCTTGACCCATAAATTGGAGACAGCACCGTTTTCCTTGATGAGTCTCCATGGTGGCAGACAGATGCCACCAGCACTGCCCTGACACACTCCCCCAGCCCCCACTGGTGATGCTCATCACCCATTCTTCGCTCCAGGGACTGAGCACTGCCCTGGCACATGCCCCCAGCCCCCACCGGTGATGCCCATCACACATTCTTCATTTCAGGGACTGCGCTTATCCTTAGTGGGTTTTCTCTTCTAAAATTGTCTAGTCTTTGAATTATTTTTTTTAATTTAAAACTTTTTATTTTATTTTATTTTAGTGTTGACATTTTATCAGTTTGAGTGAACTGCAGAAATCTTACATTTCTGTAAGTTCATTATCACCTCCTGCCTTTGTAAAATCATTGTTTTGCAATTTCCTACACATACATTGGGAATCACAGCATGATTATTTTTGCTCAAACTTTCAAACAAAGTTTAGAAAGCTCAGGAGGAGGCTGGGGGCAGTAGCTCATGCCTGTAATCCCAGCACTTCGGGAGGCCAAGGTGGGTGGACTGCTTGAGGTCAGGAGTTTGAGACCAACCAGGCCAACATGGCTAAATCCTGTCTCCACTAAAAATACAAAAATTAGCCGGGCATGGTGATGGGCGCCTGTAATCCCAGCTACTTGGGAGACTGAGGCAGGAGAATTGCTTGAATCTGGGAGGCAGAGGTTGCAGTGAGCTGAGATCACACCATTGCACTCCAGCCTGGGCAACAAGAGCAAAACTCTATCTCAAACAACAACAACAACATCAACAACAACAACAACAATAAAAAACCAAAAAACAAACAAAAAACCTCAAAAACCTCAGGAGGAGGAGGAAGGTCTGTTGTCTCCACCAGCATTTCCTTTCTTTCTGTCGCTGTTCCTTCCTTCCTCACCTTTAGAGATTCCCTTTTCCATCATTTCCCTTCTGTTTAGAGAACTTCCTCTCTCCATTGTTTTAAGACAGGTCTGATTGTGATAAATTTTCTCCATTTTTCTTCATCAGAGAATGTCATGATTTTCCCTTAAGTCTTGAGGAAATCTTTGCTGCATATAGTATTCTGGGCTGATAGTTCTTTTCTTTCAGCCCTTGAAGAATTTGTGCCCTATTGGGACTAGTCTCTAGGGTTTCTGATGAGAAATTTGCTATCTTTTGTATTTTTTTTCCCTATGAGTGATGCCTCCTTTCTCTCTGGCTGCTTTTGGGAGTTTTTCATTGCCTGCAGCTTCTGAAGTTTGACTGGGATACGGGCTGTGCCTTGGCTTTGCTCAGGTTCTTGATTCTGAAGTGTATGATTTTTGCCAAATTTGGGAAATTTTCTTCCATTATTTTTTTAGATACTTTTCCAGCCTCGTCCTCATTCTCCTCTTCTTCTGGGGTTCCAACAACACGAATGTTAGGTTGTTGTTTTACTTCCAAGATACTGGAGGCATTTTATTCTTTTTTTTTTTTTTAACCTGTCTTCTCTCTGCTGGTCAGATTGGGTAATTTCTACTGTTCCATCCTCAAGTTCATTGGCTATTTCCTCTGTCTTCTACATTCTTGTGTTGAGCCCATCCAGCAGGTTATTTTATTTGCATTATCATACTTTTCAGTTCTAACATTTCCATTTGGTTCTTTGCTGTATCTTCTGTTTCTTTGCTGATGCTTTCTATTTTCACATATGTTTCCAGCAGGTTTGTAATTGTGACAATTGCTTGTTTGATAGTTCCAGCATCTGTGCCACGTCAGAGTTGGTGTCTGTTGCTTGTCTTTTCTCATTTAAGTTGAGATTTTCCAGATTCTTAGTATGATGAGTGGTTTTCATTTTATTTTATTTTTAGTTCTGGGGTACAATGTGCAGGGTGTGCAGGTTTGTTACATAGGTAAATGTGTGCCATGGTGGTTTGTTGCACCTATCAACCCATCATCTAGGTATTAAGCCCAGAATGTGTTAGCTATTTTTCTTGATGCTCTCCCTCCCTCTGCCCCCACCACAGGCCCTGGTGTGTGTTGTTCCTCTCTCTCTGTCCATGTGCTCTCATTGTTCAGCTCCCACTTGTAAGTGAGAATATGTGGTGTTTGGTTTTCTGTTCCTGTGTTAGTTTGCTGAAGATAATGGCTTCCAGCTTCATCCATGTTCCTGCAAAGGACATGAACCCATCCTTTTTATGGCTGTGCAGTATTCCATGGTGTGTATGTACCACATTTTCTTTGTCTAGTCTATCATTGATGGGCACTTGGATTGATTCCATGTCTTTGCTATTGTGAATAGTGCTGCAATGAACATACACATGCATATGTCTTTATAATAGACTGATTTATATTCCTTTGAGTATATACCCAGTAATGAGATTGCTGGGTCAAACGGTATTTCTGGCTCTGGGTCTTTGAGGAATCACCAGATGATGATTTTTAATTGTATCTCAACATCTTCAGTATCACACCACGTTCTTATGTTCACCTTCTGCTTCAGCAGGTCTCCTCTGACAGCACACCATCAGGAGAGGAGGCTGTTGCCTCATTACTGTCAATTAGCCATAGAAGTCTGGGTTCCTCCACAGGTGCCCTGACACCTGGGGTGTTGGGAGGTGCCTTCTGAGTGCAGGGGGTGGAGGTCAGACTCTCCATCAGGTCTCTGCTGATCCACCCATCAGGAGTGTGGGCGGGGCCACAACCTCTCCTCTGGTGCTTGGCTGGAGGAGGCCATTGTTGTTGAAAAATTTTCCTTCCTGCTAAGTTGCTCCATTCCTTTGACCTAGAGAGAGAACTGGCTTTTCTTTGGCCTTTTGTTGGGTCTGTGTCTGTTAGTGTTTCTGCGTGGCTGGACTCTCCAGGCCTCAGTGAGGATAAAGAAAATGCTACATGTTTCCTCAGGTCCTGCTGTCTCTAGTCCGTCTGCCTTCTCGAATTTTCACAGCTTTTTCTTGAGTGTTTGATGTATAATACATACAGTTCTAGCTGTTCTTAGTGAGGGGAATAGAGAGAAATGGACCTACTTCATGTTGTCTGGAACCAGAAGTTCCTTAATCTGGTTTTGTGGCCGATGTGCAAAACATCATTTATCTCCTTCAGCTGTGTGCAGCTCACCTGCACCACATTGGAGGCCCCGGTGCCGTTCCCTGCCATGGTTCTCACCAAGGAGCTGCTTGAGCATCCTTCTGAGAGCCAGGCCAAAGCTTCTGGGCCCACAGGATGGTGGTGTTTCGGTGCTGGGTTGAAAGAGGCACACAGAGGAGGCGGTGATCTTGATGGTGGCAGCTTTTCTGGATCTCATTCCAAAGGCTCTCCAGCTTCCAGGGGAAGTAATTCTCCAACGCGTGCCCGAATCCTGGCCTGCCTCTGGCGTGGGGTGGCTTCACAGCACGGATGTGGGAGGGTGGAGCTGCTGTTCTCAAGTGGCCTAGTCTCTGGGCAACTTTGCGCTCTTAATGTGCTTACAATAATAACTACGAAAACTGAGAAATTTAAAATATTAAATACATTTTGTGTAAACCTAGCATATTTTTATTAAAAGTGATATTTTCCAAATACAAAAAATTTAATGAGAAGAGTGGTCTTGGTGTGTGTGCCTTTGCCAATCTCTTTCATGCCTGGCTTAGCAGGAGTCAGTGGATTCTCACATCTCTTTCTGGTGGAAGTGGATGAAGATAATTCCATTCTCTCAGATACACAGTTGGTAAGAGGAGTCTTTTAATGGCCTTTTCAGTTACATGTGGATCTTCTTTGATGATACACCAATTAGGCAGTTTATTTAAGGTTAGTTATGACATGGGAATCCAAAGATATAGCCATGCGTTGCTTAACCGCGGGGCGATTTCTGAGAAATGTGTTGTTAGGCAATTTCATCACTGTGTGGACATCTGGAGCAAGCTTGTCCAACCCATGGCCCATGGGCCGCATGTGGCCCAGGATGGCTTTGAATGTGGCCCAACACAAATTCGTAAACTTTCTTAAAACAGTATGAGATTTTTTTTTTTTAGCTCATCAGCTATCATTAGTGTTGGTGAATTTTACATGTGACCCAAGACAATTCTTGCAATGTGGCCCAAGGAAGCCAAGAGATTGAACACCCCTGATGTAGAGCGTGCTGACTCAAACCTAGATGGTAGCACCTGCTGCACACCTCAGCTCTATGGTGCAGCCTCTGACTCCTAGGCTACAAACCTGCACAGTGTGTGACTCTACTGAACACTGTAGGCAACTCCAACACAATGGTAAGCCCTTATGTGTCTAAATATATCTAAACATAGAAAAAATACAGTGAAAATACAGTACAAAAGATAAAAACGGGCACACCTACACAGGGCACCTCCCACGAATGGAGCTGCGGGACTGGAAGTTGCTCTGGGTGAGTCAGGGAGTGGGTGGGGACTGGCTGTGAAGGCCTCGGACATGACTGCGCTCTACGGGTGACTCACAAACGCTGTACCCTTCGGTGCACTACACTGACCAAAAATAGTTTTCTTCTTTAAATCATACGTTAACCTTAGCTTACTATGACTTTTTTTACTTTTATAAACTTTTAATTTTTTGACTCTTATAATAACACTCAGCTTAAAACACACATTGTACAGCTGTACAAAAATATTTTCTTTGTATCTTTATTCTATATGCTTTTCTTCTATTTTTAATTTTTTACTTAAAAAATTTTTTTTTTGTTAAAAACAAAAATACAAACACACACATTAGCCTCGGCCGGGTCCTGGGGTCAGGACCGTCGACATCACTGTCTTCCGCCCCCACATGTTGTCCCACTGGAAGGTCTTCAGGGGCAGTGACACACACGGAGCCGTCATCTATGACAATGCCTTCTTCTGGACACCTCCTGAAGGACCTGTCTGAGGCTGTTCTGCAGTTGACTTACACATATATAGAAAGAGCAGTACTCCAAAATAATGATGAGAAGTACAGCATAATAAATACACCAACCTGTGACATGATCGTTTGTTACCATTATCAAATATGACTGCTATAGCTAATTGTGTGTGCTGGGCTTTGTCACATCACAGCCATCCTGGGGTCACACAGTGCATCACTCACGTGGGTGCAGTAATGCTGGTGTGAACAAACCTGCTGCGTGGCCGGCATGTAAGAGTCTAGCACAGACAGCTGTGTACAGTACATAGTACTTGAGAATGATCATCAACAATTATGGTCCTGGTTTATGTATTTACCACACTGAAAACAAAGGTTGTGGTGAGGTCAGGGGTATGGGTCAGAAGCCCAGAAACCTGTTAGGTAGAGGGGAGGAAAACGTGGGGAAGGAGAATAGGCAGAACTATCAAGCTCGGCCTTGGATAAAGGATTAGGAAGAAAATGCAGGATCCCAGGTGCCGGGGCTAGTGCGGAAGCCAGGCAGGGGCTGGGAGGGGCAGGAACACCTTCAACAAATGCCTACCGACCCCTGCTCAGCCCCACAGGTGGGTCCAGCTCTGAAGTCCAGTCTCCACTCATTCTGGACAAATGCGGGGGTGGCTTTCATCTCAGTTCCCCAGTACAGGGATGGGGAGGCCTCCGTAGGTCTTGGCAGCCCTGTTCTCTGGAGCCTGTGTCCGGCAGTCCCCTCTCTGTGTGGGGGGAGGGTGGAGGTGCCCAGCTGTGGCGTGGGGACAGACGCCAGGTGGAACGCGGCAGTAGCCTCCAACTTGCCTTTTTCTGGGTTTCCAGAGGGATCATTGGTGCCTTTACATGTTGAATTCCAGAAACCAGCCACTCCAGCCAAGACACACGTGGAGAGTGGACTTTGGCAATGGCCGTGGCTTTGGCAAAACTCTGACCGTGTCAGGCTCCTTCTCCCCTTGTAGAAATAAGGCCAGACTGTGCCGAGGCCTCAATGCCCGCCTGCGGACTGAAGGTCTCACCCAGGCTGCAGGGAGATGGAGGGGGAGGCCAAGAGAGGGTGAGCAGGGAATTGAAACCCATGGGGTAAAACTATTTTATTCACTTTATTTTTTCATAAAGGACCAAAGGCCGCTGTAGGCGATGATCATCCCCAATCACGGCCCTCGACCGGAGCGCACTTCCCCGCATCTGGAGCCATCTGCATCTGTCTCCTTTGCAGTCTGCCGGTAATTGGGTCTGAAATCACACGCGTCCCACTCAGCTACATTTACATTTCCTTCTTGCGCTGTTTTTATATCCAGAGCTGTTGAAACCACTCCTAGGATGAATTTCTAAACTTAGACCATCTCATCCTCAAACGGCAAGAAAGAAAGTGTGATGTGTCTGTGAATCTGCTGAATGGGCCGAGGGGTGTTTTTAAAAGATCATATTGCGGGGAAGAAGCAGGCACTGCAGAAACCTATGGATTGGGGTGCTAAAACCTACGAGCTTCCCAGGAAGCTGCCTTTTGGGAGCCCGAACTATCCCAGAACTTTTTCCTAGTAGCAGATCACAATCACCGTCTCTTCTGTGAGCCCGCTTCAAGCCAGCAATGAAAGGACACTTCTGCACGCCAGCAGTAAGAGTAGGAAACCCCACTCTCCCTACAACATAAGGGCTACACATTTGAGATCCTCTCAGAGGACTTTTTAAAAAAATAACATCTTTCATTTATGCTTGAGCAGGGAGAAGAGTCATTAAAAAGAAGAGATTTTTAAAATCCCTGTCCAATGCTTTTGGCCAGCCAGCCGCTCAGGACAAAGGGCTGCCTGGTTTGGGGACCTAATTATCCGGAGGCCAAGGCGCGGCTGCGGGTGATGGGGCTGCCGATTCCGCCGCGAGCACAGTCCGCCTCATTGTTGGTGAATTTCCTGCTCTTGGCACTTTCTTTGGCAGCCTCATGGCCAGCACCTGTGCACTCAGACCTGGGGCCTGGGACGTCTACACAGATGTCACGGCGCTTTTGTTGATTTCCTATTAGTGGCACTTAATAGGCAGGCGCTGGGGACAGCTTGGCTCGGCTCCGGGGAGGGGCCGCAAACATCGCTCCCTTGGTGGGCGAAGGGTCAAATGGTTTCTAAAGCTCGGCCAGATAATTGCTGGTGATTAGCAATTTTAATTAGCAGGTGCGAGGGGTCGGGACCCCCTTCCCTGTAATTGGACAGGTTGTTAACATTCGTGGAGTTGTGACCAGGGAGTATATTTTACTAATACTCTCCAGCTCTTTTAAAGTTAATTAAATTAAAGGAGCTAAAACCACCAGAGACGGCCTGAGATCTGATGAGCCAGATAGGAAAAGTTTTCAGTAAAACTTGTCTCACTGGAAAAAAAAAGAAAAAAAAAAAAAAAACTTCAAACACAGCCATGAATCCCTTGTGAACGCCGCGTGGCCCCGTGCGTGTTCTTCTGTGGCTGCGGAAGGCTGGGGCCGTGAACGTGTTTTCTCTGCCGGGTGCCTCACGTTGGGACTCGGCCCGTCGGGGTCCGGCTCTTCTGTTCCGCGCACTGACTCTTAGGGGCTTTGTTCGGTCACAGCGAGCAGAAAACCAGCGTCTCCCCGGTGCAGCCTTGGAAGGGGCTGGACACCCGCTCATGGCCACAGAGGGCAGCTTCCGGGCGACGCTCCAGCTCTGCCTCTCGGACTCCTCACGGACACAGGCGTGTGTTTGAAACGGATCGATGTCCCCCCGGTTCCTTTCACAGACACCAGAAAGCCCGCGAACACACCTCACAGGCTCCGAGTAAGTGCAAGAAGAGGGCGCGGCAGGAGTTTCCCGGGGTCTCGGGGCGCAGGGGTGGTGCCCGCAGCACTCGCCTCTCCAGGCACGCGGGAGGCTGCGCGCAGCCCGGGCCGGCTCAAAGGCGGCGAGAACCGACGCAGCCACACCGCCACCTCGAGCGTGGCGACAGGGACGAGCTCACACACGCGGCAGGTGGGGCGCAAGCCGCCAGGAACACGGGCCCGGGGTCGGAGGAGGGGCATGGGGAGAAGAGGAGGCACCCACAGGCGGCGAGTTCAGAGTGGGAGCAGAGGCCGCGACGGAGCCTCGACCTCGGTCCCTGAGGTCCCAGGGCTGCGCCTGGCTCGGCAGACTCCGTCTAGAGATGCAGAAGGCGGGGCTGTGAGCGCCTCGCCCGTGACCTTCGGTTTCTTGGCCCTGTTGTTAGAGGCTTTAATTAGAAGTCTCTTCTTTCCATGACACATTTCTAATGCTCTTTGCCCACAACACAGACACTCGCTCTGAGCGCCAATAGGAACAATTCGTTCATGACGGGAGAACCGAGTGCTCCATTCTGAGTTCCCGCAGAGGGTTCTGTGCGTTTCCAGAAAGAGCAGATGGGGGCGCGGGCGTGTGTTTGAAGGAGCTTCGAAGAGGGTGGCCCCGTGGGGTGGGGTGGGGGGATGGGGCCTCGTGGCATGTGGAGGGTGGGGTGGGGGGATGGGGCCTCGTGGCATGTGGACAGTGACCCCAGGAAGCTTCCAGCCAAGAGGCGTCACTCACATGGAGCCGAGTGTGACTGAGGGTGAGCGGGTGGTGGGAGGCTACGTCCCGGGGGCGGCAGGCAGAGGGTGAGGTCCTCGGCCATGGGTGAGACTGAAGAGGGCCGCAGGATGCGCTGTCAGGGGCTGCTCCGGTAAGTATGCAAACATGGGGCATGTAACATGCATCCCTGACGGCTTTCCTTTGTGATTTAAAAAGCATGTTTTGGCCCGGTGCAGTGGCTCATGTCTATAATCTCAGCACTTTGGGAGGCTGAGGTGGGCGGATCACCTGTGGCCAGGAGTTCGAGACCAGCCTGGCCAACATGGCAAAACCCCATCTCTACTAAACATACAAAAATTAGCCGGGCGTGGTGGTGCGCGCCTATAATCCCAGCTACATGGGAGGCTGAGGCAGGAGAATCACTTGAACCCAGGAGGCAGAGGCTGCAGTGAGCTGAGATTGTGCCACTGCACTCCAGCCTGGGCAACACAGTGAGACTCCATCTCCAAACAACAACAACAAAACTAAAAAAATTATTGTATACATGTTTACAATAATACCTTCTCCCCACACCTGATTCACCTGTAGTCGTTTTCTGGTGCCCCTCATACCTCTGGGGAGCACCGGCCACCATGCCCCAGGTGGCAGTGTACGTGCCCTGCCCCTGGCCCGTCATCCCCTGATGGTCTCCTGAGTGGGAGCATGGAGCTGGGGGAGTGTGCCCAGGAGACTCTGAGCCCCGGCAGAACAAAGCGAGCTCTGCCTTCAGCCCTTTGGCCTGAGACTCTGTGCCTGAGAGTGGGAGCAGGACCCTCTGCACCCAGGGCAGCTGAGGGCAGCTCCTGGGGTTCATCAGCTTTGTTGAGTGACTACAGGCAAGTCCATAGAGAACATTCCTTCCTTCTTGTTTTGCTTTCACCCCATAATCTTTAAAACCAGTCTGCAAAAACATCAAAACACCTGGCTCAGAACTCAGGACTCGGGAACTCCTGCCAGGCTTTTTGGTGGAGGCTGCAGGCAGAGGATGGGATCCACTTGGAGGAGGCAGGCAAATCAGATGTGCAGGGTGGTCACTATCATAGTTTTCCAGGAAGGTCATGCTCCTGTGTGGAGCAGGGTGGACAGAAGGACCCAGGGGCTGGTGTAGGGCAAGTCGCTGATGCCCTTAGTTAATGGGGCCCTGAAGCAGAGTAAGTCCCAGCAGGATGGCCCGGCCAGGTCCCTGTGAGGTCCCCGGCGAATGGAGGTGAGGCCAGGGGCTGAGAAAGGACTCCATCTGCAGATGAAACCACAGAAAGTCCTGCTTCTCAACTTGGGGGTTTGGCTTGGGCAACGCCCTTGGTGAGACAAATCCAGAGCAAGGATGGTGAAGAACGCCCATTAGTCAGTGGCCTTCCTTTGTCTCTTAGCTTTTCCCTTGCGATATGGTTTGGCTCTGTGTCCCCACCCAAATCTCATCTTGACCTGTAATCCCTATGTGTCCAGGGAGGGAGGTGATTGGATCGCACAGGCAGTTCCCCCATGCTGTTCTCATCATAGTGAGTTCTCATGAGAGCTGATGGTTTTATAAGTGTCTGGAAGTTCCTCCTTTGCGCTTCTCTCTCCTGCCACCTTGTGAAGAAGGTGCTTTCTTACCCTTTGCCTTCCACTGTCATTGTAAGTTTCCTGAGGCCTCCCCACCCATGAGGAACTGTGAGTCAATTAAACCTCTTTCCTTTATAAAGTACCCAGTCTTGGGTATTTCTTCATAGCAGTGTGAAAACAGACTAATACACCTTGGAAATAATCTCATGCTTACAAAAGAGTTGCAAAAATAGCAAAACTAGTATAAAGTGTCTGCCCTACCCTCCACCCAGCTTCCCTGAAGGCTGCGGTTACGTAATTCATTGTGTTAAACTTACAGTCACATAGCAGATGACACTATTACCAGCCGGTCTACAGGCCTTGTGTGAATGCTACCAATTTCCCTGTGATTGCCTCTTTTCTGGTCCCAGACCCATTTCAGGGCCCAGGTTGCTTCTAGCTGCTGTGTCATTTGTCGCTGCCCAGCTGGGGGAGTTCTTCCTCCCTGTAGATTCCTCTTCAATGACCATGGCAGCTCTGGAGAGCTGATTTTATAGGATGCCCCTCTGTTTGGGTTCGTCTGATGTTTCTTCATGAATAAATTAAAATTATGCATTTTTGGCCAGAATGCCAAATGTCCTTCTGGGGCCTCCCGGCAGGCACGTGACGTCCCCCAGCCTCACTCCTGGTGGTGCAACTTTGACCACACAGGTAGGTGGCATCTGCCGGGCATCTCCCCTGTCAGCTTGGGATTTTCCCCTTTGCCATGATTTGGTGTCTTATGAAAAGGTATCTGGGGACTACGGAAATAGCCAGTTTCTCATACTTTTGCCTGCCGATCTCAGCTCCCTTGAGAACACTGCCTTCTACGCTTCTTCCCGTGCTGCTTGCCAAATGGTGGTGCTCCTGCTTTTCCCGTTTCTTCTTTCCTTCCACACTGAGTAACTGGGAGTCTCCTGTGAGAAAGGGCTGTCTCTCCCCACCCTATGTACTTATTTGATTACCTATTTTTATCAGCTTAAGCTCATGGATATTTATTCTATTCTATGGAATAGAATTTATTATTATTACTATTATTGTTCTTAGTTTAAAATTTCCAGCCCTGGCCACTGGGTGCTCCTTCAGTAGAAGAGCCCTACTAAAGCCACGTGCTGTGGAAGTGTGCTTTTCTAAACTTTCATTTTTTTTTTCTTTTCTTTGAGACAGAGTCTCACTCTGATCTTGGCTCACTGCAACCTCTGCCTCCTGAGTTCAACTGATTCTCCTGCCTCAGCCTCACCAGTAGCTGGGATTACAGATGCCCATCACCATGCCCGGCTAATTTTGTATTTTTAATAGAGACAGGGTTTTGCCATGTTGGCCAGGCTGGTCTCGAACTCCTGACCTCAAGCGATCCACCTGCCTCGGCCTCTGGGATTACAGATGTGAGCCATCGCACCTGTGCGTGAAGGTTTTCTAACCTTCTATCAGATTTTCTAACCTCCCCAAGCCACAGGATGAGAAAAGGTGAGTGACACTCTCAGGGACACAGGGCGGGGCAGAGGGCAGGGGCTGGCTGTGCGGCTGGCTCCTGGGGGATCACACAGCAGTGGGAGGGCCTGGTGCTGTCTATGGCTGCGGCTGCTGTCTGTACAGTGAACTGGTGAGAACCATGCAGATGTGGGGGACACGCCCCTGAGCACAGTCAGTGCTCTGCCCAAATCCAGATTTCTTTTCATCAGTGTTCTAAGGAAAGGATGCTGAACGTAGCGATGCTATTCAGGGACCTGTGGTGCCAGGCGAAGCTCAGTGCTGCACGCGAGCTTCCAGTCAGTCCTCAAAGCCACCTCAGAGCCAGGGCCCAGGCTATGGGCACGAAGCTTCATCAAGGAGGGTATCAGGGTGTCCGGCTGCTATGGAATATGACGGGGGTGCTCTCGCATGTGCTTGCACATGCTCTGTATGCATTTCTGTGCCCTCGTATACTCCCGTGTGCCCTTCTGTGCTTGTGTGTGCTCTCCTTTGCACTCGTGTGTGCTCGTGTGTGCTGGTGGGGTGAGTGTGATGCTCTAGGGAGGCCGTTCCCTCCGGGCGGCTGCCTTATCTATCTGCCCTGCCTCCCCAGGCCCCGCTGACTCCAGGCCTCCAGGAGATGGGGATTGAGCACCTGCCCTCTGTGTGCCCGGCCGTGGGTGTCCTGGGCTGAGCAGGAGGCACTGGCCCCACGTAGCCCTCACAGGGCAAAGCTGCTGCTCCCAGGGCAGAGGACATGTCTTCTCCCTGCCTGCTGCCTGGGGCTACTTTGTCCCTCACCTTGCTCAGGCCAAGACCCGACGCCCTGAACTGTGGTCACTGATGGGTGCCAGGTGGATCTCCGGGCACCGTGAGCCGGGCTGAGCTTGTTTTCCACGAGCCCATCGCTGTGGGTGTCGTGCACGTGCTGGGGCTGGCTCTTGTCAGGGAACACTGTGATGACTCACACGCCTAAAAATAGCGTCTTGATGTCCTGAAATCATACAACAGAAACATTTCTAACCTCCTCCAAATTCCATGGGTGACTGGGACTTTTGGCTGTGGTCTGCTCCTGAGCACTGTCAGAGGCTGCGATGGGCTACCGGGTCCCTCTTCGGTCCGGCTCGTGGGGAGGTGCCGGTGGGCGGTGCAGGGAACGAGGCTGGGGTCTGCACGCGTGTGCTGTTTCTCGGCCTGAGAGTGAGCTATGCATGCTGAAGGCCTGGTGGGTGGGCAGCCAGGAAAATGCTTTGTGTTTTGGGGTCTGTTCTTCACTCATTGTAGGAGACTCTGTGTAGTTTAAGCTCTAGAGAGAGTGATCTCTGGAAGCCAAAATAGACATAAAGTTTACATTCAAATGCCGTGTATCTCAGTGCATTCAGAAATGCGCTTAAATGCTGGAAAGCACTGCTTTCCCCGTGGATGACTGAGGTTTCTTCTATTTCGTTATAACGTTGTTTCTGGAAAAGAGATCATCAAGATGCAGAGGCCGTGGCTGCGACGGAGGAAGGAAGTGGGGGAGCCACGGCAGGAGAGAGGAGAGAGAGAGGGAGCTCGGAGGAGGGGGCTGCCTCGCGGTGTTCAGGACACCTGTGCCCCGGTTACCTGTCTGTGTCCCCGTGAAGAGTTGTTACTGCTCATCGGTTGCTTCCGCCCTGCAGGAATCATGGTCCTTTCGTGTGGCGAGGTCACCAAGCAGCGTCACCACCCCAGACGACAGCAGGTCACCCTCCCTGGCTGCCGCGTGGCAGGGCGGGTTCAGGGACGGACTCTGCGCTTCACTCTGATTTTTGTCATTTTTGTGGGTTGAAGTTAGACCCCCTATTCTGTTGTTTGAACACAGATCTGGGCCACTTTACTGATATTAGTTACCTGCTGTGCCTCTTAGCACCTCCCGACTTCCTTGCTGTACTCTGAAAATGCAGGTTTTGTGCACCTGAATTATAATCTTGCTGTGATAATGCGCCTGTATTGATTCAACAAAATGAGTTGTCTATTTTGTTTTCACTTCGACATCTCTAAGAAGGAAAGACTGACAATCGGGAACATAAATATTTTGGACTTCACATCTTGTGGCATGAAGATGATAAAAAAAAGTGTAATAATTACGAGGTAAAATTTTACCAGGAAATGCAGTTCTGTTTGAACTGGAGGATGAACTCACAGAAAGCACTTATTCTAGAGCAGTGTTAAAATGCTTCAATTGCCCAAGCATCTAAAAGGCAGAAAATTGATAGCATTCCATTAAAGGTGCAACAAACCAAATCTAAATATGTAGAAACTGCTGCCTGGGTCAGGATTGATTTTAGGCTTTATAAAAAATATATAAAGGGTTTTATTTCTACAGTGCTTTATGCTAGACATTGTCTTTGGGCTCTAAGGGGTTTCTCTGATTTACCAAGCACGATTATAAATAATATCTTCAAAGGATTGCGGAATATTCTAACCCTACATTTTTTTTTAACATGAGTTTGATGTTTTCTCGTAGGTTCGGGTTCATTTAAATAGATTGGTTTGAGTTGGATTTCAGTGCTTAATTATAATTATTGTACGTAACTGAACATTTCAATATAATGAACCAATTGATCAGGCTTATATTCATATTTGAAGAAAACTGGTATTTTTGAAAACAAACAGGAAGATAATTTTCTTTAGAATTATGACTAATATGACTAAGTTTCCTGACTGTCCCCATCTCTCTCTCTGAGGCCCGTTACTGGTTTGGAAGATGCTTTAGAATCACAGGTTTTTGTTATTCCCTAGACTGACTGGGGCTAGAAAGGGGTGGGGGCGGCGGGGGATGATGCGGGGCTGTTCAGTTTCCACGCATCCCTCCCGGTATAAATGAAGCTTCCTCAGCAGATGGTCCTCGCCCCCCACCTGTGGCTGTCGTAACAAAGTGCCACACGCCAGGTGGCATATGACAGCACGAGTTTCTTACCTCCAGCTCTGCAGGAGGCTGGAAGCCTGAGACCCTGCCCCTCTGAGCCCCGCAGGGAGGAGCCTTTCGCCGCCTCTTCCAGCTCCTTGCCGCTCCTGGCTCGTAAACCCATCACTCCTGTCTCTGGCCCTGCTGCTGCATGGCTGTCTTCCCTCTGCGCATGTCTGTGTCCATGTTTTCCCATTTAATAAAGACATCGGCCATTGAATTAGGGCCCCCCCTACTCAGTGTGACCTCATCTTAACCAGTTATATCTGCAAGGACCCCGTTTCCATATAAAGCCCCAGGTGCCATGGGTTAAGACTCGAACACATCTTTTTGGGGGACATGATTCAACCCACGACAGCAGCCGTGGGTCTCAGGAAGATGGGTCAAGCGATGAACACACACCCAGCCAGAGCTTCAGTCACTCACTCTGCATCCGTGGAGAGGCCTCTCCATGCTTCGGGGCCTCAATGTCCTCATCTGTAGAGTGGGGAGATTGGGTTAGATCAGCCTTCCCAAGGGGTTTTCCACAGAGCTGGAGCTCTGGGAGATCAAATAGGCATCTTTCAAAATAAAGCCTTGGGCACGAGTGAGTTTGGGAACTGTGTTGGGCAAGACCACAGGTTTCATGATCTCAAGACTTCTCAGAGAAGTCACTCCCCAGTGCCTGCAGGAATCTGCAGGGGCAGGAAGCGGAGGGAGGGATGATGGCACACACCGGCTCTGAGGCCAGACCACACCCAGAGAGAATTCTCTGTTCTTCTGCAGAGAGAATCCCACCTCATGGCTGCAGTGCAGAGTCCACGCATGTCCAATTTGTACTTGCTTTTATAAATCTGTGTGTGTGTGTGTGTGTGTGCATGTGTGTGGCATAGAGAGAGAAAGATTTGTGCCTGCTTTTACTTTTCTTTTTTCCTTCAGCTTTTAAGTTCCAGGGTACACGTGCAGGGTGTGCAGGTTTGTTGCAAAGGTAAACACGTGCCATGGAGGTTTGCTGCACAGACCATCCCGTCACCTAGGTATGAAGCCAGCATCCCTCAGCTATTCTTCCTGATGGTCTCTGTCCCTCCATGCCCCACCCTCCGACAGGCCTCAGTGTGTTGTTCCCCATAGTGTGTCCATGTGTTCTCATCATTCGGCTCCCACTTATAAGTGAGAACATGCGGTGTTTGGTTTTCTCTTCCTGCATTAGTTTGCTGAGGATAATGGCTTCCAGCTCCATCCATGTTCCTGAAAAGGACATGATCTCATTCCTTGCTATGGCTGCGTAGTAGGCCATGGTGTATATGTACCACATTTTCTTTATCCAGCCTACCATTGATGGGCACATAGGCTGATTCCATGTCTTTGCAATTGTCAATAGTTGTGCCTGCTTTTTCATTGCTATTTACCGACTTGCGCTTTCTGGGTCATTAAGTCAGTTTTGGAACGAGATTTTAAAGGCTTCCTGGCCCCCCACGCGTGGAGTGCCACCATGGGGCTGGCTGTTGGTTTGGGCGCCCTACAGGTTCAGTGCCTGTGGTGGATGCTTCCTGCTGCCCACCCCCAGCACAGGGCATGCCATGGTCACCTTCACAGTGTGCGATGCTCCCGCCTGAGGAAGCCAGCCCAGCCAACGCAGAGCCAAGGACCACTGAAGGCATTGCCACTGCTACACGCTTGGAGCCATCCATGCCTGCAGCCGCGTTGAATGCCTTCTGCTTCTTTCCTATGCCAGCTTGAACTGGGTTACTTTTGCTTACAAATGAAGTACTCTAACTCAGGAAATTGGGACTCTAGGATGCAGTCATCAGGGACCCAGTCAAGATTGCAAATATGGGGATGGAGGTAAATGAGGAAGTGAATGACTTCAACAGAAATCCCTCTCTATAAACTCCTACTGCCGGTGAGTCCCTGCGGCTGACACATGTCCTACCTAACGTGGAAATCTCAGCCTCCAGCCCAGGGCACGCGAGACATCCAAACCTCACTCACTCAGCATCTGTCTCCTGGACTAGCAGTCACAGTACATCTGTCCCCGTCTACATCCTAACAGGGAAGCCTTCCCCAAAACAAATCCAAGTGTTCTTCTCTCTATGAAGACTTTCGATCAAAACCAGATTCATCTTCTGGGTGGATACATGTGCCTAGCCCACCAGCATCTTCTCTGTGTCTACCTGACCCACAGCTAATATCCAGGCGACGCCCCACACCCACTCAGGGTCCTCCTCATCACTGCCCAGTGCTGCCACTCACTGACCGACCTTCTCACAGAGCAGACCTCATGAGGGGGATGCTAACGGCATCTACAGACAGTGGGGTTTGCTTCAGTGACCATCGCTCAAGGAGGCAGGTGCTACCCAGGCACCAGCAGTGTGGCTGTGCCATCAGTGGACAGGGCATCCATGCCATGAACAGGGGGACTCACTGTGCTTTTAGACACTTCTGACTTTTTGACTGCGCAGTTTCTAAATAATTGCCTTTTTCTTTGTGTGAGGTGGCACCCCCCCGTTGCCTGTTTCTCATTCAAAATAAAGGCAAGTATACTTGAGAAGGGTGGAAGGGGAAAAGAGAAAGGAAGACAATGTCTCCAGCTCCAAAATGTAAACTACTATATTTATCTTTTAAAGAAAGTTCAAGTTCCAAGATCTGTAAATGATGTGGGCTTTTATGATGGTGATTGTCTTGTTTTTCCAGCATGAGCAGTCACATGATTCTTAACCCCACAGTTAGGGGGCGGACGGACACTCATGCGTGCATGCATATATGGAGATGGTGTGGATTTTCTGAAAATGAAGAAAAAATGCTAAAAGTCATGAAAGAAAGGGCTTCCACTGGCTCTGCATCCTTAAGTGACGATTGATTGAGAAGTCAGCCTCTTGTTTTCTATGCCCACATCCCTGCAAGCTGAAAGTCAGAACAACTCTGCAGAGAATCCCATTGAATAAGCTTCTTCCCGGCCATTGCTGGCCTTGCTTGGGGGCTGAGCCATGGCTGCCTCTGGATGTACCATCAGCCTGGGTGATAAAAGGGCCAGGCACCTGGGGACGCCGCTCATCCTGGGCAATGGAGAGCTGCAAACATGGTTCATTCTGGAAACATTCTTTGTCCTGAGCAGCAGGGCTTCTCTGCATTCACCTGCTGAAAACTGGATTCTTCTCCTGCAGCCAAACACACTGTGTGCTCCACGTGCTCATGTGTGCATGCCTGTCCATCATCACCTTGTCTTGATTGTGAATCCTGCCTTTTGGTTTGTAAGAAAACCAAATTAATTCTCAGGCACAGATCATATCTAACTCCCCTCCCCTCACCTCTCCTCTCTTCCCCTCTCCTCCCCTCTCCTATCCTTCCCTTTCCATTTCTTTCCCCTTTCCTGTCCTTTCCTCTCCTTTCCTTCAGTGTCTTGCTCTGTCACCCAGACTGGAGTGCAGTGGCGCGATCTTGGCTCACTGCAACCTCTGCCTCCTGGGTTCAAGTGATTATTGTGGCTCAGCTTCCTGAGTAGCTGGGACTACAGAAGCTCACTACCATGCCTGGCCTAGCTCAGTGTTTTTGATGAATTAAGATCTAAAACATAAATCAGTGGTGTTTCTTTTTTTTTGTTTTTTTTGGAGGGGCTCAGGTTACTTGGGACAAGAACACATTTGCTGGTCCAATGGGTAGAAAGAACAGCCATGTGAGGATTTTGACACAAGTACTGATTGTGTGTGTGAGTGTGCATGTGTGTGTGACAGTGTGCAAGCATGTGCATGTATTTTGCATGTGACTGCATGCACATGTGTGTGTGAATGTGTGTGTATGCATGTGTGCAAATATGTGTGCATATGCATGAGTGTATACGGTGTGTGTGTCCGTGTGTATGGGAATTGTGTGCGTGTGTGCATTTGTGTGTGTGTATGTGCATTGCATTTGTGTACATGTGCGTGTGTGTGCATGTGTGTACATGTGCATGCGTGTGTGTGCATGTGTGTGTGTTGCCTGAGCCTTCGATTGAATGAAAGCAGGCGGGTGGGTGAGTTGAGGCTGGAGGGCCCACATCACCTCTACCCTCTCTGATATGATCTCAGATCTTCACTTTTATTTTGCTACACATTTGTAGGAAAAAAGACCACTTTGGGCCCATGAACATGGAAACACCACAACGTATGTAGAGGAGCCTCCTCAAGACTAGCCTGGACTTTTCAAAGGAATAATGAAATTCCTTTAGATACTTTTTGTTTCTTGAATTTTAATGAAAAGATTGATTTCTAGTCATTATTTATCTATTGTCAAATGTTAACAAACAGCTGTAGTGATAATTGCTGAATCTCTACTCTATGTTTAGAGGAAGCTGTCAATTCACAAACATGGAATTGTGCTATTTCTATGTCTAAGGCATTTTTCTGTAAATATACAGATTTAGTGCTGGTTTTCAATAAATATACAAAGATGCTAATTATCACTAGAACTATTTGTTAACACTCAAAAATACATAAAAATAAATAAAAGAAATGCCATTTTTCCATTAGGAATTCAAAAAATATTTGTCTTGAGGCAGTGTCTTCCATGCTGTTCTAGGAACTGCACTGTCATTATCTTGTGCTCACGTCACCTTTAGTTTTCCAGCCCTGGCTCGCTCACCTCTGCCTCGAGCCCTTACCCGGTGTGTGCTCTCGCTTCCCTGGAGCACTCGGTATGTTGCTCGTGGGCCTTCTTCGAGGCCGCCCACATCGTGGTGGGTTACAGGAGAAGGGAGCCGTGTGGATACTAGGTCTTCAGGTGCCCTTGGATCTGAAGTTCCCCAGGCACCGATGTTGCTGTGGTGTCCGCCTCAGAGCAGCCTTCCCTGCCAAGTTCAGCTCACAGGAACACTGGACTCGGGCTGCACAGGCACACGCCCTGGCAGAAGCTGATGTGGGAGAAGAACTCCAACCACGAAGGGAGGCTGACCAATGGCACCAGCTTCTGAGCTTGGCCTGAAGAGGACTCATGAGCTAAAAAACGTTTTTCTACTAGTTTACAAGTTTTTGATTTTGCCACCATGTTACCAAACCCAGTCAACTGGAGCAAGGGTGCTGTGGGGTGATCTGCATGTTTGATGGCTCCATCTTGAAGGAACGGTCCACCCTTACCTGGCTGCATCCAGGAGAGGGCCATGCTTATCCGACTCCATCCTGAGGAAGTAGTCCATGCTTACCTGGCTCCATCCTGAAGGAATGGTCCATGCTTACCGGACTCCATCCTGAAAAAAAGGTGCATACGTACCTACCTCCATCCAGAAGGAATGGTCCATGCTTACCTGGCTGCATCCTGAAGGAATGGCCCACACTTAGCTGGCTGCATTCAGAAGGAATGCTACATGCTTATCTGACTCCATCCTTAAGAAATGGCTCATGCTTACCAAGTTGCATCCTGATGGAATGGTCCGCACTTACCTGGCTCCATCCTGAAGGAAATGTCCACACCTACCTGGCACTATCCTGAAGGAATGGTCCATGCTTACCTGGCTGCATCCTGAAGGAATGGTCCATGCTTACCTGGCTCCGTCCTGAAGGAAAGATCCACACCTATCTGGCACTATCCTGAAGGAATGGTCCATGCTTACCTGGCTGCATCCTGAAGGAATGGTCCATGCTTACCTGGCTCCGTCCTGAAGGAAGATCCACACCTACCTGGCACTATCCTGAAGGAATGGTCCATGCTTACCTGGCTGCATCCTGAAGGAATGGTCCATGCTTACCTGGCTCCGTCCTGAAGGAAAGATCCACACCTACCTGGCACTATCCTGAAGGAATGGTCTATGTTTACCTGGCTGCATCCTGAAGGAATGGTCCATGCTTACCTGGCTCCGTCCTGAAGGAAGATCCACACCTACCTGGCACTATCCTGAAGGAATGGTCCATGCTTACCTGGCTGCATCCTGAAGGAATGGTCCATGCTTACCTGGCTCTGTCCTGAAGGAAGATCCACACCTACCTGGCACTATCCTGAAGGAATGGTCCATGCTGACCTGGCTGCATCCTGAAGGAATGGTCCATGCTTACCTGGCTCCGTCCTGAAGGAAGATCCACACCTACCTGGCACTATCCTGAAGGAATGGTCTATGTTTACCTGGCTGCATCCTGAAGGAATGGTCCATGCTTGCTTGCTTCTGTACTGAAAGAATGGTTCTTACTTACCTGGCTGCATCCTGAAGGAATGGTCCATGCTTACCTGGCTCCATCCTGAGGGGATGGTTCATAGTTTCTGACTGCATCCTGAAAAAATGGTCCCTGCTTACCTGGCTCCATTCTTAAGAAATGGTTCACACTTACAGGGCTGCATCCTGATGGAACGGCCCATGTTTACCTGGCTGCATCCTGACAGAATGGTTCATGCTTACCTGACACCATCTGAAAGAATGGTCCATGCTTACCTGGCTGTATCCTGACAGAATGGTCCACCCTTACCTGGCTGTATCCTGACAGAATGGTTCATGCTTACCTGGCTGCATCCTGATGAAATGGTTCATGCTTACCTGGCTCCATTCTTAAGGAATGGTCCATGCTTACCTGGCTCCATGCTGAGAGAATGGTCCATGCTTACTTGGCTCCATCCTGAGGGAATCGTCCACAGTTACCTGGCTGCATTCTGAAAAAATGGTACATGCTTTTCTGACTCCATCCTGAAGAAATGGTTCATGCTTACGTGGCTGCATCCTGACAGAATGGTCCATGCTTACCTGGCTCCATCCAGAAGGAATGTTTTGTACTTACCTGGCTGCATCCTGAATGAGTGATCCATGCTTACCATGCTGCATTAGGAAGGAATGGTTGACACTTACCTGGGTCCATCCTGAAGGAGTGGTCCACTCTTATGAGGCTACACCCTAAAAGAAAGGTCCATACTTATCAGGATTCATCCTGAAGGATTGGTTCATGTTTACCTCACTCCACGGTGAAGTAATGGTTCATGCTTACCTGGCTGCATCATGAAGGAATGGTCCATGCCTACCTGGCTCCATTCTGAAGTAATGGTTCATGCTTACCTGACTGCATCCTGAAATAATGGTCCACGCTTACATGGCAGGATCCTGAAGGAATGGTTCATGCTTACCTGACTGCATCCTGAAATAATGGTCCACGCTTACCTGGCAGGATCCTGAAGGAATGGTTCATGCTTACCTGACTGCATTCTGAAAGAATGGCCCATGCTTACCTGGCTCCATCCTAAAGGAATTGCCTATGCTTAACTGGCTTCATCATGGAGGAATGGTTCATGCTTACCTGGCTCCAACCTGAAGGGTTGGTCTCTGCCTACATGGCTGCATTCTGAAGGAATGGTTCATGCTTACCTGGCTTTATCCTGAAAGTATGTATCGTATTTATGTGGCTGTATCCTTAAAAAATGGTCCATCCTTTCCTGGCTGTATCCTGAAAGAATGGTCCCTGGTTACCTGGCACCATCCTGAAGAAATGGTCCACACTTACCTGGCTCCATACTGAAGGAATGGTCCACACTTACCTGCCTGCATCCTGAAGCAGTGGTCCATGCCTACCAGCCTCCATCTTGAAGGAATGGTTCATATTTGCCTAGCTGTATCCAGGAGGAATGGTCCACGCTTACCTGCCTGCATCCTGAAGGAACTGTCCATGCTTACCTCACACCATCCTGAAGGAATGGTCCAGGCTTACCTGGATGAATCCTGAGGGAGTGGTCCATGCTTACCAGGCTCCACCCTAAAGGAAAAGTTCATGCTTACCTGGCCACATTCTGAAAAAATGGTTCATGCTTACCTGGCTCCATCCTGAAGGAAGTGTCCAGACTTACCTGGCTGCATCCCGAGGAAAGGTTCATACTTTCCTGCCTGCATCCTGAAAAAAATGGTCCCTGCTTACCTGGCTACATCCTGAAGGAATGCCCACACGTACCTGTTTGCATCCTGAAGGAATGATCCATGCTAACCTCACTGCTTTCTGAAGGAATAGTGCATGCTTACCTTGTTCCATCCTGAAAGAATTGTTCCTGCTTACCTGGCTCCTTCCTGAAGGAATGGCCATACTTACCTGGTTGCATCCTGAAGGAATAATTCATACTTACCAGGATGCATCCTGAATGAATGGTCCATTATTACCTAGCTTCATCCTGAAGGAATGGTCCATGCTTACCTGGTTCCATGCTAAAGAATGGTCCATTCTTACCTGGTTCCGTGCTAAAAGAATGGTCCATGCTTACCTGGCTACATCCTAAAGGAATGATCCATGCTTAACTGGCTGCATTCTAAAGGAATGGTATGTGCTTACCTGACTCCACTATTAAGAAATGGTTCATGCTTACCCGACTGCATCCTGACAGATTAGTCCATGTTTACCTTGCTGCATCCTGATGGAATGGTTCATACTTATCTGGCTCCATCCTGATGGAATGGTTCATGCTTACCTGGTGGCATCCTGAAGGAATGGTTCATGCTTACCTGGCTGTATCCTGAGGGTATGTGTCATACTTAACTGACTGTATACTTAAAAACTGGTCCATGCTTACCTGGATGCATTCTGAAGGAATGGTTCAGGCTTACCTGGCGGCATCCTGAAGGAATGGTCCATGCTTACCTGGCCGCATTATGAAGGAATGGCTGATGCTTACCTGGCGGTATCCTGAAGGAACGGTCCACACTTGGCAGGCTCCATCCTGAAGGAATGGTCCATGCTTACCTGACTGCATTATGAAGGAATGGCTGATGCTTACCTGGCTGCATTATGAAGGAATGGCTGATGCTTACCTGGCTGCATCCTGAAGGAATGGTCCACACTTGGCAGGCTCCATCCTGAAGGAATGGTCCATGCTTACCTGGCCGCATTATGAAGGAATGGCTGATGCTTACCTGGCTGCATCCTGAAGGAATGGTCCACACTTGGCAGGCTCCATCCTGAAGGAATGGTCCATGCTTACCCAGTTGCAACCTGAAGGGATTGTTGACAGTTACCTGGCTCCATCTTGAAGGAATGGGTCATGCTTACCTGGTTGGATCCTGAAGAAATGGTTCCTGATTACCTGGCTGCATCCTCAATAAATGATCTACTCCTACCTGTCTGCATTCTGAAGGAATGGTCCATACTTACCTTGCTGCATCCTTAAAGAATGATTCCTGCTTACCTGGCTTGGTCCTGAAAAAATGGTCCACGCCTACCTGGCCACATCCTGAAGGAGTGGTCTATGCACACCTGGATACATCCTGAAAAAATGGTTCATGCTTACCTGGCTGCATCCTGAAGGTATGTATCATAATTACCTGGCTGTATCTTTAAAAACTGGTCATTGCTTTCCTGGCTGCATCCTGAAAGAATAGTCTATGCTTACCTGGCTCCATACTGAAGAAATGGTTCATACTTACTTGGCTGCATCCTGAAAGAAATGTTCATGCTTACCTGGCCACATTTGAAAAATATGGTTCATGCTAACCTGGCTCCATCCTGAAGAAACTGTGCACACTTACCTGGCTGCATCCTGAAGGAATGGTTCATACTTTCTTGCCTGCATCCTGAAAAAAATGGTCTCTGCATACCTGGCTGCATTCTGAAGGAATGGTCCACACTTACCTGGCTCCATCTTGAGGGAATGGTCCACACTTACCTAGCTGCACTCTGAAGGAATGGGGTGTGCTTGTCTGACTCCATCCTTAAGAAATGATTCATGCTTACCAGGCTACATCCTGACAGAATGGTCCAGGCTTACCTGGCTCCATCCTGAGGGAATAGTCCGCACTTACCTGGCTGCATTCTAAAGGAATGTTACATGCTTATCTGATTCCATCTGAAAGCATGGTCCATGCTTACCTGGCTGCATCCTGAAAGAATGGTCCATACTTATCTGGCTAGAGTCTGAAAAACATGGTTCATACTTACCTGGCTGCATCCTGAAATAATGGTCCATGCTTACCTGGCTACAGTCTGGAAAACATGGTTCATGCTAACCTGGCTCCATCCTGAAGGAATTGTGCACACTTACCTGGCTGCATCCTAAAGGAATGGTTCATACTTTCCTGCCTGCATCCTGAAAAAAATGGTCCCTGCTTACCTGACTGCATCCTGAAGGAATGGTCCACTCTTACCTGGCTCCATCTTGAAGGAGTGGTCCATGCTTATGTGGCTACATACTGACGGAATGGTCCATGCTTACCTGGCTGCATCCTGAAGAAATGGTCCACGCTTACCTGGCTGCATCATGGAGGAATTTTTCATGCTTACCTGGCTCCATCCTGAAGGAATTGTCCATACTTATCTGGCTGCATCCTGATGGAATGGTCCATGCTTACCTGGCTCCATCCAGAAAAAATGTTTCGTGTTGACCTGGCTGCATCCTGAATGAATGATCCATGCTTACCACGCTCCATTTGGAAGGAATGGTCCATGTTTACCTGAGTCCATCCTTAAAAAATGGTCCATGCGTTCCTGCCTACACCATGAATGAAAAGTTCATGCTTACCTGGCTGCATCCTGAAGGAATGTTTTGTACTTACCTGGCTGCATCCAAAAGCAATGGCTCATGCTTACCTGGTTCCATCCTGAAGGAATGGTCCATGCTTACGAGGCCACATGATGAAAGACAGATCCATACTTACCTGCATTTACCCTGAAAGAATGGTTCATGCTTACCTGACTCCATCCTGAAGGAATGGTCCATGCTTACTTCTCTCCATGGTGAAGAAATGGTTCAGGCTTACCTGGCTGCATTCTGAAGAAATGGTCCATCCTTACGTGGTTCCATCATGAAGGAATGGTCCATGCTTACCTGGATTCATCGTGAAGGAATAGTTCTTGTTTACCTGGCTGCAATCTGAAGGAACGGTCCATGCTTTCCAGGCTCCATTCTCAAGAAATGGTCCATGCTTACTTGGCTGCATCCTGAAAGAATGGTTCATATTGACCTGTCTGCATCCTGAAGAAATGGTCTATGCTGACCTGGTTCCATCCTGAAGGAATGGTCCATACTTACCAGGCTCCATCTTGAAGTAATTCTCCATGCTTACCTGCCTTCATCCTGAAGGAACGGTTCATGCTTACCTGGCTCCAACCTGAAGGAATGGTCTCTGCCTACATGGCTGCATCCTGAAGGAATGATTCATGATTACTTGGCTGTATCCTGAAGGCATGTATCATACTTACCTGGCTGTATCCTTGAAAATGGTCCATGCTTTCCTGGCTGCATCCTGAAAGAATGGTCCACGCTTACCTGGCTCCATACTGAAGGAATTGTCCATGCTTACCTTCCTGCACCCTGAAGAAATGGTCCATGCTTACCTGGCTGCATCCTGATAGAATGGTCCATGCTTACCTGAGTCCATCCTGAAGAAATTTTCCCTGCTCACATGGCTGCATCCTGAAAAAATCGTCCCTGCTTACATAGCTGCATCCTGAAGGAACGGCCACGCTTATCTTGCTGCATCCTGAAAAAATGGTCCATGCTTACCTGACTCCATTTTGAAGGAATGGTCCACAATCACACAGCACCATCCGGAAAGAATGGTTCATGCTTACCTAGCTACATCCTGAAGGAATGGTCTATGCTTACCTGGATTCATCCTGAGGGAATGGTCTATGCTCACCTGGCTGTATCCTGCAGATATGTATCATACTTACTTGGCTGTATCCTCAAAAAATGGTCCACACTTACCTGGCTTCATCCTGAAGGAATGGTTCATGCTTACCTGGCAGCATTCTGAAAAATATTGTTAATGCTTATCTAGCTCCAAACTAAAGGAATTGTTCACATTTACCTGGCTGTATCCTGAAGGAAAAGTCTGTGCTTACCTGGCTGCCTCATGAAGAAATGGTCCATACTTACCTGGCTTTATCCTGAAATAATGGTTCATTCTGACACGGCTTTATACTGAAATAATGGTTCATTCTGACCTGGCTGCAGCCTGAATGAATGGTCCATACTTATCTGTCTCCATCCTGAGGGAATCGTGCATGCTTACCTGCGCTCATCCTGAGGAATGGTCCACAATTACCTGACTCCATCGTGAAGGAATGGTCCATGCTTACCTGGGCCCATCCTGAAGAAACAGTCCATGCTTACCTGGCTGTACTCTGAAGGAATGGTCCACACTTACCTGGCTCCATCCTGAAGGAATGGTCCATGCTTACCTGGGCCCATCCTGAAGAAACAGTCCATGCTTACCTGGCTGTATTCTGAAGGAATGGTCCACACTTACCTGGCTCCATCCTGAAGGAATGGTCCATGCTTACCTGGGCCCATCCTGAAGAAACAGTCCATGATTACCTTGCTCCATCCTGCAGGAATGGTCCACACTTACCTGACTCCATCCTGAAGGAATGGTCCATGCTTACCTGGGCCCATCCTGAAGAAACAGTCCATGCTTACCTGGCTGTATTCTGAAGGAATGGTCCCTGCTTACCTCATTCCATCCTGAAGGAATGGTCCACACTTATGTGACTCCATCCTGAAGGAATGGTCCATGCTTACCTGGGCCCATCCTGAAGAAACAGTCCAAGCTTACCAGGCTGTATTCTGAAGGAATGGTCCACACTTACCTGGCTCCAACCTGAAGGAATGGTCCATGCTTACCTGGGCCCATCCTGAAGAAACAGTCCATGATTACCTTGCTGCATTCTGAAGGAATGGTCCACAATTACCTGACTCCATCCTGAAGGAATGGTCCATGCTTACCTGGGCCCATCCTGAAGAAACAATCCATGCTAACTTGGCGGTATTCTGAAGAAATGGTCCACACTTAGCTGGCTCCATCGTGAAGGAATGGTCCATGCTTACCTGGGCCCATCCTGAAGAAACAGTCCATGCTTACCTTGCTCCATCCTGAAGGAATGGTCCACATTTACCTGACTCCACCCTGAAGGAATGGTCCATGCTGACCTGGGCCCATCCTGAAGAAACAGTCCATGCTTACCTGGCTGTATTCTGAAGAAATGGTCCACACTTACCTGGCTCCATCCTGAAGGAATGGTCCATACTTACCTGGGCCCATCCTGAAGAAACAGTCCATGCTTACCTTGCTCCATCCTGAAGGAATGGTCCACACTTACCTGACTCTACTCTGAAGGAATGGTCCATGCTTACCTGGGCCCATCCTGAAGAAAGAGTCCATGCTTACCTGGCTGTATTCTGAAGGAATGGTCCACACTTACCTGGCTCTATCCTGAAGGAATGGTGCATGCTTAGCTGGGCCCAACCTGAAGAAACAGTCCATGCTTACCAGGCTGTATTCTGAAGGAATGGTCCACACTTACCTGGCTCCATCCTGAAGGAATGGTCCATGCTTACCTGGGCCCATCCAGAAGAAACAGTCCATGCTTACCTTGCTCCATCCTGAAGGAATGGTCCACACTTACTTGACTCCATCCTGAAGGAATGGTCCATGCTTACCTGGGCCCATCCTGAAGAAACAGTCCATGCTTACGTGGCTGTATTCTGAAGGAATGGTCCCTGCTTACCTGATTCCATCCTGAAGGAATGGTCCACACTTACGTGACTCCATCCTGAAGGAATGGTCCATGCTTACCTGGGCCCATCCTGAAGAAACAGTCCATGCTTACCTGGCTGTATTCTGAAGGAATGGTACACACTTACCTGGCTCCAACCTGAAGGAATGGTCCATGCTTACCTGGGCCCATCCTGAAGAAACAGTCCATGCTTACCTTGCTCCATTCTGAAGGAATGGTCCACAATTACCTGACTCCATCCTGAAGGAATGGTCCATGCTTACCTGGGCCCATCCTGAAGAAACAGTCCATGCTTACCTGGCTGTGTTCTGAAGGAATGGTCCACACTTACCTGGCTCCAACCTGAAGGAATGGTCCATGCTTACCGGGGCCAATCCTGAAGAAACAGTCCATGATTACCTTGCTCCATTCTGAAGGAATGGTCCACAATTACCTGACTCCATCCTGAAGGAATGGTCCATGCTTACCTGGGCCCATCCTGAAGAAACAATCCATGCTTACCTGGCGGTATTCTGAAGAAATGGCCCACACTTACCTGGCTCCAACCTGGAGGAATGGTCCATGCTTACCTGGGCCCATCCTTAAGAAACAGTCCATGGTTACCTTGCTCCATCCTGAAGGAATGGTCCACACTTACCTGACTCCACCCTGAAGGAATGGTCCATGCTGACCTGGGCCCATCCTGAAGAAACAGTCCATGCTTACCTGGCTGTATTCTGAAGAAATGGTCCACACTTACCTGGCTCCATCCTGAAGGAATGGTCCATGCTTACCTGGGCCCATCCTGAAGAAACACTCCATGCTTACCTTGCTCCATTCTGAAGGAATGGTCCACAATTACCTGACTCCATCCTGAAGGAATGGTCCATGCTTACCTGGGCCCAACCTGAAGAAACAGTCCATGCTTACCTGGCTGTATTCTGAAGAAATGGTCCACAATTACCTGGCTCCATCCTGAAGGAATGGTCCATGCTTACCTGGGCCCATCCTGAAGAAACACTCCATGCTTACCTGGCTGTATTCTGAAGGAATGGTCCACACTTACCTGGCTCCATCCTGAAGGAATGGTCCATGCTTACCTGGGCCCATCCTGAAGAAACACTCCAAGCTTACCTGGCAGTATTCTGAAGGAATGGTCCACACTTACCTGGCTCCATCCTGAAGGAATGGTCCATGCTTACATGGGCCCATCCTGAAGAAACAGTCCATGCTTACCTTGCACAATCCTGAAGGAATGGTCCACACTTACCTGACTCCACTCTGAAGGAATGGTCCATGCTTACCTGGGCCCATCCTGAAGAAACAGTCCATGCTTACCTGGCTGTATTCTGAAGGAATGGTCCACACTTACCTGGCTCCATCCTGAAGGAATGGTCCATGCTTACCTGGGCCCATCCTGAAGAAACAGTCCATGCTTACCTTGATCCATCCTGAAGGAATGGTCCCCACATACCTGACTCCATCCCGAAGGAATGGTCCATGCTTAACTGGGCCCATCCTGAAGAAACAGTCCATGCTTACCTGGCTGTATTCTGAAGGAATGGTCCCTGCTTACCTGATTCCATCCTGAAGGAATGGTCCACACTTACGTGACTCCATCCTGAAGGAATGGTCCATGGTTACCTGGGCCCATCCTGAAGAAACAGTCCATGATTACCTGGCTGTATTCTGAAGAAATGGTCCACACTTATCTGGCTCCATCCTGAAGGAATGGTCCATGCTTACCTGGGCCCATCCTGAAGAAACAGTCCATGCTTACCTGGCTGTATTCTGAAGGAATGGTCCCTGCCTACCTGATTCCATCCTGAAGGAATGGTCCACACTTATGTGACTCCATCCTGAAGGAATGGTCCATGATTACCTGGGCCCATCTTGAAGAAACACTCCATGCTTACCTGGCTGTATTCTGAAGGAATGGTCCACACTTACCTGGCTCCATCCTGAAGGAATGGTCCATGCTTACCTGGGCCCATCCTGAAGAAACACTCCATGCTTACCTGACAGTATTCTGAAGGAATGGTCCACACTTACCTGGCTCCATCCTGAGGGAATGGTCCATGCTTACCTGGGCCCATCCTGAAGAAACAGTCCATGCTTACCTTGCTCCATCCTGAAGGAATGGTCCACACTTACCTGACTCCACTCTGAAGGAATGGTCCATGCTTACCTGGGCCCATCCTGAAGAAACAGTCCATGGTTACCTGGCTGTATTCTGAAGGAATGGTCCACACTTACCTGGCTCTATCCTGAAGGAATGGTCCATGCTTACCTGGGCCCATCCTGAAGAAACAGTCCATGCTTACGTGCTCCATCCTGAAGGAATGGTCAACACTTACCTGACTCCACTCTGAAGGAATGGTGCATGCTTACCTGGGCCCATCCTGAAAAAACAGTCCATGCTTACCTGGCTGTACTCTGAAGGAATGGTCCACACTTACCTGGCTCTATCCTGAAGGAATGGTCCATGCTTACCTGGGCCAATCCTGAAGAAACAGTCCATGCTTACCTGGCTGTATTCTGAAGGAATGGTCCAAACTTACCTGGCTCCATCCTGAAGGAATGGTCCATGCTTACCTGGGCCCATCCTGAAGAAACAGTCCATGCTTACCTTGCTCCATCCTGAAGGAATGGTCCACACTTACCGGACTCCATCCTAAAGGAATGGTCCATGCTTACCTGGGCCCATCCTGAAGAAACAGTCCATGCTTACCTTGCTCCATCCTGAAGGAATGGTCCACATTTACCTGGCTCCAACCTGAAGGAATGGTCCTTGCTTACCTGGGCCCATCCTGAAGAAACAGTCCATGCTTACCTGGCTGTATTCTGAAGGAATGGTCCCTGCCTACCTGATTTCATCGTGAAGGAATGGTCCACACTTATGTGACTCCATCCTGAAGGAATGGTCCATGCTTACCTGGGCCCATCCTGAAGAAACAGTCCATGCTTACCTTGATCCATCCTGAAGGAATGGTCCCCACTTACCTGACTCCATCCTGAAGGAATGGTCCATGATTAACTGGGCCCATCCTGAAGAAACAGTGCATGCTTACCTGGCTGTATTCTGAAGGAATGGTCCCTGCTTACCTGATTCCATCCTGAAGGAATGGTCCACACTTACGTGACTCCATCCTGAAGGAATGGTCCATGCTTACCTGGGCCCATCCTGAAGAAACAGTCCATGCTTACCTGGCTGTATTCTGAAGAAATGGTCCACACTTACCTGGCTCCATCCTGAAGGAATGGTCCATGCTTACCTGGGCCCATCCTGAAGAAACAGTCCATGCTTACCTGGCTGTATTCTGAAGGAATGGTCCACACTTACCTGGCTCCATCCTGAAGGAATGGTCCATGCTTACCTGGGCCCATCCTGAAGAAACAGTCCATGCTTACCTTGCTCCATCCTGAAGGAATGGTCCACACTTACCTGACTCCACTCTGAAGGAATGGTCCATGCTTACCTGGGCCCATCCTGAAGAAACAGTCCATGCTTACCTGGCTGTATTCTGAAGAAATGTTCCACACTTACCTGGCTCCATCCTGAAGGAATGGTCCGTGCTTACCTGGGCCCATCTTGAAGAAACAGTCCATGCTTACCTGGCTGTATTCTGAAGGAATGGTCCCTGCCTACCTGATTCCATCGTGAAGGAATGGTCCACACTTATGTGACTCCATCCTGAAGGAATGGTCCATGCTTACCTGGGCCCATCCTGAAGAAACAGTCCATGCTTACCTGGCTGTATTCTGAAGGAATGGTCCACAATTACCTGACTCCATCCTGAAGGAATGTTCCATGCTTACCTGGGCCCATCCTGAAGAAACACTCCATGCTTACCTGGCTGTATTCTGAAGGAATGGTCCACACTTACCTGGCTCCCTCCTGAAGGAATGGTCCATGCTTACCTGGGCCCATCCTGAAGAAACAGTCCATGCTTACCTTGATCCATCCTGAAGGAATGGTCCCCACTTACCTGACTCCATCCTGAAGGAATGGTCCATGATTAACTGGGCCCATCCTGAAGAAACAGTGCATGCTTACCTGGCTGTATTCTGAAGGAATGGTCCCTGCTTACCTGATTCCATCCTGAAGGAAAGGTCCACACTTACGTGACTCCATCCTGAAGGAATGGTCCATGCTTACCTGGGCCCATCCTGAAGAAACAGTCCATGATTACCTGGCTGTATTCTGAAGAAATGGTCCACACTTACCTGGCTCCATCCTGAAGGAATGGTCCATGCTTACCTGGGCCCATCATGAAGAAACAGTCCATGCTTACCTGGCTGTATTTTGAAGGAATGGTCCACACTTACCTGGCTCCATCCTGAAGGAATGGTCCATGCTTACCTGGGCCCATCCTGAAGAAACAGTCCATGCTTACCTTGCTCCATCCTGAAGGAATGGTCCACACTTACCTGACTCCACTCTGAAGGAATGGTCCATGCTTACCTGGGCCCATCCTGAAGAAACAGTCCATGCTTACCTGGCTGTATTCTGAAGAAATGGTCCACACTTACCTGGCTCCATCCTGAAGGAATGGTCCGTGCTTACCTGGGCCCATCCTGAAGAAAGAGTCCATGCTTACCTTGCTCCATTCTGAAGGAATGGTCCATACTTACCTGAATCCATCCTGAAGGAATGGTCCATGCTTACATGGGCCCATCCTGAAGAAACAGTCCATGCTTACCTTGCTCCATCCTGAAGGAATGGTCCACATTTACCTGGCTCCATCCTGAAGTAATGGTCCTTGCTTACCTGGGCCCATCCTGAAGAAACAGTCCATGCTTACCTGGCTGTATTCTGAAGGAATGGTCCCTGCCTACCTGATTGCATCGTGAAGGAATGGTCCACACTTACGTGACTCCATCCTGAAGGAATGGTCCATGCTTACCTGGGCCCATCCTGAAGAAACAGTCCATGCTTACCTGGCTGTATTCTGAAGAAATGGTCCACACTTACCTGGCTCCATCCTGAAGGAATGGTCCGTGCTTACCTGGGCCCATCTTGAAGAAACAGTCCATGCTTACCTGGCTGTATTCTGAAGGAATGGTCCACACTTACCTGGCTCCATTCTGAAGGAATGGTCCATGCTTACCTGGGCCCATCCTGAAGAAACAGTCCATGGTTACCTGGCTGTATTCTGAAGGAATGGTCCACACTTACCTGGCTCCATCCTGAAGGAATGGTCCATGCTTACCTGGGCCCATCCTGAAGAAAGAGTCCATGCTTACCTTGCTCCATTCTGAAGGAATGGTCCATACTTACCTGAATCCATCCTGAAGGAATGGTCCATGCTAACATGGGCCCATCCTGAAGAAACAGTCCATGCTTACCTGGCTGTATTCTGAAGGAATGGTCCACACTTACTGGCTCCATCCTGAAGGAATGGTCCATGCTTACCTGGGCCCATCCTGAAGAAACAGTCCATGCTTACCTGGCTGTATTCTGAAGGAATGATCCACACTTTCCTGTCTCCATCCTGAAGGTATGGTCCATGTTTACCTGGGCCCATCCTGAAGAAACAGTACATGCTTACCTGGCTGTATTCTGAAGGAATGGTCCACACTTCCCTGGCTCCAACCTGAAGGAATGGTCCATGCTTACCTGGGCCCATCCTGAAGAAACACTCCATGCTTACCTTGCTCCATTCTGAAGGAATGGTCCACAAATACCTGACTGCATCCTGAAGGAATGGTCCATGCTTACCTGGGCCCATCCTGAAGAAACACTCCATGTTTACCTGGCTGTATTCTGAAGAAATGGTCCACACTTACCTGGCTCCATCCTGAAGGAATGGTCCATGCTTCCCTGGGCCCATCCTGAAGAAACAGTCCATGCTTACCTTGCTCCATCCTGAAGGAATGGTCCACACTTACCTGACTCCACCCGGAAGGAATGGTCCATGCTTACCTGGGCCCATCCTGAAGAAATAGTCCATGCTTACCTGGCTGTATTCTGAAGAAATGGTCCACACTTACCTGGCTCCATCCTGAAGGAATGGTCCATGCTTACCTGGGCCCATCCTGAAGAAACACTCCATGCTTACCTGGCTGTATTCTGATGGAATGGTCCACACTTACCTGGCTCCATGCTGAAGGAATGGTCCATGCTTACCTGGGCCCATCCTGAAGAAACAGTCCATGCTTACCTTGCTCCATCCTGAAGGAATGGTCCACACTTACCTGACTCCACTCTGAAGGAATGGTCCATGCTTACCTGGGCCCATCCTGAAGAAACAGTCCATTCTTACCTGGCTGTATTCTGAAGGAATGGTCCACACTTACCTGGCTCTATCCTGAAGGAATGGTCCATGGTTACCTGGGCCCATCATGAAGAAACAGTCCATGCTTACCTGGCTGTATTCTGAAGGAATGGTCCACACTTACCTGACTTCATCCTGAAGGAATGGTCCATGCTTACCTGGGCCCATCCTGAAGGAATGGTCCACACTTACCTGACTCCATCCTGAAGGAATGGTCCATGCTTAACTGGGCCCATCCTGAAGAAACAGTGCATGCTTACCTGGCTGTATTCTGAAGGAATGGTCCCTGCTTACCTGATTCCATCCTGAAGGAATGGTCCACACTTACCTGACTCCATCTTGAAGGATTGGTCCATGCTTACCTGGGCCCATCTTGAGGAAACTGTCCATGCTTACCTGGCTGTATTCTGAAGGAATGGTCCACACTTACCTGGCTCCATCCTGAAGGAATGGTCCATGCTTACCTGGGCCCATCCTGAAGAAACACTCCATGCTTACCTGGCTGTATTCTGATGGAATGGTCCACACTTACCTGGCTCCATGCTGAAGGAATGGTCCATGCTTACCTGGGCCCATCCTGAAGAAACAGTCCATGCTTACCTTGCTCCATCCTGAAGGAATGGTCCACACTTACCTGACTCCACTCTGAAGGAATGGTCCATGCTTACCTGGGCCCATCCTGAAGAAACAGTCCATTCTTACCTGGCTGTATTCTGAAGGAATGGTCCACACTTACCTGGCTCTATCCTGAAGGAATGGTCCATGGTTACCTGGGCCCATCATGAAGAAACAGTCCATGCTTACCTGGCTGTATTCTGAAGGAATGGTCCACACTTACCTGACTTCATCCTGAAGGAATGGTCCATGCTTACCTGGGCCCATCCTGAAGGAATGGTCCACACTTACCTGACTCCATCCTGAAGGAATGGTCCATGCTTAACTGGGCCCATCCTGAAGAAACAGTGCATGCTTACCTGGCTGTATTCTGAAGGAATGGTCCCTGCTTACCTGATTCCATCCTGAAGGAATGGTCCACACTTACCTGGCTCCATCCTGAAGGAATGGTCCATGCTTACCTGGGCCCATCCTGAAGAAACAGTCCATGCTTACCTGGCTGTATTCTGAAGGAATGGTCCACACTTACCTGGCTCCATCCTGAAGGAATGGTCCATGCTTACCTGGGCCCATCCTGAAGAAACAGTCCATGCTTACCTTGCTCCATCCTGAAGGAATGGTCCACACTTACCTGACTCCACCCTGAAGGAATGGTCCATGCTTACCTGGGCCCATCCTGAAGAAACAGTCCATGCTTACCTGGCTGTATTCTGAAGAAATGGTCCACACTTACCTGGCTCCATCCTGAAGGAATGGTCCGTGCTTACCTGGGCCCATCTTGAAGAAACAGTCCATGCTTACCTGGCTGTATTCTGAAGGAATGGTCCACACTTACCTGGCTCCATTCTGAAGGAATGGTCCATGCTTACCTGGGCCCATCCTGAAGAAACAGTCCATGCTTACCTGGCTGTATTCTGAAGGAATGGTCCACACTTACTGGCTCCATCCTGAAGGAATGGTCCACACTTACCTGGCTCTATCCTGAAGGAATGGTCCCTGCTTACCTGGGCCCATCCTGAAGAAACAGTCCATGCTTACCTGGCTGTATTCTGAAGGAATGGTCCACACTTACCTGGCTCCATCCTGAAGGAATGGTCCATGTTTACCTGGGCCCATCCTGAAGAAACAGTCCATGCTTACCTTGATCCATCCTGAAGGAATGGTCCCCACTTACGTGACTCCATCCTGAAGGAATGGTCCATGATTAACTGGGCCCATCCTGAAGAAACAGTGCATGCTTACCTGGCTGCATTCTGAAGGAATGGTCCCTGCTTACCTGATTCCATCCTGAAGGAATGGTCCACACTTACGTGACTCCATCCTGAAGGAATGGTCCATGCTTACCTGGGCCCATCCTGAAGAAACAGTCCATGCTTACCTGGCTGTATTCTGAAGAAATGGTCCACACTTACCTGGCTCCATCCTGAAGGAATGGTCCATGCTTACCTGGGCCCATCCTGAAGAAACAGTCCATGCTTACCTGGCTGTATTCTGAAGGAATGGTCCACACTTACCTGGCTCCATCCTGAAGGAATGGTCCATGCTTACCTGGGCCCATCCTGAAGAAACAGTCCATGCTTACCTTGCTCCATCCTGAAGGAATGGTCCACACTTACCTGACTCCACTCTGAAGGAATGGTCCATGTTTACCTGGGCCCATCCTGAAGAAACAGTCCATGCTTACCTGGCTGTATTCTGAAGAAATGGTCCACACTTACCTGGCTCCATCCTGAAGGAATGGTCCGTGCTTACCTGGGCCCATCTTGAAGAAACAGTCCATGCTTACCTGGCTGTATTCTGAAGGAATGGTCCACACTTACCTGGCTCCATTCTGAAGGAATGGTCCATGCTTACCTGGGCCCATCCTGAAGAAACACTCCATGGTTACCTGGCTGTATTCTGAAGGAATGGTCCACACTTACCTGGCTCCATCCTGAAGGAATGGTCCATGCTTACCTGGGCCCATCCTGAAGAATGAGTCCATGCTTACCTTGCTCCATTCTGAAGGAATGGTCCATACTTACCTGAATCCATCCTGAAGGAATGGTACATGCTTACATGGGCCCATCCTGAAGAAACAGTCCATGCTTACCTTGCTCCATCCTGAAGGAATGGTCCACATTTACCTGGCTCCATCCTGAAGGAATGGTCCTTGCTTACCTGGGCCCATCCTGAAGAAACAGTCCATGCTTACCTGGCTGTATTCTGAAGGAATGGTCCCTGCCTACCTGATTCCATCGTGAAGGAATGGTCCACACTTATGTGACTCCATCCTGAAGGAATGGTCCATGCTTACCTGGGCCCATCCTGAAGAAACAGTCCATGCTTACCTGGCTGTATTCTGAGGGAATGGTCCACAATTACCTGACTCCATCCTGAAGGAATGTTCCATGCTTACCTGGGCCCATCCTGAAGAAACACTCCATGCTTACCTGGCTGTATTCCGAAGGAATGGTCCACACTTACCTGGCTCCCTTCTGAAGGAATGGTCCATGCTTACCTGGGCCCATCCTGAAGAAACACTCCATGCTTACCTGGCAGTATTCCGAAGGAATGGTCCACACTTACCTGGCTCCATCCTGAAGGAATGGTCCATGCTTACCTGGGCCCATCCTGAAGAAACAGTCCATGCTTACCTTGCTCCATCCTGAAGGAATGGTCCACACTTACCTGACTCCACTCTGAAGGAATGGTCCATGCTTACCTGGGCCCATCCTGAAGAAACACTCCATGCTTACCTGACTGTATTCTGAAGGAATGGTCCACACTTACCTGGCTCTATCCTGAAGGAATGGTCCCTGCTTACCTGGGCCCATCCTGAAGAAACAGTCCATGCTTACCTGGCTGTATTCTGAAGGAATGGTCCACACTTACCTGGCTCCATCCTGAAGGAATGGTCCATGTTTACCTGGGCCCATCCTGAAGAAACAGTCCATGCTTACCTTGATCCATCCTGAAGGAATGGTCCCCACTTACGTGACTCCATCCTGAAGGAATGGTCCATGATTAACTGGGCCCATCCTGAAGAAACAGTGCATGCTTACCTGGCTGCATTCTGAAGGAATGGTCCCTGCTTACCTGATTCCATCCTGAAGGAATGGTCCACACTTACGTGACTCCATCCTGAAGGAATGGTCCATGCTTACCTGGGCCCATCCTGAAGAAACAGTCCATGCTTACCTGGCTGTATTCTGAAGGAATGGTCCACACTTACCTGGCTCCATTCTGAAGGAATGGTCCATGCTTACCTGGGCCCATCCTGAAGAAACAATCCATGGTTACCTGGCTGTATTCTGAAGGAATGGTCCACACTTACCTGGCTCCATCCTGAAGGAATGGTCCATGCTTACCTGGGCCCATCCTGAAGAAAGAGTCCATGCTTACCTTGCTCCATTCTGAAGGAATGGTCCATACTTACCTGAATCCATCCTGAAGGAATGGTCCATGCTTACATGGGCCCATCCTGAAGAAACAGTCCATGCTTACCTTGCTCCATCCTGAAGGAATGGTCCACATTTACCTGGCTCCATCCTGAAGGAATGGTCCTTGCTTACCTGGGCCCATCCTGAAGAAACAGTCCATGCTTACCTGGCTGTATTCTGAAGGAATGGTCCCTGCCTACCTGATTCCATCGTGAAGGAATGGTCCACACTTATGTGACTCCATCCTGAAGGAATGGTCCATGCTTACCTGGGCCCATCCTGAAGAAACAGTCCATGCTTACCTCGCTGTATTCTGAAGGAATGGTCCACAATTACCTGACTCCATCCTGAAGGAATGTTCCATGCTTACCTGGGCCCGTCCTGAAGAAACACTCCATGCTTACCCGACTGTATTCTGAAGGAATGGTCCACACTTACCTGGCTCCCTCCTGAAGGAATGGTCCATGCTTACCTGGGCCCATCCTGAAGAAACACTCCATGCTTACCTGGCAGTATTCCGAAGGAATGGTCCACACTTACCTGGCTCCATCCTGAAGGAATGGTCCATGCTTACCTGGGCCCATCCTGAAGAAACAGTCCATGCTTACCTTGCTCCATCCTGAAGGAATGGTCCACACTTACCTGACTCCACTCTGAAGGAATGGTCCATGCTTACCTGGGCCCATCCTGAAGAAACACTCCATGCTTACCTGACTGTATTCTGAAGGAATGGTCCACACTTACCTGGCTCTATCCTGAAGGAATGGTCCATGCTTACCTGGGCCCATCCTGAAGAAACAGTCCATGCTTACCTGGCTGTATTCTGAAGGAATGGTCCACACTTACCTGGCTCCATCCTGAAGGAATGGTCCATGCTTACCTGGGCCCATCCTGAAGAAACAGTCCATGCTTACCTTGATCCATCCTGAAGGAATGGTCCCCACTTACCTGACTCCATCCTGAAGGAATGGTCCATGATTAACTGGGCCCATCCTGAAGAAACAGTGCATGCTTACCTGGCTGTATTCTGAAGGAATGGTCCCTGCTTACCTGATTCCATCCTGAAGGAATGGTCCACACTTACGTGACTCCATCCTGAAGGAATGGTCCATGCTTACCTGGGCCCATCCTGAAGAAACAGTCCATGCTTACCTGGCTGTATTCTGAAGAAATGGTCCACACTTACCTGGCTCCATCCTGAAGGAATGGTCCGTGCTTACCTGGGCCCATCTTGAAGAAACAGTCCATGCTTACCTGGCTGTATTCTGAAGGAATGGTCCACACTCACCTGGCTCCATTCTGAAGGAATGGTCCATGCTTACCTGGGCCCATCCTGAAGAAAAAGTCCATGGTTACCTGGCTGTATTCTGAAGGAATGGTCCACACTTACCTGGCTCCATCCTGAAGGAATGGTCCATGCTTACCTGGGCCCATCCTGAAGAAAGAGTCCATGCTTACCTTGCTCCATTCTGAAGGAATGGTCCATACTTACCTGAATCCATCCTGAAGGAATGGTCCATGCTAACATGGGCCCATCCTGAAGAAACAGTCCATGCTTACCTGGTTGTATTCTGAAGGAATGGTCCACACTTACTTGCTCCATCCTGAAGGAATGGTCCATGCTTACCTGGGCCCATCCTGAAGAAACAGTCCATGCTTACCTGGCTGTATTCTGAAGGAATGATCCACACTTTCCTGTCTCCATCCTGAAGGTATGGTCCATGTTTACCTGGGCCCATCCTGAAGAAACAGTCCATGCTTACCTGGCTGTATTCTGAAGGAATGGTCCACATTTCCCTGGCTCCAACCTGAAGGAATGGTCCATGCTTACCTGGGCCCATCCTGAAGAAACAGTCCATGCTTACCTTGCTCCATTCTGAAGGAATGGTCCACAAATACCTGACTGCATCCTGAAGGAATGGTCCATGCTTACCTGGGCCCATCCTGAAGAAACACTCCATGTTTACCTGGCTGTATTCTGAAGAAATGGTCCACACTTACCTGGCTCCATCCTGCAGGAATGGTCCATGCTTACCTGGGCCCATCCTGAAGAAACAGTCCATGCTTACCTTGCTCCATCCTGAAGGAATGGTCCACACTTACCTGACTCCACCCTGAAGGAATGGTCCATGCTTACCTGGGCCCATCCTGAAGAAATAGTCCATGCTTACCTGGCTGTATTCTGAAGAAATGGTCCACACTTACCTGGCTCCATCCTGAAGGAATGGTCCATGCTTACCTGGGCCCATCCTGAAGAAACACTCCATGCTTACCTGGCTGTATTCTGATGGAATGGTCCACACTTACCTGGCTCCATGCTGAAGGAATGGTCCATGCTTACCTGGGCCCATCCTGAAGAAACAGTCCATGCTTACCTTGCTCCATCCTGAAGGAATGGTCCACACTTACCTGACTCCACTCTGAAGGAATGGTCCATGCTTACCTGGGCCCATCCTGAAGAAACAGTCCATTCTTACCTGGCTGTATTCTGAAGGAATGGTCCACACTTACCTGGCTCTATCCTGAAGGAATGGTCCATGGTTACCTGGGCCCATCATGAAGAAACAGTCCATGCTTACCTGGCTGTATTCTGAAGGAATGGTCCACACTTACCTGACTTCATCCTGAAGGAATGGTCCATGCTTACCTGGGCCCATCCTGAAGGAATGGTCCACACTTACCTGACTCCATCCTGAAGGAATGGTCCATGCTTAACTGGGCCCATCCTGAAGAAACAGTGCATGCTTACCTGGCTGTATTCTGAAGGAATGGTCCCTGCTTACCTGATTCCATCCTGAAGGAATGGTCCACACTTACGTGACTCCATCTTGAAGGATTGGTCCATGCTTACCTGGGCCCATCTTGAGGAAACTGTCCATGCTTACCTGGCTGTATTCTGAAGGAATGGTCCACCCTTACCTGGCTCCATCCTGAAGGACTGGTTCATGCTTACCTGGGCCCATCCTGAAGAAACAGTCCATGCTTACCTGGCTGTATTCTGAAGGAATGGTCAACACTTACCTGGCTCCATCCTGAAGGAATGGTCCATGCTTACCTGGGCCCATCCTGAAGAAACAGTCCATGCTTAACTGGCTGTATTCTGAAGGAATGGTCAGTGATTACCTGGCTCCATCCTCAAGGAATAGTCCATGCTTACCTGGGCCCATCCTGAAGAAACAGTCCATGCTTACCTTGCTCCATCCTGAAGGAATGGTCCACATTTACCTGGCTCCATCCTGAAGGAATGGTCCTTGCTTACCTGGGCCCATCCTGAAGAAACAGTCCATGCTTACCTGGCTGTATTCTGAAGGAATGGTCCCTGCCTACCTGATTTCATCGTGAAGGAATGGTCCACACTTATGTGACTCCATCCTGAAGGAATGGTCCATGCTTACCTGGGCCCATCCTGAAGAAACAGTCCATGCTTACCTGGCTGTATTCTGAAGGAATGGTCCACAATTACCTGACTCCATCGTGAAGGAATGTTCCATGCTTACCTGCGCCCATCCTGAAGAAACACTCCATGCTTACCTGGCTGTATTCCGAAGGAATGGTCCACACTTACCTGGCTCCCTCCTGAAGGAATGGTCCATGCTTACCTGGGCCCATCCTGAAGAAACACTCCATGCTTACCTGGCAGTATTCCGAAGGAATGGTCCACACTTACCTGGCTCCATCCTGAAGGAATGGTCCATGCTTACCTGGGCCCATCCTGAAGAAACAGTCCATGCTTTCCTTGCTCCATCCTGAAGGAATGGTCCACACTTACCTGACTCCACTCTGAAGGAATGGTCCATGCTTACCTGGGCCCATCCTGAAGAAACACTCCATGCTTACCTGACTGTATTCTGAAGGAATGGTCCACACTTACCTGGCTCTATCCTGAAGGAATGGTCCATGCTTACCTCGGCCCATCCTGAAGAAACAGTCCATGCTAACCTGGCTGTATTCTGAAGGAATGGTCCACACTTACCTGGCTCCATCCTGAAGGAATGGTCCATGCTTACCTGGGCCCATCCTGAAGAAACAGTCCATGCTTACCTGGCTGTATTCTGAAGGAATGGTCCACACTTACCTGGCTCCATCCTGAAGGAATGGTCCATGCTTACCTGGGCCCATCCTGAAGAAACAGTCCATGCTTACCTTGATCCATCCTGAAGGAATGGTCCCCACTTACCTGACTCCATCCTGAAGGAATGGTCCATGATTAACTGGGCCCATCCTGAAGAAACAGTGCATGCTTACCTGGCTGTATTCTGAAGGAATGGTCCCTGCTTACCTGATTCCATCCTGAAGGAATGGTCCACACTTACGTGACTCCATCCTGAAGGAATGGTCCATGCTTACCTGGGCCCATCCTGAAGAAACAGTCCATGCTTACCTGGCTGTATTCTGAAGAAATGGTCCACACTTACCTGGCTCCATCCTGAAGGAATGGTCCATGCTTACCTGGGCCCATCCTGAAGAAACAGTCCATGCTTACCTGGCTGTATTCTGAAGGAATGGTCCACACTTACCTGGCTCCATCCTGAAGGAATGGTCCATGCTTACCTGGGCCCATCCTGAAGAAACAGTCCATGCTTACCTTGCTCCATCCTGAAGGAATGGTCCACACTTACCTGACTCCACCCTGAAGGAATGGTCCATGCTTACCTGGGCCCATCCTGAAGAAACAGTCCATGCTTACCTGGCTGTATTCTGAAGAAATGGTCCACACTTACCTGGCTCCATCCTGAAGGAATGGTCCGTGCTTACCTGGGCCCATCTTGAAGAAACAGTCCATGCTTACCTGGCTGTATTCTGAAGGAATGATCCACACTTACCTGGCTCCATTCTGAAGGAATGGTCCATGCTTACCTGGGCCCATCCTGAAGAAAGAGTCCATGCTTACCTTGCTCCATTCTGAAGGAATGGTCCATACTTACCTGAATCCATCCTGAAGGAATGGTCCATGCTTACATGGGCCCATCCTAAAGAAACAGTCCATGCTTACCTTGCTCCATCCTGAAGGAATGGTCTACATTTACCTGGCTCCATCCTGAAGGAATGGTCCTTGCTTACCTGGGCCCATCCTGAAGAAACAGTCCATGCTTACCTGGCTGTATTCTGAAGGAATGGTCCCTGCCTACCTGATTCCATCGTGAAGGAATGGTCCACACTTATGTGACTCCATCCTGAAGGAATGGTCCATGCTTACCTGGGCCCATCCTGAAGAAACAGTCCATGCTTACCTGGCTGTATTCTGAAGGAATGGTCCACAATTACCTGACTCCATCCTGAAGGAATGTTCCATGCTTACCTGGGCCCATCCTGAAGAAACACTCCATGCTTACCTGGCTGTATTCTGAAGGAATGGTCCACACTTACCTGGCTCCCTCCTGAAGGAATGGTCCATGCTTACCTGGGCCCATCCTGAAGAAACAGTCCATGGTTACCTTTGATCCATCCTGAAGGAATGGTCCCCACTTACCTGACTACATCCTGAAGGAATGGTCCATGATTAACTGGGCCCATCCTGAAGAAACTGTGCATGCTTACCTGGCTGTATTCTGAAGGAATGGTCCCTGCTTACCTGATTCCATCCTGAAGGAATGGTCCACACTTACGTGACTCCATCCTGAAGGAATGGTCCATGCTTACCTGGGCCCATCCTGAAGAAACAGTCCATGCTTACCTGGCTGTATTCTGAAGAAATGGTCCACACTTACCTGGCTCCATCCTGAAGGAATGGTCCATGCTTACCTGGGCCCATCCTGAAGAAACAGTCCATGCTTACCTGGCTGTATTCTGAAGGAATGGTCCACACTTACCTGGCTCCATCCTGAAGGAATGGTCCATGCTTACCTGGGCCCATCCTGAAGAAACAGTCCATGCTTACCTTGCTCCATCCTGAAGGAATGGTCCACACTTACCTGACTCCACTCTGAAGGAATGGTCCATGCTTACCTGGGCCCATCCTGAAGAAACAGTCCATGCTTACCTGGCTGTATTCTGAAGAAATGTTCCACACTTACCTGGCTCCATCCTGAAGGAATGGTCCGTGCTTACCTGGGCCCATCTTGAAGAAACAGTCCATGCTTACCTGGCTGTATTCTGAAGGAATGGTCCACACTTACCTGGCTCCATTCTGAAGGAATGGTCCATGCTTACCTGGGCCCATCCTGAAGAAACAGTCCATGGTTACCTGGCTGTATTCTGAAGGAATGGTCCACACTTACCTGGCTCCATCCTGAAGGAATGGTCCATGCTTACCTGGGCCCATCCTGAAGAAAGAGTCCATGCTTACCTTGCTCCATTCTGAAGGAATGGTCCATACTTACCTGAATCCATCCTGAAGGAATGGTCCATGCTTACATGGGCCCATCCTAAAGAAACAGTCCATGCTTACCTTGCTCCATCCTGAAGGAATTGTCCACATTTACCTGGCTCCATCCTGAAGGAATGGTCCTTGCTTACCTGGGCCCATCCTGAAGAAACAGTCCATGCTTACCTGGCTGTATTCTGAAGGAATGGTCCCTGCCTACCTGATTCCATCGTGAAGGAATGGTCCACACTTATGTGACTCCATCCTGAAGGAATGGTCCATGCTTACCTGGGCTCATCCTGAAGAAACAGTCCATGCTTACCTGGCTGTATTCTGAAGGAATGGTCCACAATTACCTGACTCCATCCTGAAGGAATGTTCCATGCTTACCTGGGCCCATCCTGAAGAAACACTCCATGCTTACCTGGCTGTATTCTGAAGGAATGGTCCACACTTACCTGGCTCCCTCCTGAAGGAATGGTCCATGCTTACCTGGGCCCATCCTGAAGAAACAGTCCATGCTTACCTTGATCCATCCTGAAGGAATGGTCCCCACTTACCTGACTCCATCCTGAAGGAATGGTCCATGATTAACTGGGCCCATCCTGAAGAAACAGTGCATGCTTACCTGGCTGTATTCTGAAGGAATGGTCCCTGCTTACCTGATTCCATCCTGAAGGAATGGTCCACACTTACGTGACTCCATCCTGAAGGAATGGTCCATGCTTACCTGGGCCCATCCTGAAGAAACAGTCCATGATTACCTGGCTGTATTCTGAAGAAATGGTCCACACTTACCTGGCTCCATCCTGAAGGAATGGTCCATGCTTACCTGGGCCCATCATGAAGTAACAGTCCATGCTTACCTGGCTGTATTCTGAAGGAATGGTCCACACTTACCTGGCTCCATCCTGAAGGAATGGTCCATGCTTACCTGGGCCCATCCTGAAGAAACAGTCCATGCTTACCTTGCTCCATCCTGAAGGAATGGTCCACACTTACCTGACTCCACTCTGAAGGAATGGTCCATGCTTACCTGGGCCCATCCTGAACAAACAGTCCATGCTTACCTGGCTGTATTCTGAAGAAATGGTCCACACTTACCTGGCTCCATCCTGAAGGAATGGTCCGTGCTTACCTGGGCCCATCCTGAAGAAAGAGTCCATGCTTACCTTGCTCCATTCTGAAGGAATGGTCCATACTTACCTGAATCCATCCTGAAGGAATGGTCCATGCTTACATGGGCCCATCCTGAAGAAACAGTCCATGCTTACCTTGCTCCATCCTGAAGGAATGGTCCACATTTACCTGGCTCCATCCTGAAGGAATGGTCCTTGCTTACCTGGGCCCATCCTGAAGAAACAGTCCGTGCTTACCTGGCTGTATTCTGAAGGAATGGTCCCTGCCTACCTGATTCCATCGTGAAGGAATGGTCCACACTTATGTGACTCCATCCTGAAGGAATGGTCCATGCTTACCGGGGCCCATCCTGAAGAAACAGTCCATGCTTACCTGGCTGTATTCTGAAGGAATGGTCCACAATTACCTGACTCCATCCTGAAGGAATGTTCCATGCTTACCTGGGCCCATCCTGAAGAAACAGTCCATGCTTACCTTGATCCATCCTGAAGGAATGGTCCCCACTTACCTGACTCCATCCTGAAGGAATGGTCCATGATTAACTGGGCCCATCCTGAAGAAACAGTGCATGCTTACCTGGCTGTATTCTGAAGGAATGGTCCCTGCTTACCTGATTCCATCCTGAAGGAATGGTCCACACTTACGTGACTCCATCCTGAAGGAATGGTCCATGCTTACCTGGGCCCATCCTGAAGAAACAGTCCATGCTTACCTTGCTCCATCCTGAAGGAATGGTCCACACTTACCTGACTCCACTCTGAAGGAATGGTCCATGCTTACCTGGGCCCATCCTGAAGAAACAGTCCATGCTTACCTGGCTGTATTCTGAAGAAATGGTCCACACTTACCTGGCTCCATCCTGAAGGTATGGTCCGTGCTTACCTGGGCCCATCTTGAAGAAACAGTCCATGCTTACCTGGCTGTATTCTGAAGGAATGGTCCACACTTACCTGGCTCCATTCTGAAGGAATGGTCCATGCTTACCTGGGCCCATCCTGAAGAAACAGTCCATGGTTACCTGGCTGTATTCTGAAGGAATGGTCCACACTTACCTGGCTCCATCCTGAAGGAATGGTCCATGCTTACCTGGGCCCATCCTGAAGAAAGAGTCCATGCTTACCTTGCTCCATTCTGAAGGAATGGTCCATACTTACCTGAATCCATCCTGAAGGAATGGTCCATGCTAACATGGGCCCATCCTGAAGAAACAGTCCATGCTTACCTGGCTGTATTCTGAAGGAATGGTCCACACTTACTGGCTCCATCCTGAAGGAATGGTCCATGCTTACCTGGGCCCATCCTGAAGAAACAGTCCATGCTTACCTGGCTGTATTCTGAAGGAATGATCCACACTTTCCTGTCTCCATCCTGAAGGTATGGTCCATGTTTACCTGGGCCCATCCTGAAGAAACAGTACATGCTTACCTGGCTGTATTCTGAAGGAATGGTCCACACTTCCCTGGCTCCAACCTGAAGGAATGGTCCATGCTTACCTGGGCCCATCCTGAAGAAACACTCCATGCTTACCTGGCTCCATTCTGAAGGAATGGTCCACAAATACCTGACTGCATCCTGAAGGAATGGTCCATGCTTCCCTGGGCCCATCCTGAAGAAACAGTCCATGCTTACCTTGCTCCATCCTGAAGGAATGGTCCACACTTACCTGACTCCACCCGGAAGGAATGGTCCATGCTTACCTGGGCCCATCCTGAAGAAATAGTCCATGCTTACCTGGCTGTATTCTGAAGAAATGGTCCACACTTACCTGGCTCCATCCTGAAGGAATGGTCCATGCTTACCTGGGCCCATCCTGAAGAAACACTCCATGCTTACCTGGCTGTATTCTGATGGAATGGTCCACACTTACCTGGCTCCATGCTGAAGGAATGGTCCATGCTTACCTGGGCCCATCCTGAAGAAACAGTCCATGCTTACCTTGCTCCATCCTGAAGGAATGGTCCACACTTACCTGACTCCACTCTGAAGGAATGGTCCATGCTTACCTGGGCCCATCCTGAAGAAACAGTCCATTCTTACCTGGCTGTATTCTGAAGGAATGGTCCACACTTACCTGGCTCTATCCTGAAGGAATGGTCCATGGTTACCTGGGCCCATCATGAAGAAACAGTCCATGCTTACCTGGCTGTATTCTGAAGGAATGGTCCACACTTACCTGACTTCATCCTGAAGGAATGGTCCATGCTTACCTGGGCCCATCCTGAAGGAATGGTCCACACTTACCTGACTCCATCCTGAAGGAATGGTCCATGCTTAACTGGGCCCATCCTGAAGAAACAGTGCATGCTTACCTGGCTGTATTCTGAAGGAATGGTCCCTGCTTACCTGATTCCATCCTGAAGGAATGGTCCACACTTACCTGACTCCATCTTGAAGGATTGGTCCATGCTTACCTGGGCCCATCTTGAGGAAACTGTCCATGCTTACCTGGCTGTATTCTGAAGGAATGGTCCACCCTTACCTGGCTCCATCCTGAAGGACTGGTTCATACTTACCTGGGCCCATCCTGAAGAAACAGTCCATGCTTACCTGGCTGTATTCTGAAGGAATGGTCAACACTTACCTGACTCCATCCTGAAGGAATGGTCCATGCTTACCTGGGCCCATCCTGAAGAAACAGTCCATGCTTAACTGGCTGTATTCTGAAGGAATGGTCAGTGATTACCTGGCTCCATCCTCAAGGAATAGTCCATGCTTACCTGGGCCCATCCTGAAGAAGCAGTCAATGCTTACCTTGCTGCATCCTGATGGAGTGGTCCACACTTACCTGACTCCATCCTGAAGGAATGGTCCATGCTTAACTGGGCCCATCCTGAAGAAACAGTCCATGCTTACCTTGTTGCATTCTGAAGGAATGGTCCATACTTACCTGACTCCATCCTGAAGGAATGGTCCATGTTTACCTGGGCCCATCCTGAAGAAACAGTCCATGCTTACCTGGCTGTATTATGAAGAAATGGTCCACACTTACCTGGCTCCATCCTGAAGGAAGGGTCCACACTTCCCTGAATCAACCCTGAAGGAATGGTCCATGCTGACCTGGGCTCATCCTGAAGAAACAGTCCATGCTTACCTGGCTGTATTCTGAAGGAATGGTCCCTGCTTACCTGATTCCATCTTGAAGGAATGGTCCACACTTACGTGACTCCATCCTGAAGGAATGGTCCATGCTTACCTGGGCCCATCCTGAAGAAACACTCCATGCTTACCTGCCTGTATTCTGAAGAAATGGTCCACACTTACCTGGCTGCATCCTGAAGGAATGGTCCATGCTTACCTGGGCCCATCGTGAAGAAACAGTCCATGGTTACCTGGCTGTATTCTGAAGGAATGGTGCACGCTTACCTGGCTCCAACCTGAAGGGATGGTCCATGCTTATCTGGGCCCATCCTGAAGAAACAGTCCATGCTTTCCTTGCTCCATCCTGAAGGAATGGTCCACACTTACCTGACTCCACTCTGAAGGAATGGTCCATGCTTACCTGGGCCCATCCTGAAGATACAGTCCATGCTTACCTGGCCGTGTTCTGAAGGAATGTTCCACACTTACCTGGCTCTATCCTGAAGGAATGGTCCATGGTTACCTGGGCCCATCCTGAAGAAAGAGTCCATGCATACCTGGCTGTATTCTGAAGGAATGGTCCACACTTACCTGGCTCCATCCTGAGGGAATGGTCCATTCTTACCTGGGCACATCCTGAAGATACAGTGCATGCTTACCTGGCCGTATTCTGAAGGAATGTTCCACACTTACCTGGCTCTATCCTGAAGGAATGGTCCATGGTTACCTGGGCCCATCCTGAAGAAAGAGTGCATGCATACCTGGCTGTATTCTGAAGGAATGGTCCACACTTACCTGGCTCCATCCTGAAGGAATGGTCCATTCTTACCTGGGCCCATACTGAAGAAACAGTTCATGCTTACCTGGCTGTATTCTGAAGGAATGGTCCTTGCTTACCTGATTCCATCCTGAAGGAATGGTCCACACTTACGTGACTCCATCCTGAAGGAATGGTCCATGCTTACCTGGTCCCATCCTGAAGAAACAGTCCATGCTTACCTGGCTGTATTCTGAAGGAATGGTCCACACTTACCTGGCTCCATCCTGAAGGAATGGTCCATGCTTACCTGGGCCCATCCTGAAGAAACAGTACATGCTTACCTGCCTGTATTCTGAAGGCATGATCATCACTTTCCTGTCTCCATCCTGAAGAAATGGTCCATGTTTACCTGGGCCCATCCTGAAGAAACAGTCCATGCTTACCTGGTTGTATTCTGAAGGAATGGTCACTGATTACCTGGCTCCATCCTCACGGAATAGTCCATGCTTACCTGGGCCCATCCTGAAGAAGCAGTCCATGCTTACCTTGCTGCATCCTGATGGAGTGGTCCACATTTACCTGGCTCCATCCTGAAGGAATGGTCCTTGCTTACCTGGGCCCATCCTGAAGAAACAGTCCATGCTTACCTGGCTGTATTCTGAAGGAATGGTCCCTGCCTACCTGATTCCATCGTGAAGGAATGGTCCACACTTATGTGACTCCATCCTGAAGGAATGGTCCATGCTTACCTGGGCCCATCCTGAAGAAACAGTCCATGCTTACCTGGCTGTAGTCTGAGGGAATGGTCCACAATTACCTGACTCCATCCTGAAGGAATGTTCCATGCTTACCTGGGCCCATCCTGAAGAAACACTCCAAGCTTACCTGGCTGTATTCCGAAGGAATGGTCCACACTTACCTGGCTCCCTCCTGAAGGAATGGTCCATGCTTACCTGGGCCCATCCTGAAGAAACACTCCATGCTTACCTGGCAGTATTCCGAAGGAATGGTCCACACTTACCTGGCTCCATCCTGAAGGAATGGTCCATGCTTACCTGGGCCCATCCTGAAGAAACAGTCCATGCTTACCTTGCTCCATCCTGAAGGAATGGTCCACACTTACCTGACTCCACTCTGAAGGAATGGTCCATGCTTACCTGGGCCCATCCTGAAGAAACACTCCATGCTTACCTGACTGTATTCTGAAGGAATGGTCCACACTTACCTGGCTCTATCCTGAAGGAATGGTCCATGCTTACCTGGGCCCATCCTGAAGAAACAGTCCATGCTTACCTGGCTGTATTCTGAAGGAATGGTCCACACTTACCTGGCTCCATCCTGAAGGAATGGTCCATGTTTACCTGGGCCCATCCTGAAGAAACAGTCCATGCTTACCTTGATCCATCCTGAAGGAATGGTCCCCACTTACGTGACTCCATCCTGAAAGAATGGTCCATGATTAACTGGGCCCATCCTGAAGAAACAGTGCATGCTTACCTGGCTGTATTCTGAAGGAATGGTCCCTGCTTACCTGATTCCATCCTGAAGGAATGGTCCACACTTACGTGACTCCATCCTGAAGGAATGGTCCATGCTTACCTGGGCCCATCCTGAAGAAACAGTCCATGCTTACCTGGCTGTATTCTGAAGAAATGGTCCACACTTACCTGGCTCCATCCTGCAGTACTGGTCCATGCTTACCTGGGCCCATCCTGAAGAAACAGTCCATGCTTACCTGGCTGTATTCTGAAGGAATGGTCCACACTTACCTGGCTCCATCCTGAAGGAATGGTCCATGCTTACCTGGGCCCATCCTGAAGAAACAGTCCATGCTTACCTTGCTCCATCCTGAAGGAATGGTCCACACTTACCTGACTCCACTCTGAAGGAATGGTCCATGCTTACCTGGGCCCATCCTGAAGAAACAGTCCATGCTTACCTGGCTGTATTCTGAAGAAATGGTCCACACTTACCTGGCTCCATCCTGAAGAAATGGTCCGTGCTTACCTGGGCCCATCTTGAAGAAACAGTCCATGCTTACCTGGCTGTATTCTGAAGAAATGGTCCACACTTACCTGGCTCCATTCTGAAGGAATGGTCCATGCTTACCTGGGCCCATCCTGAAGAAACAGTCCATGGTTACCTGGCTGTATTCTGAAGGAATGGTCCACACTTACCTGGCTCCATCCTGAAGGAATGGTCCATGCTTACCTGGGCCCATCCTGAAGAAAGAGTCCATGCTTACCTTGCTCCATTCTGAAGGAATGGTCCATACTTACCTGAATCCATCCTGAAGGAATGGTCCATGGTAACATGGGCCCATCCTGAAGAAACAGTCCATGCTTACCTGGCTGTATTCTGAAGGAATGATCCACACTTTCCTGTCTCCATCCTGAAGGTATGGTCCATGTTTACCTGGGCCCATCCTGAAGAAACAGTCCATGCTTACCTGGCTGTATTCTGAAGGAATGGTCCACACTTACCTGGCTCCATTCTGAAGGAATGGTCCATGCTTACCTGGGCCCATCCTGAAGAAGCAGTCAATGCTTACCTTGCTGCATCCTGATGCAGTGGTCCACACTTACCTGACTCCATCCTGAAGGAATGGTCCATGCTTAACTGGGCCCATCCTGAAGAAACAGTCCATGCTTACCTTGTTGCATTCTGAAGGAATGGTCCATACTTACCTGACTCCATCCTGAAGGAATGGTCCATGCTTACTTGGGCCCATCCTGAAGAAACAGTCCATGCTTACCTGGCTGTATTATGAAGAAATGGTCCACACTTACCTGGCTCCATCCTGAAGGAAGGGTCCACACTTCCCTGAATCCACCCTGAAGGAATGGTCCATGCTGACCTGGGCTCATCCTGAAGAATCAGTCCATGCTTACCTGGCTGTATTCTGAAGGAATGGTCCCTGCTTACCTGATGCCATCTTGAAGGAATGGTCCATACTTACGTGACTCCATCCTGAAGGAATGGTCCATGCTTACCTGGGCCCATCTTGAGGAAACAGTCCATGCTTACCTGGCTGTATTCTGAAGAAATGGTCCACACTTACCTGGCTCCATCCTGAAGGAATGGTCCATGCTTACCTGGGCCCATCCTGAAGAAACAGTCCATGCTTACCTTGCTCCATCCTGAGGGATTGGTCCCTGCTTACCTGATTCCATCCTGAAGGAATGGCCCACACTTATGTGACTCATCCTGAAGGAATGGTCCATGCTTACCTGGGCCCATCCTGAAGAAACAGTCCATGCTTACCTGGCTGTATTCTGAAGGAATGGTCCACAATTACGTGACTCCATCCTGAAGGAATGGTCCATGCTTACCTGGGCCCATCCTGAAGAAACACTCCATGCTTACCTGCCTGTATTCTGAAGAAATGGTCCACACTTACCTGGCTGCATCCTGAAGGAATGGTCCATGCTTACCTGGGCCCATCGTGAAGAAACAGTCCATGGTTACCTGGCTGTATTCTGAAGGAATGGTGCACGCTTACCTGGCTCCATCCTGAAGGGATGGTCCATGCTTACCTGGGCCCATCCTGAAGAAACAGTCCATGCTTACCTTGCTCCATCCTGAAGGAATGGTCCACATTTACCTGACTCCACTCTGAAGGAATGGTCCATGCTTACCTGGGCCCATCCTGAAGATACAGTCCATGGTTACCTGGCTGTATTCTGAAGGAATGTTCCACACTTACCTGCCTCTATCCTGAAGGAATGGTCCATGGTTACCTGGGCCCATCCTGAAGAAAGAGTCCATGCATACCTGGCTGTATTCTGAAGGAATGGTCCACACTTACCTGGCTCCATCCTGAGGGAATGGTCCATTCTTACCTGGGCCCATCCTGAAGATACAGTCCATGCTTACCTGGCCGTATTCTGAAGGAATGTTCCACACTTACCTGGCTCTATCCTGAAGGAATGGTCCATGGTTACCTGGGCCCATCCTGAAGAAAGAGTCCATGCATACCTGGCTGTATTCTGAAGGAATGGTCCACACTTACCTGGCTCCATCCTGAAGGAATGGTCCATTCTTACCTGGGCCCATCCTGAAGAAACAGTTCATGCTTACCTGGCTGTATTCTGAAGGAATGGTCCTTGCTTACCTGATTCCATCCTGAAGGAATGGTCCACACTTACGTGACTCCATCCTGAAGGAATGATCCATGCTTACCTGGTCCCATCCTGAAGAAACAGTCCATGCTTACCTGGCTGTATTCTGAAGGAATGGTCCACACTTACCTGGCTCCATCCTGAAGGAATGGTCCATGCTTACCTGGGCCCATCCTGAAGAAACAGTCCATGCTTACCTGGCTGTATTCTGAAGAAATGGTCCACACTTACCTGGCTCCATCCTGAAGGAATGGTTCGTGCTTACCTGGGCCCATCTTGAAGAAACAGTCCATGCTTACCTGGCTGTATTCTGAAGGAATGGTCCACACTTACCTGGCTCCATTCTGAAGGAATGGTCCATGCTTACCTGGGCCCATCCCGAAGAAACAGTCCATGGTTACCTGGCTGTATTCTGAAGGAATGGTCCACACTTACCTGGCTCCATCCTGAAGGAATGGTCCATGCTTACCTGGGCCCATCCTGAAGAAAGAGTCCATGCTTACCTTGCTCCATTCTGAAGGAATGGTCCATACTTACCTGAATCCATCCTGAAGGAATGGTCCATGCTTACATGGGCCCATCCTAAAGAAACAGTCCATGCTTACCTTGCTCCATCCTGAAGGAATGGTCCACATTTACCTGGCTCCATCCTGAAGGAATTGTCCTTGCTTACCTGGGCCCATCCTGAAGAAACAGTCCATGCTTACCTGGCTGTATGCTGAAGGAATGGTCCCTGCCTACCTGATTCCATCGTGAAGGAATGGTCCACACTTATGTGACTCCATCCTGAAGGAATGGTCCATGCTTACCTGGGCCCATCCTGAAGAAACAGTCCATGCTTACCTGGCTGTATTCTGAAGGAATGGTCCACAATTACCTGACTCCATCCTGAAGGAATGTTCCATGCTTACCTGGGCCCATCCTGAAGAAACACTCCATGCTTACCTGGCTGTATTCTGAAGGAATGGTCCACACTTACCTGGCTCCATCCTGAAGGAATGGTCCATGCTTACCTGGGCCCATCCTGAAGAAACAGTCCATGGTTACCTTTATCCATCCTGAAGGAATGGTCCCCACTTACCTGACTACATCCTGAAGGAATGGTCCATGATTAACTGGGCCCATCCTGAAGAAACTGTGCATGCTTACCTGGCTGTATTCTGAAGGAATGGTCCCTGCTTACCTGATTCCATCCTGAAGGAAAGGTCCACACTTACGTGACTCCATCCTGAAGGAATGGTCCATGCTTACCTGGGCCCATCCTGAAGAAACAGTCCATGATTACCTGGCTGTATTCTGAAGAAATGGTCCACACTTACCTGGCTCCATCCTGAAGGAATGGTCCATGCTTACCTGGGCCCATCATGAAGAAACAGTCCATGCTTACCTGGCTGTATTTTGAAGGAATGGTCCACACTTACCTGGCTCCATCCTGAAGGAATGGTCCATGCTTACCTGGGCCCATCCTGAAGAAACAGTCCATGCTTACCTTGCTCCATCCTGAAGGAATGGTCCACACTTACCTGACTCCACTCTGAAGGAATGGTCCATGCTTACCTGGGCCCATCCTGAAGAAACAGTCCATGCTTACCTGGCTGTATTCTGAAGAAATGGTCCACACTTACCTGGCTCCATCCTGAAGGAATGGTCCACATTTACCTGGCTCCATCCTGAAGTAATGGTCCTTGCTTACCTGGGCCCATCCTGAAGAAACAGTCCATGCTTACCTGGCTGTATTCTGAAGGAATGGTCCCTGCCTACCTGATTGCATCGTGAAGGAATGGTCCACACTTACGTGACTCCATCCTGAAGGAATGGTCCATGCTTACCTGGGCCCATCCTGAAGAAACAGTCCATGCTTACCTGGCTGTATTCTGAAGAAATGGTCCACACTTACCTGGCTCCATCCTGAAGGAATGGTCCGTGCTTACCTGGGCCCATCTTGAAGAAACAGTCCATGCTTACCTGGCTGTATTCTGAAGGAATGGTCCACACTTACCTGGCTCCATTCTGAAGGAATGGTCCATGCTTACCTGGGCCCATCCTGAAGAAACAGTCCATGGTTACCTGGCTGTATTCTGAAGGAATGGTCCACACTTACCTGGCTCCATCCTGAAGGAATGGTCCATGCTTACCTGGGCCCATCCTGAAGAAAGAGTCCATGCTTACCTTGCTCCATTCTGAAGGAATGGTCCATACTTACCTGAATCCATCCTGAAGGAATGGTCCATGCTAACATGGGCCCATCCTGAAGAAACAGTCCATGCTTACCTGGCTGTATTCTGAAGGAATGGTCCACACTTACTGGCTCCATCCTGAAGGAATGGTCCATGCTTACCTGGGCCCATCCTGAAGAAACAGTCCATGCTTACCTGGCTGTATTCTGAAGGAATGATCCACACTTTCCTGTCTCCATCCTGAAGGTATGGTCCATGTTTACCTGGGCCCATCCTGAAGAAACAGTACATGCTTACCTGGCTGTATTCTGAAGGAATGGTCCCTGCCTACCTGATTCCATCGTGAAGGAATGGTCCACACTTATGTGACTCCATCCTGAAGGAATGGTCCATGCTTACCTGGGCCCATCCTGAAGAAACAGTCCATGCTTACCTGGCTGTATTCTGAAGGAATGGTCCACAATTACCTGACTCCATCCTGAAGGAATGTTCCATGCTTACCTGGGCCCATCCTGAAGAAACACTCCATGCTTACCTGGCTGTATTCTGAAGGAATGGTCCACACTTACCTGGCTCCCTCCTGAAGGAATGGTCCATGCTTACCTGGGCCCATCCTGAAGAAACAGTCCATGCTTACCTTGATCCATCCTGAAGGAATGGTCCCCACTTACCTGACTCCATCCTGAAGGAATGGTCCATGATTAACTGGGCCCATCCTGAAGAAACAGTGCATGCTTACCTGGCTGTATTCTGAAGGAATGGTCCCTGCTTACCTGATTCCATCCTGAAGGAAAGGTCCACACTTACGTGACTCCATCCTGAAGGAATGGTCCATGCTTACCTGGGCCCATCCTGAAGAAACAGTCCATGCTTACCTGGCTGTATTCTGAGGGAATGGTCCACAATTACCTGACTCCATCCTGAAGGAATGTTCCATGCTTACCTGGGCCCATCCTGAAGAAACACTCCAAGCTTACCTGGCTGTATTCCGAAGGAATGGTCCACACTTACCTGGCTCCCTCCTGAAGGAATGGTCCATGCTTACCTGGGCCCATCCTGAAGAAACACTCCATGCTTAACTGGCAGTATTCCGAAGGAATGGTCCACACTTACCTGGCTCCATCCTGAAGGAATGGTCCATGCTTACCTGGGCCCATCCTGAAGAAACAGTCCATGGTTACCGTTATCCATCCTGAAGGAATGGTCCCCACTTACCTGACTCCATCCTGAAGGAATGGTCCATGATTAACTGGGCCCATCCTGAAGAAACAGTGCATGCTTACCTGGCTGTATTCTGAAGGAATGGTCCCTGCTTACCTGATTCCATCCTGAAGGAATGGTCCACACTTACGTGACTCCATCCTGAAGGAATGGTCCATGCTTACCTGGGCCCATCCTGAAGAAACAGTCCATGCTTACCTGGCTGTATTCTGAAGAAATGGTCCACACTTACCTGGCTCCATCCTGAAGGAATGGTCCATGCTTACCTGGGCCCATCCTGAAGAAACAGTCCATGCTTACCTGGCTGTATTCTGAAGGAATGGTCCACACTTACCTGGCTCCATCCTGAAGGAATGGTCCATGCTTACCTGGGCCCATCCTGAAGAAACAGTCCATGCTTACCTTGCTCCATCCTGAAGGAATGGTCCACACTTACCTGACTCCACTCTGAAGGAATGGTCCATGTTTACCTGGGCCCATCCTGAAGAACAGTCCATGCTTACCTGGCTGTATTCTGAAGAAATGGTCCACACTTACCTGGCTCCATCCTGAAGGAATGGTCCGTGCTTACCTGGGCCCATCTTGAAGAAACAGTCCATGCTTACCTTGCTCCATCCTGAAGGAATGGTCCACACTTACCTGACTCCACTCTGAAGGAATGGTCCATGCTTACCTGGGCCCATCCTGAAGAAACAGTCCATTCTTACCTGGCTGTATTCTGAAGGAATGGTCCACACTTACCTGGCTCTATCCTGAAGGAATGGTCCATGGTTACCTGGGCCCATCATGAAGAAACAGTCCATGCTTACCTGGCTGTATTCTGAAGGAATGGTCCACACTTACCTGACTTCATCCTGAAGGAATGGTCCATGCTTACCTGAGCCCATCCTGAAGGAATGGTCCACACTTACCTGACTCCATCCTGAAGGAATGGTCCATGCTTAACTGGGCCCATCCTGAAGAAACAGTGCATGCTTACCTGGCTGCATTGTGAAGGAATGGTCCCTGCTTACCTGATTCCATCCTGAAGGAATGGTCCACACTTACGTGACTCCATCTTGAAGGATTGGTCCATGCTTACCTGGGCCCATCTTGAGGAAACAGTCCATGCTTACCTGGCTGTATTCTGAAGAATTGGTCCACACTTACCTGGCTCCATCCTGCAGGACTGGTCCATGCTTACCTGGGCCCATCCTGAAGAAACAGTCCATGCTTACCTGGCTGTATTCTGAAGGAATGGTCAACACTTACCTGGCTCCATCCTGAAGGAATGGTCCATGCTTACCTGGGCCCATCCTGAAGAAACAGTCCATGCTTAACTGGCTGTATTCTGAAGGAATGGTCAGTGATTACCTGGCTCCATCCTCAAGGAATAGTCCATGCTTACCTGGGCCCATCCTGAAGAAGCAGTCAATGCTTACCTTGCTGCATCCTGATGGAGTGGTCCACACTTACCTGACTCCATCCTGAAGGAATGGTCCATGCTTAACTGGGCCCGTCCTGAAGAAACAGTCCATGCTTACCTTGTTGCATTCTGAAGGAATGGTCCATACTTACCTGACTCCATCCTGAAGGAATGGTCCATGCTTACCTGGGCCCATCCTGAAGAAACAGTCCATGCTTACGTGGCTGTATTATGAAGAAATGGTCCACACTTACCTGGCTCCATCCTGAAGGAAGGGTCCACACTTCCCTGAATCCACCCTGAAGGAATGGTCCATGCTGACCTGGGCTCATCCTGAAGAAACAGTCCATGCTTACCTGGCTGTATTCTGAAGGAATGGTCCCTGCTTACCTGATTCCATCTTGAAGGAATGGTCCACACTTACGTGACTCCATCCTGAAGGAATGGTCCATGCTTACCTGGGCCCATCTTGAGGCAACAGTCCATGCTTACCTGGCTGTATTCTGAAGAAATGGTCCACACTTACCTGGCTCCATCCTGCAGGACTGGTCCATGCTTACCTGGGCCCATCCTGAAGAAACAGTCCATGCTTACCTGGCTGTATTCTGAAGGAATGGTCCACACTTACCTGGCTCCATCCTGAAGGAATGGTCCATGCTTACCTGGGCCCATCCTGAAGAAACAGTCCATGCTTACCTTGCTCCATCCTGAAGGATTGGTCCCTGCTTACCTGATTCCATCCTGAAGGAATGGCCCACACTTATGTGACTCCATCCTGAAGGAATGGTCCATGCTTACCTGGGCCCATCCTGAAGAAACAGTCCATGCTTACCTGGCTGTATTCTGAAGGAATGGTCCACAATTACGTGACTCCATCCTGAAGGAATGGTCCATGCTTACCTGGGCCCATCCTGAAGAAACACTCCATGCTTACCTGCCTGTATTCTGAAGAAATGGTCCACACTTACCTGGCTGCATCCTGAAGGAATGGTCCATGCTTACCTGGGCCCATCGTGAAGAAACAGTCCATGGTTACCTGGCTGTATTCTGAAGGAATGGTGCACGCTTACCTGGCTCCATCCTGAAGGGATGGTCCATGCTTACCTGGGCCCATCCTGAAGAAACTGTCCATGCTTACCTTGCTCCATCCTGAAGGAATGGTCCACACTTACCTGACTCCACTCTGAAGGAATGGTCCATGCTTACCTGGGCCCATCCTGAAGATACAGTCCATGCTTACCTGGCCGTGTTCTGAAGGAATGTTCCACACTTACCTGGCTCTATCCTGAAGGAATGGTCCATGGTTACCTGGGCCAATCCTGAAGAAAGAGTCCATGCATACCTGGCTGTATTCTGAAGGAATGGTCCACACTTACCTGGCTCCATCCTGAAGGAATGGTCCATTCTTACCTGGGCCCATCCTGAAGATACAGTCCATGCTTACCTGGCCGTATTCTGAAGGAATGTTCCACACTTACCTGGCTCTATCCTGAAGGAATGGTCCATGGTTACCTGGGCCCATCCTGAAGAAAGAGTCCATGCATACCTGGCTGTATTCTGAAGGAATGGTCCACACTTACCTGGCTCCATCCTGAAGGAATGGTCCATTCTTACCTGGGCCCATCCTGAAGAAACAGTTCATGCTTACCTGGCTGTATTCTGAAGGAATGGTCCTTGCTTACCTGATTCCATCCTGAAGGAATGGTCCACACTTACGTGACTGCATCCTGAAGGAATGGTCCATGCTTACCTGGTCCCATCCTGAAGAAACAGTCCATGCTTACCTCGCTGTATTCTGAAGGAATGGTCCACACTTACCTGGCTCCATCCTGAAGGAATGGTCCATGCTTACCTGGGCCCATCCTGAAGAAACAGTACATGCTTACCTGCCTGTATTTTGAAGGCATGATCCTCACTTTCCTGTCTCCATCCTGAAGAAATGGTCCATGTTTACCTGGGCCCATCCTGAAGAAACAGTCCATGCTTACCTGACTGTATTCTGAAGGAATGGTCCACACTTACCTGGCTCCATCCTGAAGGAATGGTCCATGCTTACCTGGGCCCATCCTGAAGGAACAGTCCATGCTTACCTGGCTGTATTCTGAAGCAATGGTCACTGATTACCTGGCTCCATCCTCAAGGAATAGTCCATGCTTACCTGGGCCCATCCTGAAGAAGCAGTCCATGCTTACCTTGCTGCATCCTGATGGAGTGGTCCACACTTACCTGACTGCATCCTGAAGGAATGGTCCATGCTTACCTGGTCCCATCCTGAAGAAACAGTCCATGCTTACCTTGCTGCATTCTGAAGGAATGGTCCATACTTACCTGACTCCATCCTGAAGGAATGGTCCATGCTTACCTGGGCCCATCCTGAAGAAACAGTCCATGCTTACCTGGCCGTATTCTGAAGAAATGTTCCACACTTACCTGGCTCCATCCTGAAGGAATGGTCCACACTGACCTGACTCCACTCTGAAGGAATGGTCCATGCTTACCTGGGCCCATCCTGAAGAAACAGTCCATGCTTACCTGGCTGTATTCTGAAGGAATGGTCCACACTTACCTGGCTCTATCCTGAAGGAATGGTCTATGCTTACCTGGGCCCATCCTGAAGAAACAGTCCATGCTTACCTTGCTCCATCCTGAAGGAATGGTCCACACTTATCTGACTCCATCCTGAAGGAATGGTCCATGTTTACCTGGGCCCATCCTGAAGAAACAGTCCATGCTTACTTGGCTGTATTCTGAAGGAATGGTCCACACTTACCTGGCTCCATCCTGAAGTAATGGTCCACACTTACCTGACTCCATCCTGATGGAATGGTCCATGCTTACCTGGGCCCATCCTGAAGAAACAGTCCATGCTTACCTGGCTGTAGTCTGAAGGAATGGTCCACACTTAACTGGCTCCATCCTGAAGGAATGGTCCATGCTTACCTGGGCCCATCCTGAGGAAACACTCCTTGCTTACCTGGCTGTATTCTGAAGGAATGGTCCCTGATTACCTGGCTGCATCCTGAGGGAATGACCCACACTTAACTCACTGAATCTTGAAGGAATGGTCAGTGCTTACCTGGCTCCATTTTGAGGGAATGATCCATGCCTACATGGCTGCATCCTGACGGAATGATCCATGCTACCCTGGCAGCATCCTAAAGAAATGGTTCATACTTACCTACCTGCATGCTGAAGAATGGTCCCTGCTTACCTGGCTGCATCCTGATCAAATGGTCTACACTTACCTTGCTCCATTCTGAAGGTATGGTCCACACTTTTATATCTGCATCCTCAAGGAATGGTTCATGCTTACCTGTCTGCATCCTGAGGAAATGGTCCAGGGTTACCTGGCTCCATCCTGAAAAATTGTTTTATGTTTACCTGGCTGCATCCAGAAGGAATGGTCCATGCTTACCTGGCTCTATTCTGAAGGAATGTCCCATGCTTACCTGGCTCCCTCCTTAATGAAACATTCACACTTACCTGGCTCCATCCTGAAATACTGGCTCATATTTACCTGTATGTACCCTAAAGTAATGGTCCATGCTTACCTGGCTCCATGTTGAATGAATGGCCCATACTTATCTCACTTCACCCTGAATGAATGGCCCATACTTACCTGGCTCCATTTGGAAGGAATGATCCATGCTTACCTGGCTTTATCTTGAAAAAATGGTCCATGCTTACCTTGCTCCATCTGAAGGAATGTTCCACGCTTACCTGGCCGCATCCTGAAGGATTGATCCATGCTTACCTGGCTGCATCCTGAAGGAATGATCCACACTTACCTGGCTGTATCCTGAACGAGTGGTCCTTGGTTACCTGGCTGCATTCTGAGAAAATGGTCCAAACTTACCTGGCTTTATCCTAAGGGAATGGTCCATGCTTAGCTGGCTCCATCCAGAAGAAATGATCCATTCAGAAGAAAGGTTCATGCTTACCTGGCTGCATCCTGAAGAAATGGTCCACAGTTACCTGGCTGCACCCTAACGCAAAGGTCTGTGCTTACTTGGCTGCATCCTGAAGAAATGTTTCACGCTTACCTGGCTCCATCCTGAAGAAATGGTCCACAGTTTCCTGGCTGCACCCTAAAGGAAAGGTCTGTGCTTACCTGGCTGCATCCTGAAGGAATTGTCCATGCTTACTTGGCTCCATCCTGAGGGAATGGTCTATGCATACCTGGCTCCATCCTGAAGTAATAATGGCCCTCGCTTCCCTGGCTTTACACTGAAGGAATTGTCCACACTTCCCTGGCTGCATCCTGAAGAAATGATTCACATTTATCCGGCTCCATCCTGAAGAAATGATCCATGTTTACCTAGCTGCATCCTGAAGGAATGTTTCATACTTACCTGGCTGCATCCTGAAGGAATGCTTCCTGCTTACCTGGCTACACCGTGGAGGAATGGTTCATACTTACCAGCCTCTATCCTGAAGGAATTGTCCACGCTTACCTGGCTGCATCCTGAAGGAGTGGTCCATGCTTACCTGGAGGCTTCATCTGGGAAAACAACCTGTTCCATCCTCTGGCCATTTCCATCTTGGATTCCTCTGAGCTAATGACCCAGGTGTTAATTTTTTTTGTTGTTTATAGGATTATGATCACGAAAGACAAGGTTTCTGTTCTCCTGGTACTTAGATTCTAATGAGGGATCACAATCTGTGTTCACTGGGTTTCTCCAGAGAAACAGAAACAATGGGATACCAGTTCTTTGTTTTCTTTCTTTCCTCCCTTTTTTTTCTTCCTCCTTTTTCCATCTATCTATCTATTTATCGTCTATCTTCTATCATTCTTTCTTTTCTGCTTCCTTGTTTCATACATCTATCTATCTAGAGAGAGAGAAAGAGAAAAGACAAGAGAAAGAGATTTTATTATAAGGCATTGGCTCCTGCAGTTATGGAGGCTGACAAGTTCCGTGATCTGCAGGGTGAGTTGGCGAGTGGAGACCTCCGAGAGCTGATGGTGTAGCTCCAGTCCAAAGGCCAGCAGGCTGGAGACCCAGGAAGAGATGTTCCAGTTAGAGTCTGAAGGCAGCAGAAAGCTAATGTCCCAGCTTGAAGGCAGCTGGGCAGGAAGAGCCAGCATTCCAGGTGGGGGCCATCAGCCAGCAGAGTCCCCCGTTTCTCAGAGGAGGGACGGCCCTTTCATTCTATTCCAGGTTTCTCGTGGGTGGATGAGGCCCACCCCCATTAGGGAGGGCAGTCTGCTTTACTCAGTCTGACAATTAAAATATTAATCTCAACCAGAAACACCCCCCAGACACACCCAGAATGTCTGACCAAATATCTGGACACCCTGTGTCCTCATCAAGTTGACACGTAAAATTCACCATCACGTCACCCGTTGTCACCTTGGCACTGATGGGTTTCCTTAAAACCACACTTTATCCTCAAATAAAGAAGATACCAAGGTCACCATTCCACCTAACGTGATACAGCTAATCCCACATACAACTGAAAACACACAATCTCTTCCCCAGAAAAGGAAATAAAGGCCTTGAGTGAGGTTTACTCTTCTTCTGATATTTTCAACTTAGATTCTATGATGTAAAATTCACAATTCTTGAATACAATCTTATAACCTAAATACATCTTATGTTACATAACAGGATAAGAGAGGGAAGAAAACAAAGATATTTGCTATATAATACGCACACACATTCATAACAAAATTAGGAGGAAATTCTTCTGACTACTGCAGGCCTCACCTCAGTAATTAGTCACCTGGAGACAAATGTGGAAGATAATTTGAAGTCGTGATAGGAGCTGTGAAGACACACAGCCAGGCCATACTCACCCAGCAGGGCTGGGCCTCAGGGTGCCCCACAGGTGTCCCCTCAAAGCGTAGAAACCGGACTTTTGCCCACCAACTGCCTTCCATAGGGCCGGTATCTCCCCTGCAGGCCCAGCCTCTCAGGCTGCTTCAGATGTGGGCTGTGCTCATTCTTCTGGCTTGAGAAAATGTCTGGAGGAAAAGTAGTGACTACGAGGTGCACACGTGAGGTGGGATTGTGGCAGCATTCATGGCCATCGTCTCAGCTCTGCAGGCGGAATTCGAGGTGGGATGAGGAGATAATCTGTGTATGGGGCAAAAGAGATGCTTCCATCCTCATCTCCTGGCAACAGCCAGATTCCATTTTTCTCCCCATTGTACAGGAGGGGCACAGAAGTTCCGTAACTTGCCAGAGGTCACAAAGATCACAATTTGTAGAGGAAGGGTTTGACCCCAGGCAGCCAGCGAAGGATGTATGTGGGGAACTTGACTAAGTCATTAAAGCATATGAGTTTTCTACTTCGTATACTTTAATCATTTGAAAATGTATTAAATAAACATAAAATACCTTAATAATAAAAAATATGTGTATTCAGATATTTTCTTTCAGTGTGGTCTTGGTTGTGATGCACTGATACTTAAATTGATCTATGCTTTTATGTTAAGCATTATTTTCCTTTTCAGTAGAGAATAAACTAACTTCAACTATATTTCAGCAGGGAAAACATGAACTGATATAAGTTCCAATATGTTTTCTCATCGAGAACAAGATGAATACATACACACATATAAAACACATGCACTCTTAAGTAAAAATAGGATTTTTTTTTCGAGGTTTTGCTCTTGTTGCCCAGGCTGGAGTGCAATGGTGTGATCTCAGCTCACTGTAACCTCCGCCTCCAGGGTGTAGCTGGGATTACAGTTGCCTGCCACCACGTCTGGGTAATTTTTGTATAAAAATAGGACTTTAAAAAAAAATCCAAATTTCTGATATTTAGGGACCATGACACAGCAATGTCTCCTGCACTGGACTTTATGTTTTATTAGTAAAGATTTTACCACTTTATTAAAATTATAATTTGGTATAATTATTATAATTTGGATAATATCTGAATGATACCTCTGATATATCTGAGTTATGATCTGGACTGAAGTAGACTTAACAACAATCAATTTCAGTAAATATAGCCAAGTGACCATGTAGTGTTACAAGTTCCAAAATTTCCACCCCAAGAATGACACGGCCACAGACGTGGGATGTGTGGCCTCTGCTCAGGACAGAGGGGACCCGGTGGGGCACCGCTGAGAGCTCTGAACTGAGAGAGACAGAAACCAGTTACCACTCATTCAGACCACTGACTTGGGCAGTTGACTGAATCTCTCAGGGCCTGTTTCCCTGTATTGACAATAATAACCTACCATGGAGATGAGGATGAAACTTTACCTACCGCAAACCTCTATGGAAATACGGGTTGTTAATATTAACCACCATCAGTGAGCCCATGGCTATGGCCACAGCCTAGAGAGGCTGAAACGGTTAACTGTGACTAGACACCGGAGGTTGGAGACTTACTTGCTTTATGACTGGGTTGACTCGTAAATGCCACGTAGACTTGCAAAGGAAGCGGTAAAGAGCTGTACCCCCGCTCTGGGGGGTTTATCATCAGAAGGAGAGAGACCCGAGGGAGCCACCTGCCCACTCCAGATGAGGTGCTCCGTGGAACACGAGGAGCACACGAAACCCGATCAGCTTTGTGTGACTTCCGCGTGTGGGGTGGCACGCGTGTGCTTGCTATTCATTGTTTCTGCTGGGGGCATTTTTATCTTTTGAAATTCTTTCTTCTGAACCTTTCGTGCCTACCAGAACCAGCCTGTCAGGATGCGCCTGATCTCCACAGCAGCCCCTCCATCCGACTCTGAAGAAGCCGTCAGCTCACAGAAGATTCCTTTTGTTTAATGAGTAACAGCTACTGACTCACTCCATGGCCCACCAGAATGACAGACTCCTGTTCAAAAGCCTGATCTGAAGTTGCTGCCATGACACAAGCAATGCCTGTGAAGTGCCTGCAGCCCACGCCTCTGAGACAGGCCAGGCGTGTGGTGGACACGCAGCTGCAGGCGCTTGCTCTCTGTCATCACGAGAAAAAGTATCCCTGCACCGGACAAGAAAGGACCTGCAGGCACACTCACAATCAACTTCCTGATTTCACAATGATGGTAGGGAGCCCTGTGGGCACTAGAAGCAGCGGGGAGGGGTTCTAGACCTTTGGTGCCCAAGAGACTTCCGTGCATGGAAAATGTTGACTTCTAGCTTCCATCTGCAGCGAACTCTCCATCGGGACATGGGACCTGGCTGTACGAGTTAATTCAAACTGAGCCACTTTCCATTAGGGTGAGCCACTTTTCATCATATGCTTATCATAACAATCAGATCTTTTGTGTAAACTGGAGCTTTTTTAAACTTAGCGTCTTTCCCAGATAGAGTGCACTCTTTCTGGTCACAGGATTGCATTCGCGTCCTTATTTTCCTGCTATGAGGAAGTGTTGATCTGGTCCAGGTGTGTTTTAAAGTATACACCCTGGACCATTCCATCATTACAGGGAGCGGAGTGGGGTTATCTGGAGGCCTCATCTGCTAGGAGACGAGGGATGTGCTGGGGGCAACAGGAGGCTGTGCTGTGTCCACACCAACTCCTTTTCAGGAACCGTTCAGAAGCTCAGGGACGTGAAACCTAAACTCTGTCCTCCAAGTCTTCTTGCAGCTGATGTACCTGAGGTGGTTTAGGTGACACTAATCTGGGGTCCTGAGGAGGCTCTGACTTTGAAATCCAGTTAAGCGAGAAGGAAGGTGGGGGATGAGGTGCCCATTCTGCTCGTGTCATGAATATTATTTTCACTGCTGTTATCTGATGTTGATTAGCATATATTTTTCATATATATATATATATATATATATCTGTGTGTGTGTATGCCATATATGTATTTGCAGAAATACTTTGAGGCCTTATATAATGTTATCTTCCTCCAGAGATAATTTTCTCTTCCTTTTTCCAGGCACCAAATGGAGTTAGCAATCCAAGATTATTTTATTTTCTGGGCTATCCAGATGACTTAAAGCCTCGCTGAAGTTCCCATGAGAAGAGTTTAAACAACCCAAAGAAAGCACGTAAGAAAGGAATAACAACAACAAAACCCAGAAAGAATGAATAGGAAACAAATGCAGTGGTTCCCCTTACCTGTGGCGAAGACGTTCCAAGACCCCCAGTGGATAGTACCAAGCCCTAGATATATGATATTTTTTCTGTATACACACACACCTATAATGAAGCTTAATTTATAAGTTGGGAACAGTAAGAAATTAGCAACAGTAACTAATATAACAATATACAATAATAAAAGTGATGTGTGTGTGATTTCTCTCTCTCAAAATATCTTATTGTACTGTATGCACCTATTTTCAGATCATGGTCGACTGCAGGGAACTGAAACTACAGAAATGAACACTTCCAATAAGAGGCAACTACTGTTCTCAAACGGTAGAGTCAAACATAACCATATTACACCAAATGTTACATCAGTGTTTAACTCACATCATGTTAAACATTGCAATGAAGAGAAGAGATTCTCCAGTGAATACAAATGCAACACCCAACTCCATGCTTTTTACAGGAAATCTGACTTTAAATATAAAGTCACAGATGGGTTGATGTGAATAGATTCAAGAAAAGATATACCACACAAGCATAAAGCATAACAGCCTCAAGTGGGTATCTTTCTATCAGAAAATAGATATTAAGACAAAAACATTACCAGAGATAAAGAGCACTTTATAACAAAAGGCTCATTTAGTCAGAAAACACAATAATTATAAATGTGTAGTATCTAATAATGGAGCTTCTAAATACATGAAGAAAAATGGATAGAAATATAGGAGAAATAGAAAATTCCACAATCAGAGTTGGATACTTTAAACCCCATATCAGCAATTTATAGAAGAACTAGACAAAAGATCAGAAAAAAAGAATAACTAAAAAACACTATTGGCCAGGTGTGGTGGCTCATGCCTGTAATCCCAGCACTTTGGGAGGCCAAGGCAGGTGGATCACCTGAGGTAAGGAGTTTGAGACCAGCCTGGCCAACATGGCGAAACCCTGTCCCTACTAAAAATACAAAAACTAACCGGGTGTGGTGGTGCATGCCTGTAATCCCAGCTACTTGGGTGCCTGAGGCGGGAGAATCATTTGAACCTGGGAGGCGGAGGTTGCAGTGAGCCGAGATCATGCCATTGCACTCCAGCCTGGGCAACAAGAGCGAAACTCTATCTCAAAACAAAACAAAACAACCAAAAAAACCCCACTATTGACCTTGAGTTTACTGATATTTGTAGAGCACTATACCTTATGGCAGCAGAATACAAATTCTTTTCACCTGTGTGTGCTACTCCAGCAGGTGCCAGATTCTGTAGCCTAAAACAAGTCTCATCAGATTTAAGAAGATTGATGTCACATAGAGTATGCTCTCGACTACAATAAAGTTAAGTTAAAGAGCTTCACCATAAATATAACTGGGACGCCCCCAGATATTTGGAAATTAAACAACACATTTGTAAATAATCCATGAGTAAAATTAAAAAGAAAATCAGAAAATATTTTTAGCTAAATAATAAAAATACATTTCAATAGTTATGGGATGCAGCTAACATAGTAACGAGGGAAATTTGTAGATTTAAATTCACATTTTAGAAAAATAGTCTACATCCAGTAATCTGAGTTACCAACTTAAGATATTAGTAAAAGAAAATTAAACCAAAAGTAAGAAGAAAAAAAATAATAAAAAGAGGGGTAGAAATTATTAAAATCAAAACTAAAATAAATAAATATCAGTGAAACAAAAACTGGTTCTTTAAGAATTTATGAACCTTCAGTTAGACTAGTCAATGGAGGGGGTGAAAACAGAAGAAACTCAAATTACCAATAACAGGAACAAAAGAAAAAACATCTCTATAGATCAGACAGTTAAAAGGCAAAAAGCGAATATTATGAGTAACTCTATGCCAATAAATTTTGTAATCTAGATGAAATGAATCACATTTTTCAAAGACACAAATTACCAAAAGTGAAATTGGTAAATTGAATACTTACATATCTCTATGTCAATTATAAATTTGGATTTGTAGTAAGTTATCTCCCCATAGGACCTCTCAATTCTGAAGGAAATGTAGTGTTGATAGTTTTCAAACCAGAATGAGGAAGATGTTGAGATTATCAGGGAAAGAACTGAAAGAACCTACTTTAATCATGTATCCTGAGGTAAAGGCAAACATTCTTGATATGACAGAAAAGCCTCATCAGAGAAATAGAACTATAAAATACAACCAAATGGAAATGTTAGAACTGAAAAATACAATCTCTGAAATTAAAAAAAAATCACTGGAGGGGCTCAATAGCACAATGGAGGTCATGGAACTTACAGTCTGTGAACTTGAAGATTAAATCATAGAAATTATTCAATCTAAAAAAACAGAGAAAAAAGGATTGAATAGAAAATAAATAGACCTGTGAGGAAATATCAAAAGCTTAACATTTACGACAGTAGAGTCCTAAAGAGACAGAAGAAAGAGATTGGTGTGGAATTTGAAGAAAGTATGGCCAGACATGCTGAACTGAAAGACAGATGTACAGATTGAAGAAGATCAGAGAGCCCCATACAGAATAAACTCAAAGGAAATCACACCAAAGCACATTATAGTCGAAGTACTAAAAATAAAAGATAAATAAACATCATGAAAGCAGGCAAAGAAAAGCACTGCATTACATGCAGGAAATAATAATTTGAACAACTTAAATTTCTTATCAGAAACCATGGAACCTGGAAGACAGTGGAACAATATCCTTAAAATGCTGAAAGATGATGGCCAACCAAAAATTCTATACCAGTGAAAATATGCAGAAGAATGGTAGCAAAATAAGGACATTCTCAGATAAATGAAAACAAAAAGAACTCATAAGCAGAACTGCTCTTGAGAAAATACTAAATGAAATTATTGACGCTGAAGAGAAATGATATCAAAAGGAATCCTGGAACTTCAAAAAGTAAGAAGAGTGAGAGAAGGCAAACATATGAGTAAATATATCAAGCTATTCTTGTTTCCCTCTTAAACATCACTCTGAAAGCAAAAATTATAACATTTACTAGGTGGTATTCAATAATGATAGATAATATTTATGAAGCTATAAAATAAAAGGGGAGAACAAGCAGAGCTACATGTTTGTAAACCTTCCATATTTTGAATAAAGTGGTAAAATATTAAATATAATTAGACTAAAATTTTAGGTAAATGTTAAGTCATGGTGTATTATCATTTTTACATATTGCTAGAGTTGATTTGCTAATGCTTTGTTGAGGACTTCTTTTGCAACTATGTTTATGAGGGATATTTGTCTATAATCACAAGAGTAAGTAATCACAAGAGCGATTACTAAAAAAACAAAGAAAAACAAACAAACAAAAGACAAACAAGAAGCCATAACAAAAAAGATAACAGAAAAATACAATACTAAAGCAATCCAAATAATTAAGAAGAAAGCAAGAAAATAGGAACAGAGATATCAAAACTGAGGGAACGAATAAAAAACAAATCTTAATATAGTAGACCTAAATACAAACAAATCAATGATTACATGAAATATAAATGGTCTTAACTCGCCTATTAAATAATGGAGTATGTCAGATTGGGCTAAAAACAAAGACTCAGCTGTATGTTGTTTATAAGAAAACAACTTTAAATATGCTGACATAGGTTAAAAGTAGAAGAATAAAAGTAGATGTACAATGCAAACACTATTGAAAAGAAATTTGATTGCTTGTATTAATATCAGACAATGTAGACTTTAGAACATGGAAAATTACCAGAAATAAAGAGGGGTATTGCATAAAGGTAACAGGGTCAATAACTAGGAGGGCTCCGAAATATATAAAGTGAAAGAAATACAACTGAATACAGAAATAGACAAATTCACAATTATATTTGAAAATGTCATTATATCTGTCTCTGTAATTGATAGGATGATTCAAGTGAAAATCAGCAAGGAGTTGCTTGTAAATTCTAGATATTAGGCCTTTTTCAGATGGGTAGATTGCAAACATTTTCTCCCATTCTGTAGGTTGCCTGTTCACTCTGATAATAGTTTCTTTTGCTGTGCAGAAGCTCTTTATTTTAATCAGATTCCATTTGTCAATTTTGGCTTTTGTTGCCATTGCTTTTGGCTTTTTTGTTATGAAGTCTTTGCCCATGCTATGTCCTGAATGGTATTACCTAGGTTTTCTTCTAGGGTTTTCATGGTTTTGGGTTTTACATTTAAGTCTTTAATCCATCTTGAGTTAATATTTGTATAAAGTGTAAGGAAGGGATCCAGTTTCAGTAGTCTGCATATGGCTAGCCAGTTTTCCCAGCACCATTTGCTGAATAGGAGATCCTTTCCCCATTGCTTGTTTTTGTCAGGTTTGTCGAAGATCAGATGGTTGTAGATGTGTGGTGTATTTTCTGAGGTCTCTGTTCTGCTCCATTGGTCTACATATCTGTTTTGGTAGCAGTACCATGCCGTTTTGGTTACTGTAGCCTTGTATAGTTTGAAATCAGGTAGCGTGATGCCTCCAGCTTTGTTCTTTTTGCTTAAGATTGTCTTGGCTATACGGGGTCTTCTTTGATTCCTATGGAATTTAAAATAGTTTTTTTTTTTTCTAATTCTGTGAAGAATGTCAATGGTAGTTTGATGGGAATAGCATTGAATCTATAAATTACTTTGGGCAGTATGGTCATTTTCATGATATTGATTCTTTCTATTCATGAGGATGTAATATTTTTCCATTTGTTTGTGTCCTCTCTTATTTCCTTGAGCAGTGGTTTGTAGTTCTTCTTGAAGGGGTCTTTCACGTCCCTTGTTAGCTGTATTCCTAGGTATTTTATTCTCTTTGTAGTGATTGTGAATGGGCATTCATTCATGATTTGGCTCTCTGCTTGTCTATTGTTGGTGTAAAGGAATGCTTGTGATTTTTGCACATTGATTTTGTATCCTGATACTTTGCTGAAGTTGCTTATCGGTTTAAGGAGTTTTTGGGCTAAGATGATGGGGTTTTACTAAATATAAAATCATGTTGTTTGCAGACAGAGACAATTTGACTTCCTCTCTTCCTATTTGAATATGCTTTATTTCTTTCTCTTGCCTGATTGCCCTGGCCAGAACTTCCAATACTATTTTGAATAGGAGTGGAGAAAGAGGGCATCCTTGTCTTGTACTGGTTTTCAAAGGGAATGTTTCCAGCTTTTGCCCATTCATTATGATATTGGCTGTGGATTTGTTATAAATAGCTCTTATTATTTTGAGATATGTTCCATCAATACCTAGTTTATTGAGGTTTTTAACATGAAGGGATGTTGAATTTTATCAAAGTCCTTTTCTGCATCTATTGAGATAATCATGTGGTTTTTATCTTTGGTTCTGTTTATGTGACTGATTACGTTTATTGGTTTGTGTATGTTGAACCTGCCTTGCATCCCAGGGATGAAGCCAATTTGATCATGATGGACAAGTTTTTTGATGTGCTGGTGGATTTGGGTTGCCAGTATTTTATTGAGAATTATTTTCATATCTATGTTCATCAGGGATATTGGCTTGAAGTTTTCTTTTTTTGTTGTGTCTCTTCCTGGTTTTGGTATCAGGATGATGCTGGCTTCATAAAATGAAGGATATAGAAGATGCAAACAACACAAAAAACTTGATCTAATTGTCATATATAGAACTTTCCACCCCAAAAGAGCAAAATACACATTGGTTTTTCAAGTGCACATGGAACATTCTGAAAGATAGGCCATGTTCTGGAGCATAAAGTAAAGCCTAAACTTAAAAAAGAAATCATTCAAAGCATGTTCTTGGTACATAACAAATAAAATAGAAGTCAATAATGGAATATTATTGGAATGATACACAAATACTTGAAAATTAAACAGCACACTTCTGAAATAACTTATGGATCACTAGTAATTCTCAAGTGAAATTAGTGAAAATATTGTGAACTGAATGAAAATAAAAATTCATCATATTAAACTTTGTAGGATGCAGCTAAAACAGAGCTTAGAAGGAAATTTGTGACATAAAATGTTGTGTTAGAAATCTAGAACATGGAATGTTTTATTAGAATATAACAAAACTCCTAAATCAATAATCACATTTTCCCCTATAGAAACTAGTTAAGGAAGAGTAAATTAAACCCAAAGTAAGTAAAAGGAATATAATAATAAAGGTAAGAGACTAAAGCAGTCAAATTAAAAACAGAAAAGCAGAAGAGAAAATCAATGAATCCAAAGGCTGTTTCTCTAACAAGATAATAAAACTGATAAAACTCTAGTGAGAATAACCATGAGAAAAAGAAAGAAGACACAATTTTCCAATGTTAGAAATAAAAGAGTGGGCATCACTGTAGACCCTACAGACATGAAAAGGGTAATAAAGGAACACCACAAATGACTATCTGCCTGTAGGGTTGACAGTTCAGATAAAATGGACTAATTTCTTGATAATCATAAATTACTAACGCCCATTCAAGAAAAACAGGCAACATGAATAGTCCTATATCTACTAAAGAAGTTGAATTTTTAATTACAACCTTCCTAATTAGCAAACTTCAGGCCTTGATTGTTTTACTGGTGAATTCCACCAGCATTTAAGAAAGAAATAATACCAATTCTGCAAAATCTCTTCCAGAAAATAGAAGAAGAGAAAACACTGCTCAATAAATATTACCTTTATACAAAAACTACACAAAGATATTCTAAAAAAAGAGATTCTTACAAATATCCCTCATGAACATAGTTGCAAAAGTTCTCAACAAAGCATTAGCAAATCAACTCTAGCAATATGTAAAAATGATAATACACCATGACTTAGTGGGGTTTATCCCAGAAATGCAAGTCTATCTCAACATTAAAAATTAATGTAGAAAAAGCATGTGACAAGTCTCAATGTCCATTTATAATAAAGATGCTCAAAAACCTTAGAAAAGTCTCTTATCTCAATAAAGGGCAGCTACAGGAAACTGCATTGGACCCCACACTTGGTGGTGGAAGATAGAGCTTTCTTCCTAAGGTGGGAAGCAAGACAAGAATGTCAGGTTTCACTGCTCCCAGTCCACATGGTGCAGAAAGTCTCAGTGCAATCAGGCAAAAAACAAACAAACAAACAAAAAACCATACACAAATCCCACAAACAAACAAAAAACCCAAAAAACAAAAGGCATATAGGTTGGAAAGAAACACTTGCGACTTACATTATTTTCTATGCAGAATATCTCCAAAGGCACCTTAGTGGCTCCTATAACTAATAAGTGAGTTTGGCAAGTTCACAGGATACATATTTAATATGAAAAAATCAATTGTATTTCTGAATGAACAATTGGAATTGAGATTTTTTAAAAGTACTATTTCAATTGCACCAAAAAAGAGAGAAATATTTAGATGTACGTACAGCAAAAAATGTGGAGGACATGTGTGCTTAAAAGTACAAAATGCTAATGAATGAAACCAATGATAACTTAAAAGAATGGAAAGATATATTGTATTCCTGAATTGGAAGCTTCAATATTACTAAAATAACAGTTCTGCCCAAGTTGAGACAGACGACTAATAGAGAGAACACACATAAAGGATAGAGAGATAGAGATGGATAGATAGAGATAGATGTTGTAGATATTGACAAGTTGGTTCTAAGACTTACATGAAAGGTAGAGGAATGAGAGTATCCAAAACAATTTTGAAAAAGAATAAAGTTGAAGGCTTACACAACCTGGTTTTAATATTTATTATAATACTACAATAATCAAGACAGTATGGTTCTGTGAAAGATCAGACACATAGATCAATTGATTCACACAGTAGGATCAGCTTTTTTTTTTTAAACAAAGTCATAAAGGCAATTCAGTACAGAAAAGAATAGTTATGTCAAACTGTAGGCTCAAACAATTGAACAAACATGAAAAAAAGAGACAAGAACCCTGACCTACATACCTCATACAAAAATTAACTCAAAATCGGTTGTAGAATAGGAATGTCTTAAGGAGCCATCCTATGCTTACCTCACCACTGTATATTGGATGTGGCTGGGGAGTTTAAAGCTGAGCAGATAACTTGTCTCTTTATTAAAGAGCAAAACCAGGCCCATCTCCCACAGCCGGACCTAACCTAGGTGCTGAAATTCTGGGCTTTGGGCTGAGCTGCGAAGGGATGAGGCTTACTGGGCTGTGGAAGGGGACACATGTATTCCGTGAGTAGGAAGAACGCGAATCACTGGGGCCTGAGGCCAGACTGTGATGGCTTTCAGGATGGCCCCAGCAATCTTCCCTGACAGTTCTCTTCAGCACTGATAAGACACAGCAGAAGTGATGGTGTGTTACTTCCAAATCCAGGCCCTAAAAGGCACCGAGACTTTCACCTTGTCACGAAGATGCCCAGGGAGCCCACGGAGAGGTCAACATGGCAAGCACTGGAGGTGGAAGGGGTCATGGGGGTCTGGTCCTCCTGCCACAGTCAAGCTTTCAGATGATGCAGCCTGCTGACATTGTGACTGAAGGACACCAAGCTGGAACTACCCATCTAGGCCTCTCTGGACTCTTGGCCCACAGAAGCCAGGTGAGGTAATAGGTGTTTCTTGTCTAAGCTACTGAATTTTGAATTAATTTGTTCTAAACGTTGGATAATGATACCAGTTCCACTTGAAAACTCTAATCCTCTTGTTCTACCTTTCTGTCCAGGTCATTTATTTACTATTGTGATGTGGTTATTGATACAAACAACATGAAGAAAGGACTGTATCAAAGTTCTGAGCCCTCCCTGGGGCCCCAGGACAGCATTGGTAATAAGTGCTGGGATGATTCTGTCTTCATTTCAGGGGTTGTCACAAAGGGAGCTGGGCAGCTAAGGTGCTCACAGCTCCCTGGGTCCTCCCAGACCACCTTTTGATCACTCATTCACTTCTGTTTGCAGCTGTGTCCTTCAGCCCTACCCAATCCTTGCATCTCACAGGGAGATGTGGAAGTCTAGGGCTCTGAAGAACCAGAGTTTTGACCAAGTGTTAGTGGCTCATTTTTCCTCATCTGTTTCTTCTCACCCGGTTTTAGTGTCTTGCACACAGAGTGTCCAATAGATAGATATTGATTAAGTTGATGGCCCAGGAGACAAGGAGAGCTACCCAAAGGCTACACATTTCCCTTTGAGTCCATTAGAAATCAAATACGGGGCAAACTTAGAAAAAAGTGAACCCACGTTCTCCCGCCCAGGTGAAGCAGAATCAGAGAAGGCTTGAAGCTCAGCCTCCCCAAGCTACGAATGCATGATTGCACCAGCGCAAGACAGGAATCCCCAGTCCCGGCTGCAGGGGCCAGGGCAGCTTGGACTCTCCACGGCTCTTCAGCTTGGCTTTCTGGGCATTTCAAGACAGGTAAATACAGGCTGTTTTCATCTGTGCTGACCTCTGTGCTCTGTCCTCATAGGGTCACTTGTTTCTCAGGTGGCCCTCAGGCCTGTGATCTTGTCCTCATGGGGTCACTTGTTTCCCGGGTGGCCCTCAGGTCATGGAAGGTCCACTGGGAGCCGAGGATGCTGTTCTTGCAGTAAAGGTCTCAGCTTCTGCTATGCCAGTCAATCGGGGTGAAGGAAGTGACTTTTCTTCAGGTAAGACTGAGAGCAGACAGGACAGGTGCCAGGCAAGGAAGGAAGCCTCTTGCCTGCACTCTGTGAGTGCTGGTTAAAGCATCGACAATGCGTTTCCAATGCAGAGCACTGGGAACCAGGGCAGCAGCTGCAGAATCAGCTCCAGGGATGATGATGGGGTCAAGTCAGTGCCTCCTCAGGGCTGTTTCCAAGCAGGTGCCCATTTAGGGCAGGGTTTGGATTGACTTTAAAAAAATCCAGTCTTCTGGGAGAACAGTAAGGAAATACAGTGTATTCTAAGAGAAGAGGAGGCAGTCATGAAGATCCTAAGAGAGGTGATATGTGAGTGTTGATTTGCTGGTGTTTGATAGGGGTGGCATGGTGAATCAGCGCTCATCTTAATCGCCCATATTGATGGATGAGCAAGGGTGAACAGCAGTGAGAGTCTGCACTCTCTACTTACCTAGGAAAACAGCACAGCTACTGAGCTTGTGCCTGCAGTGCTTCAGTAGTGTCTGCAGTCTGGGGCCATGCTGATTTGCTAATCCTTGATCTCAGCTGGGTGTGATTGCCACCGTGGTCCCTGGCTCATGAGGGGCAGGCACACCACTAATTGGCAGGTGCTGGCCTGCTTTGTAGGGGGCTGGGTGGGGAGCCAGGATGCTCTGCAGTGGAGGCCTGAATGGATGACTCTCTGCACCTGGGGGCTGGGTGGGGAGCCAGGGTGCTCTGCAGTGGAGGCCTGAATGGATGACTCTCTGCACCTGGGGGCTGGGTGGGGAGCCAGAGTGCTCTGCAGTGGAGGGATCTGCATTGATGACTCCCTGGACTTCCTTGCCAGAAAAAAATCTTTATTTTATATTTTGCTGTTTTAAATGTAACGTGCATTTTTCATCACTTGCTATTAAAACTATATTTTTAAAGATTTGAAGCTATAAACACCAAACTTACAAGTACCTGGGGCGTACGGCGAATCACAGTTCTGCCCTCTGAGCCAGTGGTTGCAACCTTTGGCCCCATGGGGGAAGAATCTGGGGTGCTGCTTGCTGAGAGCTCCCAGCCAAGACCTCCCCCGGAGGTGCCTTTGGTTGACAGGTGCTGCTTCACCTAAGTGGCCCTTCCCAGGAGCGGCTCGGAGGACACACAGGCTCGGCTCTCAACCCTCAATTCAGGATGTGCCTACAGGGCCGTCCTGGCATGGGATTCCACATGGGGTTGCCGAAGCCTCTTGCCTTTGCACCCTGGCTTACCTTCCTCTCTTTCAATGCTGCTTCCCTGAATCCTTCCAGGTGTTACTCCTGACAGCACTCCCCACTACACCACCTGCACACACATCTGTCTTGGATCTGCTTCCAAGAACCCGCATCTGCTCCACCATCCCACCTGCCGACACTATTTTCAAGTGGGCTTAGACGTGCAGATACGAAGGAGATGAAGTAAGAGCTGCTCCGGCCCTCGGATGATGCAGACTCCACGAGCTCGTGCTTCCCGTGGCTCCTAGGGGAGCCCAGACCACCCTGTGCACCAGCAGTGAGGGCTCAGTGCTGGGAGCTGCGCTCTGGAGCCTTTGCTCCTCTGCAGTGTCACGAGTCCCTGTGGCGGGTGGTGGCCGCCTCTTCCTGCAGCAATTCTCTCCCACCTCCTTTCCTCCACCTCAGAGAGATAGCGGGTGTGAAATGGCCCAGAACCGAGGTCCCTGCACTGCTGCAGGCACAGAGGACGGGTAGGATTGTGTGGGAGAGCCCTGGGGGTAAGCCTTTCGCCTACGTCCCTCCTGCCGCCAGCCAGTGCCGGGAGCTTAGTTTTCTTATCTGTAAAATTAGGTCTCATTAGGTTGTGAAAATTAGAGACGATGTATATAAGGTTCCAGTGCAGTGTCCAGCACATAATGAGATTGGATGAATGCTAACTTCTTTTTAGTGTTATCGTGATTATTGTGATTATTATTATCATCACATGTAGACCTTTGACCAGAAATTAGAGAGGACTCAAAAAGAAAGAGAAAGCTACGGAACCACACAAATGCAGTAGAAGCACGTTCTGTGCTGCAGAATTTATTAGAGGCGAGCAAAGCCTCTTTAGTAATTGATAGAGACGTGGTACTTAATGTGAACTTTGAGTAATTGCAGATGGAGAGGCCAAGAATTTTATGCAGATAGCAACAAGGTCCCTGACACAGGGAAGCAATATCCCTGCACAGACCAGCTTAAGACAAGATTAGTGTGGAGCACAGGAGGATCAAGAGGATCTGCACGGGGTGAGATAAGGAATCTGGACAGACCAGAAAAGAGGCGATTCCCCAGACACCCAGTGAGAAGGTGAGGATGAGGCTGGCGGCTGAAATCTGAGCCTCACAGAGTGGCATTTATAGTTGTCGGTGTATTATTATGCTTGAGTCAACCGGAATGGAAAATATGCATGATTTTTATCACATGGAGTTTGGGTTTTTTGTGGAAAACTCTAGAAAGGGATTTGAACCTCACTTGACTCATTGCAAATGAGGTTTCATGCCCAGAGGAGGACAAACCAAATTCTGCCTTCTCCTGCTTATTCCACCTGCGTGTCCTGGGTGCCCATCCTTTTCACCTGCCTCTCGCCCTGCAGAGGGATGAGCTCTGTGGAGCACCTTCTCTTCCCTCCAGGAGCACCTGCCTCACCTTCTTCCTTACCACTCGCCTCCATCATAACCGTGCTCTCTTCATTCCTTCTTCATCTGTCCCATTTCTAAGTGAAAAATGTTCTTACTGTGGCTAGAAAGCAAAAGATGGCAGGATCATCATGTGTTGAGGAAAAGGGAAACCACAAATTTGGTTGTGATTTTACTTCAAAATGTTCGTAGATTCAACAAACACTTTGGTACCTGTGAGAGTGTATAACTCCTTATGAAAAGCACAGGCTGGCTTCACTCACGTATGTGAGTGCATGGCTCAGCCAACGGAACCTAGCAGTCCATCAAATATGTTGGAGAGCCCGTCCCAGGTGGGCTGATTTGAAGCTGGTGCAACAGTAGAAAATCTCTTCATGTCATTTGCCATCTTTACAGATCAGTGGAGAAGAGCTGTATGATCTGCTCAAAAGAAAGAAATGTGTTTGATAAAATTCAGTATGTATCCTTGATAAAAATCTTAAAATAAGAATGGAAGGAAATTTTTAAAGTCGACAAATCTCTAAGTAACAACAGCAGAAAACCATAAAAACCAAAGTTACCAAAAAAAATCACAACAAATTTCACTGTCAATAGTAAGACATATCCAAGTGAAGAATACTAACTACCACTACATCTGTTCAACATTAAATTAGCACAAAAGACAAGTAAATGTGAAAGGTATGAGTATTAAAAAGAAAACATACAAAGCTGTCATTATTTAGATGACTAGATTATATAAAGAGTACACCCACAAATACTTTAAAACATTTAGGATACATAAGACATGCTTAAATATTGAGTAATATGTACCAGTATTTTTTTTAATTGCATTTCTGCCTACCAGCAACATTTAGAGAATTTAATCTATAAGAAGACATAGTTGAACTCTACTTCTGGTTAAGACGGAGTAGCAGGGACTGAATTTAGCCTGAACCAACTAAAAAAAATCACACAAATTATATTAAATAACAGTTTTCAGGGCCGGGTACAGTGGCTTATGCCTGTAATCCCAGCACTTTGGGAGACCAAGGCAGCCAGATCACCTGAGATCAGGAGTTCAAGACCAGCTTGGCCAATATGGTTAAAGCCCCTCTCTACTAAAAATACAAAAATTAGCTGGGCGTGATGGTACACACCTATAATCCCAGCTACTCAGGAGGCTGAGGCAGGAGAATCACTTGAATCCAAGAGGCGGAGGTTGCAGTGAGCTGAGATTGTGCCACTGCACTCCAGCCTGGGCAATAGAGCGAGACTCGGTCTCAAAAGAAAAAACAATAAAAGAACAGTTTTCAAAACAATGGGCTTAACCACTGCATTAAGCTTTACAACTGTATCATTAAGCTATTTAGACTTGATTATAAGTTTTACTGTTTATTTAATATCACTTTTTCTATATTTTATGTTAAGTTCTTTATTCTAACTCATTTTTCAGTTGTATGGAGTGTCTTCTTGAGTAATTCTTTCAGAAAAGTTTATTTTTTCTGAGTCCTTGCACTTCCAAATACTCCTTTTATTTGCCCTTACAGTTGAACAATAATTAAATATTCATATAATTCATAATAATTTAACCTTAAAACTCTGTAAAGTTGGCTTTATTACTATGTTTCATTTAGTGTTGCAGTTGAGAATTAAATACCAGACCAAATATCTTTCTTTTGTAGATAATTATTAAATTTATAAAATTTTCTTCTTTTTATTTCAGTTTTATGCTTTTTTTTTTTTCCTTTATCCTGGGAAATTAGCAGCTTAACCAGGAAATCTCAGGACGTGGCTCTTATCATTGTCATCCCACCCGACTCTCTGGGAGCCACTTTGTCTGAAAACCAAATTTCTTTCCAGAGCCCAGCTTGGGGTCCCCGTGGTGAGGCTGGGGGCAAGAGGGGCTGCAGGCAGGCCTTCTCCCCACACCTGCCTCAAAGTGTGGGTGGATTTGGGCTTTGGGTGCTGGGTGTGGTGGGGTTTGGTTTCTCACCCACCCCAGGCCCGGGAGCTGTGTCAATGTGTCTGTCTAGGTCTCTCCTTCCTGAGTCCTCTCCCCAAAAATCCACCAGGCAACACACACGTGGTGGGACCTGGTGAGAAAGAACCAGTTTTGATTTTTTGATTTGGCCACCACAGTGACATTTGGGAGATGAGGATGGGCCATTTACATACATCATGAATGGGAATGCCTGTATTGTTCATGTAACTCGCAGGGAAAATGTCAGAAAATTCATCCAAATCTACATTGTACACTTGATGAGGCAGCCGATTGGCTGAGAGGCTTGGGAAAATCAGCCGGGTCTACCCAGAGCTTACGTGAGTCTACAAAATCAGCCCTTTAGGAACTTGCGGGTCATCTGTAGCAATTAGGGCGGCTGTCCCCAGGGCCTGGTGTGGGTGCGGGGCATATCCTCCTCTATTAAGTACCTCTTGCTTCCTGACAGGTAGCTCAGATTGCGGGCACATGGCTGTGGGGCACCCTAATTCCTGAGGGTCCCCCCAACATGGGCTGGCAAGGCGGGGATTGCAAAAGTCTCCAGTTACCAGCACCCTGAACATGCACCCTTTGATTAAATCACCCCACACCAAATAACACCAACCTCTGTGTTGAATTTTTTGAAAATAAACTTAATTTTTATTTATAGAAAGAGAGAGATAATTCTTTCAGAATTTCTCTAATCTCTCACTTGTACGAGCCCCAACTCTTTCTCCTGAACACTCCCAGATTTCAAAAGTAATTTGAATTCCCTTAATCAGTCAGCTAACTCCTTCTGTTTTATTCCTTATGATTAGGGTAAAATAATATATTTAGCATGAGATGATCAGGGAAACTACTGTATTTGTTCTTTGGACTAAGCAAAAGCATCTCCCCCTGTATTGACACATTTATGAGAAAGAAAATGGCTCATTTATGGGACAAAGCTTCCACCAGATCTTTCAGAAGATCTCAAAGTACAGAGGCCCATGCATTCTCTCAGAAAACTCTATTAAGTACATTATAAAGCAATTTTTGATTTTCAACACAATTTTGCTACTGGCTAAACAGCCTGAACCCTATAATTTTTCCGCAGAGGGCGCCCTGTGCTGTTGAGATGACCATCCATTGGTTTGTTTCCAGGCACGGACTGGAGAGAGTTTCCCAAAACAATTTCAATCTTACGGCAGAGGCACCTTTCTCCTTTGCTTTTGAGCAGAGGGTTGTAGGCTGGAGGAGCTGGAATGTCACTTGAGCTCCGGAAACACCGTGTTTCCAGGAAGCAGAGGAAGCGCTGGGATCGCGCATCACAGATGTTCTGCTCCAGGAAGCTCCCAATTTCCCTCGCAGGGAACCTGGAGATGAAAGCCGGTGTTCCAGGGGGCCCTTCCTTCCTGGAGCAGGTGGGCTGTGGACTGGCCCTGGGCGGTGGGTGGGGATGGGTGAGTATGTGGGTCCCGTGGATGGGAACAGGTCATTTGTGGTAGTCCAGCCCGCTAATTCCAGGGCCCCTCGGCGTTTTGGCCTCACCTGTGGGCACCTGAGTCCTCTATGGGCACGGGGCTTGTGCTGGGGTGACTTTTCCAGGGTTGGGTGACGGAGACTCAAGGGTGATCAGACGGAGCTGATCCATCCTCCCCCGCCTCTGAGCAGTGGGGACAGCTGCCATTTTCCTTCATGATGGAATACCTGTGCCTGTGCGTGGCACTCCGTTCTTTGATCTACTAACATGTGGAAGCACATACGTGGGTTGGTCCTGAGCCTGGAGCCAGAATAAGAGGAGGCTGTGGTCTACACCTCTGACCACAGTCTACACCATGCTGGACGAGAGGTGCCCATTCCTAAATATCACAGACCATTGGTTCAAGGCCACACGCCCTGCGGTCACCACCACAGCTCTCGGAGCTGGGCCTCTTCCAGAACTCTGGGCTCACAGAGCTGTCACCTGTGTTCTCTGTGCTTGACGGCTGGTAGGCATCTCACTTAATTTGTCCAAAACAGGACCCTTTACTTCCCATCTGTCCATCTGTCCCTGAAACAATCCTCTGCCCCAGCCGTCCTCGCCTCTGCAAATGGCTCCATCGTCATTCTAACTGTTCACGTCCCAAATCTAGAAGTCACCTATGGCAGCGTTCTTTCTTTCTTTCTCCACCACGTTTCACCCACCAACACATTCAGTCAACTCTAGATTCAAGCTGCACCCCAAGCAAGCCCAACGCTCCCCATCTCCCCACCAGTCCCACAGCCCGAGCCTTTGACACTCACTCAGAGTTGGCCTAGGGCTGACCTGCCTCCACCCTTGTGCAAGTGCCACTTGTCTGCCACATCAGAACTGTCTCTGTTTTTTTTTTTTTTTTTTGAGATGGAGTTTTGTTCTTGTTGCCCAGGCTGGAGTACGGTGGCACGATCTCAGCTCACTGTAATCTCCGCCTCCCAGGTTCAAGCGATTCTCCTGCCTCAGCCTCCCGAGTAGCTGGGATTACATGCGGCCACCACCACACCCGGCTAATTTTTATTTTTATTTTTTTTTATTTTTAGTAGAGACGGGGTTTCATCATGTTGGCCAGGCTGGTCTTGAACTCCTGACTTCAGGCAATTCGCCTGCCTTGGCCTCTCAAAGTGTTGGGATTACAGGCGTGAGCCACTGCACCCGGCCAGAACCGTCTCTTAAATATGTGAATCTTATCATCTGACTCCCCAGCTTAAAACCATTCCGTGCTTCCTGTCTCTCTTGGGCTGAGACCCCACTCTTGGTGCGAGCTGCTGTGGCGCTCCCACCCGCCCTTCAGCCTGCAAGCTGCAGCCACACCACCGGCCGCGGGTTCCTTTAGCATTCAGCGCCTCCCCTCCGGGGCTGGCCCTGGCTGGAATGCTCTCAGCTTGAACGTGGTGTTCTCAGGGCACCTGATCTTAAGTAGTCAAGCCAGTACTTTATCCTTCCCCCTTACAACTCTCTGCCAAGTTTTAGCCGTTTTTCTCTTTTTCAGTCTTTATCATCAGAGCCTACACTCTGAGCACAGCCACGGGAGACCCCAGGAGGAACTGGCCCGATGAATTCTCCACGCCCCAGTGCCTGAGCCGGTGCCCTGCCCTGGGCCGATCTCCCTCTGTGGGGTGGAGATGGGATGGGTGTGCGTGCATCCCTCAGGCTGGAGGGGCCTTTAGGACGCTCAGAACTGCAGCAGCTTCTTACCCACAGGACCGGGGTGCTGTGGAAATGCCCTCTGGGACTTCTCACAAAATTTCATTCATTGTGTGTGTTTTTCTCTCCCGTCACCTATTTTCAAAAACAAAAAAGCAAATAAACAAAAATTACCAGGATAAGCGTCACTCTCTGGCATCCTTTGCTGTGCTTGGCTGCAGTGGGAGGTCGCCTGGCTGGAGCTGAGCGTGTGCTGGGTCTGCGTTTTCACGGCGTCGGTGTGCAGGCGTGCAGCCTGACCCGACCAGGGCTCCACGGTGCCAGGGTTGCAGAGTCAGACTGTGCGCCCGGCCGTCCTGCCAGCTTCAGCCAGGCCAGTTCTCAGGACGCCTTCACTCTCCCTCATGGGGCCAGTTATATATGATCTGAGTCCAGGGCGTCTCACGTGGCCTGTGGTCGGTTTTGGTATCTACCAAGTGAGTTTAGCTTGAGTCTTCCCAATACTTTCTTTACCTTGGCATGTTTAGAAAGAGACTGTCCAGTTAGAGAAGAACTCCAAGGGACCCAATCACATTCAAAACCCCGACATGGGCTGTGTGTGCCTGAAGGACCTGTCCTGTCCTGTTCAGGAAAGGGCAGTGGACCTGAAGAAAGATCTTGAGACGCTGTTGGTTCCAGAGCTGTAAGAAAGGACAATCCCACCAGCTAGCCATTTCTTTTCCTTTAGACTCTGCCTTACTGAGACCAGGGACGGGGGTTGGCTCTGCCGATGCTGCAACCACAGGCGCGAGGATTCCGTTCACCCACCAGGAACACCTGAGGCGCAGCTACAACATGGTTTACGGGGGCAACTTGCACTTGGGAAAGAAGTGGAGCACATACCAGGCTGCAGACGCCTGTCAGTCTCCGCAGGAAAGGGACATCAGGGTTCTGCCCCACAGCTGTGCTTCTGCCAAGGGGGCAACGGCTGGAGCATGCCCACCACAAGAAGTCCTGCCTTGGCTGCCGTACATGCTTACAGATGACTCTAAGAGGGGCTAGGGACCTCCAGTGTCTGAGGAGCAAGAAACATATCAGGATCTTCATGCCAGGAGCACAGGGGCCCTGAGAGGGGCCCTGCCTGCCAGGAACGAGGCCATCAGGCACCGATCTCGCTGTTCTCAATGTCTGGGTGGGAGCACCGTGCCGGGCAGTCACAACCCGGGGTCAGCAACAGGGGGCTGCAGGACTCACGACGGGAGGCCGGCCTCGAATTGGGCAATGAGGGGGCCAGTGGGGACCAGGGACGTGTTGTCGACAAAAGTTCTGGCGGTCAGTACCGAACACGGCTGGCCTGCAGATCTGACTGTATATGGTAAAGCGACTGTGAACCAATGGGGTAATCGACTTTCTAAATGCCGTTTTCTGTGAGAAACATGAACGGGCACTTCACACCTTGTCTTATAGTATTTTCACCTTTTAAACTGTAACTCACAATAAGAAAAGCATTTTTCAGCAGCATCCAGGACCACGCACCCACAGCCCAAACGAAAGTTTTCTAAATCAAAACTTCACATGTGATGCACATCAACAGTTTCAACTTTATCCTAATCCTTTCTATTGCATTTTAAAATTATTTTCAATATTTTTAAAATGAGTTTTTCCTTAAATTCTGCTTGCAACTCACTGACTGGGTCTGCTCTGCAAAGTGTGGAGAGCGTGGGTCCGTTGCAGTGCCTGTCACTGGAATGAGAGCCCGGGTGGACCTGGGTCCGTTGCAGTGCCTGTCACTGGAATGAGAGCCCGGGCGGACCTGGGTCCGTCGCAGTGCCTGTCCCTGGAATGAGAGCCCGGGCGGACCTGGGTCCGTAGCAGTGCCTGTCCCTGGAATGAGAGCCCGGGCTGATGCCCAGCTTGCCAGGCTCCACTTGAGTTAACAGCAAAGTCAGACCCGAAATCCTGGGCTCCTTAATGCCCGGTCTAGTCTCTGTCCACTCTGTGGGTGAGAGTAGCTAACTCACTTCTCTGCGTTGGCTTGCAGAGAGAAAGCAGACGCTCACTTGATGTTCCATGGTGGCAGGGGCCACGGTAAGGCTTGCACCCGCACGTGCTCCACCGCTCGCCCACGCCCCGCCTCCAGCTTGCTGAGTGCACCGACGATGCTAGAGTGTGAAATTCCAAATGCTCTCAGTGTATGCAGGTTTGCAGATCCTGACGCACTGATTGCTTTTTTTCTCCAACGTTGTGGTAGCTCCTTGGGAGCAGTAATGAAGAATGGAAGCTTTCTGGAAAGTGTTCACTGGGTGCCTATTAGACCTGACACAAAGCTGTGCTTGCTGTGGTTTTGTGTGCAGAGGTCTATAATTTGGGTTTATACTGTATTTTTGCAATATATAGACATTAGCATGCAGAAACTTGGCACCTGAGACCATGTGTCAGGGCGCATGGAGAAGATGCTTCCGACCTCAGGCAGGCAGTGTGGGCCTCTAGTAAGATGCACAGGGCAGCAGCATTCACATTATGAAGCTGTCAGGGGACAGCGCATTTAGTACTCACAGCTTAGCACTGAAATCAGAATCCCACACCCCAGGGTGTGCCATGGAGGATCCTGGAGCTGGTGCAGACGGGGCCATGCAGCGCCTTTCCTACGTAAGTGGGAGGCGAGATCCCTGTTCCACAGGGAAAAGGCACAGTCCACACAGCCCAGTCTGTCTGTAGTCTAACTTTTGAAGAAAGTGCTTTTCGCCAGGCATCGGCGTATGATTACCTAAATGCGTAAGATGGGACGTACGTTTCACTCCCCGTGCAGGCTGGCACGTGTCACCAAAACCGAGAGCTATGTGGGCTGAAGCTCTGGAGCCATCGCATGGGCACAGGAGATAACATCACGGGCCCCCAAATGCTGCCAGGTGGAGAGGGTTGCACTAGGCGGCTGGCCGAGGGGGCCAGGAAATGGAGGCTGCAGCCCTGTCCCCCAGCGTGGCCTTGGTGGGCTGTGTGTGGGCTGGTGAAGGAGTCAGGGTGAGGGTCGGGAGTAATGATATGTTCTATTTTTGTGGCCCAGTGTGTGCCAGGCACATGGCTGGGGACCTCCCGTGTGAGCACTGATCATCCGCATCATGTAGATGGGGGAAGCAGGTCAAGCACCAGGCTAAGCCTGCCCAGCGCTGGTGGGAAGTGGCTCGGCTGGGAAAAGAAAGCAGAAAGTGGGACTCCTGAGGGACTGGGGAAGCCTCGGGTGCCCCTTCTGTTAGGAGCAGAATGCAACTGAGGGCCGAGCACACAAGTGCACATGCATGTGTGCGTGCACGTATGTGCAGGCCCTGCATCTGTGTGTGTATATGTGTACGTGTGTAGGTGTGCTCTTGTGTATGCACTGAGCTGACAAGCACGTGCCTGTGAGTATGAGTGTCCAGCTATGTGTGTGCCTGTGTGTGTGGGTGTGGGCTGCATGCAGGCGTACGAGTGTTCATAACTATTAAAAAGTCTCTGACTACAGGGACCTCACGTAAGAATCTCAGGCTCAATGTCCTCAGGTTTAATGAGAGGAAGTTGAAATAAGTCATCTCCAGGGTAAATTTCCAGCTTAAAAAGTTCTGTGAGCCGTGCCTGTCCAGAGCCCCATGCCCCTGGGTCCATGCCTTGCTCTGCTCTGTGTTGCTTGGGCGTGCAGAGGAGCTGACCCTTAGGGGCTGGTTTCCAGGTGCCTGACCTTCTGCCTTCTGCCTGGAGGGAGCCTGGGGAGGGAGGAACGAGAAGCCAGGTTCCTCTGCACGCTGGGCAGCGTTTTGAGCGGGGCTGCATCTCCTCTGCTGTCCAGATCCCACGCTGGTCCCACTGCCCCAAATCCAGTCCTGACCGAGCTGCCTGCCGACTCCCCAGCCTCCTGCAACTACCTGAGATGCTCTCTGCGTTAAGGACTTGAAGTGGTTCTGCCTTCCTGCAGGACCATGACAGGACACGACCTTTCATCTGTTGCTCCCTTCACTCACAAGTATCATTCAAGCAAACCCTCCTACGAGCAGACACACATTCACCGATCAGTGGCCATCCTCGTGTGAGCACGCGCTCTGGTGCAGACACGCTAAGGGCACGACCAGTGCCTCTGACATCACTATTTTGTGCTGGCTCATGTTTGGGAGCAGCAGACCCTCGGATGGAGGTGGGCGATGCATGCGTCCCCTGGGTGTTGCTGATACGACATCGCCAATAGAGGGCACGAGGATGACGTAAGGACAGCCTTCGCGGCTGGGTCAGGCACTGCTGTGGGCCAGGCACTTTGCATGCATGAGCTCAGTTAATCCCCACAACTCTCTAAGGCAGGCATTCCTGTACCACCAGCTCACAGGTCAAGTAACTGAGTTTCAGCGGGGTGAGTGCAGCGCCCTGAGGTCACACAAGGTAGGATGCAGAACCGGCGAGGCCGGTGACATTCACGGGGCCTCTTGTGGGGGAGCCATGCCCGGACTCCCCAGCACGTTTTCACATCACTTCAGTATAGCCCGCATTGCAGCATAGTGTGATGTTACACGGTACACGTGAGTGGTGTACACATGTGTGGTGTACGTGTGCGTGTGGTGTACACTTGTGTCTCCCACACAGAACAATGAGCTCTGGAGGTGCTGAAGCCATACCCGAAAGCCAAGTGTTGACGTGGAGCTGTCACTAAATAGGTGCTCAGTAAGTGCCAACTGAATGGCTAAATGAATACATCAACGGACGTTTGGCTTGAGTGTGCGTTGTTCACAGATTTCCAAATATAAGTCATTATTCATTTACCCTGGCTGGCCTGACAGATGTGTGCCACCATCCCCATTGTGCAATAAAGAAACAAACACCGCAAAAGTATGATCCACACAGGGGCTGGCAGACGTGTCCCCACAAAACTGCCATGAGTCTGGGAGCTGCTGCGGCTAGGCCTGGTGTTCAGACCCCTGGTTCCGCCAGCATCCTTCTCCACCAGCAGCCCCTGCGGTAATCAGCGCGATTAGGCAGGAACAAAGGGTCCCATTATGGAGGATTGACATTTTGGGAACATGGACCAAAGCAACAAAAAGTAATATTTCCTAAAACGAGCATTAGCTGCCCCTGACAGTCAGCCCAGTGGAACAGTCCAACCGGCAGTTGTCGGCGGCGCGCTGGCCCCCGGGATGGAAGATTACAGGGTTAGGGATGCCCAGCCAATCAAGGCCCCCGATTGGCTGAGCAGCCTTAAGTGCTTTCTAATTGTGCTTCAGAGGACTGCGGTTTAATGCCAGCCAGGGTTCACTGTTTTAAACTGTGTCACGCGACTTAAAAGGCCTGCTTTACGTCCTCCTCTTCAACGCTTGCATTATGTAAATTGTTAAGACTGTTATCCTGGGAGTTTGCCTTAGTTGCTGGCTGTTTTAAAATTCCATTTTTCACAAAAAGAAAAAAAAAAGGAGGGGAAGGGAGAAAGAAATGAAAAAGCACTCCTCCTCTCCTACAACAAGCTGGCAACCCCCGGGTTTGTGGAAAGACAGAAGCATGATGGGCGTGCTCGAGAGTGCTCCGCATGGCACATCATGCTGCTCCTGGCGGAGCCCCTGTCCCTGGCCAGAGAGGGCAGGCCAGTGACCGCCCCGGTGAAGGGCTTGCTCTTGCCTGGTATTTGCATTGGCCCTCGAAAAATCAATATTTGTGGTTGCACTGAAGCCTTAGTGCCCATTCTAGCCTTTTTCTCTAGAGGGGAGATTTGTAGCCAAGTAATTAAGAAACCTGGAACAACCAGCCTTCTATGAAGGCAGAGGGGGCAGCCTCCCTTATTAAGGCCCAGCTCACACCCTCCAGGTGTCCAGATGCAGGCCCAGCTCAGTGCCCTGGGGACTGGGTGGCTGCCCAGCCTGCTGGCTCTGTGTCCAGGCTCCGTTCTGGTGGCTTGTGGGGCCACGTGCTGATCTGGCAGTCCTGACTGTCCCTGGGGGCCTCCTTCCTCCAATCTTCCTCAGTGAGTTCTGGAGAGGCCGATGCAGCCAGGTGGGAGGGACAGGGCCAGGCAGGGCCTTCCTGGGCAGCTCTGATTGGCCTGGCTACGGTCATGGGACCTCAGGGGCCACTAGAGGTCTTTGCAGCGTCCAGGGGGATCCTCTCTCTTCTCCTGGTGTCCTGGCTTTCTGTCCCTGAGGGTTGTGGGTTTTTCCCTTCTGGCTCTGAGCCGGCTCCTGAGCCTGGGCCAGCAGGGACTGTGGCCCAGGTGGGATCGGCCCCCTCTGCATGGCTCGCTCGCTGCAGGCCTTGGCGTGGGGAGGAGGTCGACGCTGAGGCGCGACGCTCCTTGGCATCACTTGCAAATTGAACTCACCTGTAGCTCCCAAACCACCTCTCCGGGTGCTGTTGGTATTTCCCTCTTTTGTTCTCCTTTGTATTTAGAATGCAAATTAGGAAGTTAGTTCCTTCTGACCCAGGCGAGGGTTGGGGGGGTGGGCAGAGCGGGGCTGTGGTGCTGGGGGTGGCAGCAGCCCTGACAGGGAGGACGTGCGTAGAGCCACACGGGAGCGGGAGGAACACTTGGGCTGCAGGTGACAGCAGCCCTACCCGATGGCTGAGGCATGTTGCCATCCAGGGACACGTTGGCACTGCTGCGTGGGTCCAGTGGCCAAGCCACGAGTGGACGGGAGAGACAGGGGTGAGACAGGCCTGTCCACCTGGCCCTGTGCCCCTGGTGCTGGGCGTGCTCGGGTAGAGCTTTCCCGGTGGGCAGCGTGGCCTGGCTGCAGGGCCCAGTGATCTCACCAGACGCTGGCTGCAGCTACACAAATGCCATGTAGACATGGCCGACACTGCAGTCATCTCACTTTAGGTGAGCAGGGGACCCTCTCTGGTGTGGATGGGCCTTGTCTGTCAGCTGAAGGCTTTAAGAGCAAAGTGGGGTCCCCAGCGAGGAAGGAATTCTGCCCCATGATGGGAGCACCAGCTCTTGCCTGAGTTTCCAGCCTCCTGCTGCGTGGAAACTGCCAGCCCAACACAATCGCGGGAGCCAATCTCTTTGAACAAACGAAACAACGAATCTCCTACTGGCCTGCTTCTCTGCTTCTCTGGAGAACCTGGCTGATGCTCGATGGAAGCTCTCATTTTCCCGTCTGTGGAGTGGTGATAGTTTTCCCCTCACGGGGTTGTTCAGTATTAGACGATGCTCCATACGCAAAGACCTTGGGGTCTGCGGTCAAAGGAGGGCTGGGGCATAAAATGTGTGGGGTCCCAATGACAGGAGCAAAGAGGGAGCCCGCATGGGCCTGGACACACACACTCCAGGCGCGTCTGGTCCTGTGGCCTCCTGCCGTCAGCTTTACAGTGACATCGTCATGCTCAACAACATCCAACGTGGCCACGTGAGCCACCCACGACAGCAGTGGCCACGCCTGGAGTCCACAGAACCACTAAGACCTGAGAATGGGCTCATGGAGCTTGAGAAACGCATGTGAATTACATAAGATTATAAGTAGTGCTGTATAATTTAAATACCTGCAATTGAATAATGCCCTCTAAGCACCTGTGAGCATTCTTATAAAAACGCATTGGAAAATACCACTCATCAGCCTTGATGTTAACTCTCACGCAATGAATTGCAAAATGTAAAAAAAAGGAAATTCAAAGACATGTTTTTTTTTTTAAATCGTCTTGAACAAGTACAAAAATATAAAACCAAAGAAAATAAAAATAAGGTATTATCTTTACAGTTGGCCACACGTTGATGTTTAGATGTTTTGATGTCTTTCAATGTGATTGATTGTGGGCCCAATGCTGAGTTGGCCCCACAGGGGATAAAGAGAAATAGGAGCTCTAAGCCTTGTTCTGCATAAACTTAAAATCATCAAAGGGAAATCATAATCACTCCCATGAAGGAAGCCGCAAAGAAGAGATGAGAGCACCTCCAGGGGGCTGACTGGAATGGGATGAGGGTTGCCAGGCAATGCTGGGTCTGAGCTGGCCCTGGAAAAGTGGGTGGGCCCAGACAAGAGGACATTGGGGATTCCAGAGTGGGGCGAGGGTGTGGGAGGAAGCTGAACGTGGCCCGGGGGTGCACTGAGGGGACTTGAGAGGAGGCGTTGAGGAACAGAGAAGTGAGAGCCGCCTGCCAGAGCCCAGCGGGGGGTGGGGGTGGGGGCCATAGGCTGGCCAGGGGGTTGTGTCCTCAGGTCCAGTTGGACGCAGGCCGGGGCTGTCTGTGTCCATGAGCCCAGGTCCATAGCCCTGTTCTCCAGCAGGCACAGCCAACATGCCACCTGTGGTCATCAGAAACACGGGACTATGGATAAAGGGAATCCCCAAATGTTCATTCTGAGCACGATTCCCAACTAATTTCCGTTTGGACCTACTATGAATACAGTGCAGACTTAGCTGATGAGTTTCACCTCCTTTCCCTTCCTCTTTCCACTGCCTTGTAGAATTCCTGTTCCATGAAACTGAAGAAATAAGAGGTGGCAGTTGGAGGAGGAAGAAACGTAAAAATTGAGTCTTGCTTCCCTTCCAAACTGTGAACTAAGTGCTCATAATCCTCATCCCGTGTCCAGCACGAGGCCCGGCTGTGTGATCCAGAGCTCACAGGTCCAGGGCACGCGAGGGCTGTGGACACAGGGAGGCTGCCTGGAGCCGGTGCAAACATAGGTCTTTGTTCCCCAAATGGGCGATGCAGGCTCTGTCCCCACCTTCTGCTTCTCCAGGCAGAACAGTCTTCCTGGGAAATGCCCGTGCCCAGTGACTGCATGGGTGTGTGCAGCAGTCTCCAGCCCTGCCCAGGGTTTGGGGCCTGTCTGCTCTGTGGTGACCCTTTCCCAAAGGCTCTGGGTCACGGTGGTCGTCGTGGCTGATGTAAGTCACCATCATACTCACGGATCTGTCGGCGTCACCGTCGTGGCTGATGTAAGTCACCATCATACTCATGGATCTGTTGGCGTCATCGCCGTGGCTGATGTTAAGTCACCATCATACTCATGGATCAGTCGTCGTCGTCGTCGTGGCTGATGTAAGTCACTATCATACTCATGGATCAGTCAGCGGCCTGGCAGAAGTCTGGACTCCCTCAAATGGTTTGCAAAGAGATTTTAGTGAAAAGATTCCTCCTGACGAGGGCGGGGGTCAGGGGTTGAGCCTATCAAGGATGCCACCTCTTTTACACGCCACTAAAAGGGAGAACATGTGGCAGACCCCAGGTCCAGCGCCTCCTTAGTGCTTAGATGTCCACTCTGCAGCCACAGTGAGCGTCTTGTGCTTCCTGAAGCATGGAGGGAAAGAGGCAGGAATGGTTCTGACCAGTGGCCTTGGCAATCACCGCACGGCTCCTGCCTCTGTCTGCAGTAACTCTGTGATGCCACAGGTTGCAGTGACTTAGTAAAGCTGGTGGAAGACGGCATTTTGAGGGCTATGTCTAAGGACCTTGGGGGACTGGAGGCCAGGCCTGGCTGTCCAGTGAGCACTGCTCCCGTTGTGGGGGATTGAGTTGTGAATCCCAGCTTGGCCCCTATCTGGCAGCGGTGCTGCTGTCAGGATGTGCCCCACTCCTGGGCTTGTGGAGGAGTCACCTGCATCGTCTACGTGACTGTGGGGAATGGCACCAGGCTCAGCGGATGCCTCCGTGGACAGCAGGGAACGGCACCAGGCTCAGTGGATGTCTCTGTGGACATGGCCATAATGACTGATTTTTAATCGATTTCTTCTTCTCTTTTGAATTACCAACTTATTCCATTTGTTCTTTTCCTTCTTTTTTGAAAATAAAAAACTTCTCTTACTCAATTTCGCTCTTGAGTGGTCTTACGTTAATTTCCAGAGAAGCGATTAATAGTCTTTAAGAAGGCCAGCAGAAATGCATCTTGGTGGCTGGAAGAGAAATAAATCTTCAGCCCCATCTAGTTGTGCTTCTTCCGCAGAATAAGGAAAGGTGGCAGACCCCAGTCCTGCAAGCCCAGCCCACGCCCGGTGGCCAGCAGGAGACTTCGGTGGGAGAGCTGCGTGCACTGGGTGGTCACTGGCACCCATGGGGTCGAGTTCTTCTCTGACTGAGCACTCCCCTGCGCTGTGACTTCAGCCACAGAGTGTCACTTCCTCGGCCTTCCATGTCAACATCACGGAGCAGGAAATTGCTTTATTATTATGCTAAGCTGCCACCTTGCTTGGATATGAGGAATGGTTAATGAAAATGATTGCACTGTAGCATGCAAAAGATAAAGTGCTAAAAAATGCCGTGATAGTTAACAGCCTACATAATTTGTGCTGTTATTAGGGACAATTTGTGACTTTAAAAGTCTAGTGGGTCCAAATGTCACATGAGGAAAACATTAGTTAAAACATCCAGGAGTAATGAATGATTTAGAGAAAGAAGAAATCCAAATGAGATTTAAACATTTCTGTTTTAATTCCGTTATTTTAAAACATTCATGGTTCTCACCTTGCTCTGAGTGCACAACTTCTGTACCCAGTGGGTGCCTGCCCTGCTCCTTCTCCACAGAAGTAGGAGTCCAGCAACAGGGTATCATGCTTTTCACTCCAGCCCTCCACCCAGACCCCGGTTGCCTTTCTGCGCAAAATGGTACTTGAAAACGTTGTTGGGAGGAGTCCCAGAAGAGAAGATGGTCTCATCTGGAAGTTTAAGACTCAGAAACAAACATTAGGTAGAAGATGAAGGAATATTATCTGAGAACCGTTTATGACATCTTCACGATTTCAACAGAAATGTCAACCGGTGGATTGCAAGGAAGTGCCACGTTACTTCAATGTCTCTAAATTTAAAAGATGGAGGAGGGGGAATCGATGGATGGCTTGACCCCTCCTTCATTAATTCACTGGTTGACTTCACAATGAGCACTTAAATATAAGCCAGGCCCTCAGGATTCAAAGACAAAGAAGACTCATTTCTAATCTTTTGGGGTGATGTTAGCAATGCAATAATTTTTTTCATAGTGCTCCAGGCAAAAAAAGATACTGAACAGTCTGTTTATTAAGTAGTTAGGTCCAAACAATAAGCATACATGAAACTGAAAGACTAAGCCATACTTTGATTTTACTTTCAAATGACCACAGTCACTTAATAGGTGTGTGTCTCCTGGGCACTGACCGGCCTCTTGGGACCTGGGATCAAACCTGGCACTGCCACATTCCTTTCCTGTGCAACCCTGACTTTTGTACAGTACTTGCTTCTTATCACAGCAATTGCTGAAAGGCCAGCTTTGCAAAACTGTCAGCATTGGGAGGAAGGGAGTCCAATCTGATATCGACAACTGTGAGTACCTCAAGCTGATGCTCAGCCTGTGGCAGAGCAGAGGTAGGCCCGTCTGCGCTTCTCCTGAGCCAGGGAACACCCTGGGCACCCCACACACACTCCACGACTCTCAACTCTAGGCTACACGGCTCAACATGTGGCTTTCAGATGGGTTGGGACCCGAATTGTTGGTCACTCCACAGCAAGTGCAGAAATTGAGAGAAAGCTTAGACAGCTTTTCAGGGATTTGTCATATTACATTTATTTTGATTAGAACTTGTATTTTCTGTTTTTCATTTTTCTAGTAATTTATTTTTATTTCATCTTACAATGTAGGGTCGTCAATGGATTGAAGTTAGAAAACAAACTGGCACTTCCCCAGAGATCACTAGAGAAGCATTGTTCTAGGGGGTTCAGTAAAAACAAAAATAAAAAACAATCCAAAACCAAAAAATCTAATGTAACAATAGATGCTTACCTCAAATCTGAAATTAAAAACTATGTAATATTATTTAATTACCACAACTAAACTCAGCAATTTTAAATACTTTAAATGCCCAATTAACAAGAAACTGCTAATTAGTTTTTACAGTTATAGGATATTTATGTACTCATTATTGTCTTTTGCAAATATAATCAAAATATTTTTGTTCCATAAAATAAAACATGAGTTTTATTGGACAAGATAATTTAAGTTGGTGCTAATCTGCTTTGTAATATCTAATTAGAAAAGTTTCCTTCTCCCTCCCTCCTTCTTCCTCCTTCCCTCCATCCCTCTGTTTTTACTTCCTTTCCTCCCTCTCCCTTTTTCTTCTTTCCTTCTGTACTTCCTTCCTTCCCTCTTTCCCTTCCTCTTTGTTTCTTTCCTTCCTTCCCTTCCTTCCTCCCTCCTTTCCTCCCTCCCTCCTTTCCTCTCTCTCCTAGTCATAGAAACATTGTGGACAGAACCTCAGTCGTGTCCTTGAGAACACTGAAATTCTGTAGTACTTTTTGATGCTAAAGGTCTTTCCTTTGGACCCATCTTTAAAAGTCACTTGAATAAGAGATCACTATAATAATTAGTAAGTGATTTTTGTTTGGAACATGGGGAGTGGGCTCTTTTAAATGAGATTTGAAGTGTGTCAAAAGAGAAAGAAAACAGAAATTCTGTCTGGATGCTGTAGAACAATTCTTCCTCACTACTTTTGAACAATTCTTCCTCACTACTTTTGAACAATTCTTCCTCACTACTTTTGCTAATTGGAACATCACAGCTAGAGATACTATTATATGTTAGAAACGGTCACAGCATTTAGAGCTCTCTTTTGCCAAAAGGAATTACACAGAAAGTGTAATTAATTTATCCTCCAGGGTTTTCTGTGACTCATCTCTAATCTTGTCTGGTGTTATCTGGCGACGTGCGGTGGGGCAGAGCGATGCTGAGTAAATACCGCAAGCATCGCGCTGTCGAGTGGTTCTCCTGTGAGATCAGATGCGCCTGGATTGTCACAAAGCCATTTTCTGAAAGTTAAGAGTGTGCTGGGGCCGGGGGTGGTAATCAAGGAGCACGCAGGGAATCTTGTGGGTGAGGCCTGGGAGCCTGGGGCTGCTCTGGAGGGAGGTGCTGTTCCCTCGCGCCCCGAGTGCACCTGCAGAGGCACGGACGGTGTGTGCCCGCTTCTCGGCTGCCTACTTCGTTTCTGGGCTGGTTCGCTGAGTTTGATGTTAAAAGTAGGTTGGATAATTTTTGTAATGCCTAAGAACGGGCTCTGTCTTCTCTTCAACAGAGCGTTGCGATTTTCAATTTGGAAGTCTCCGGTTAGGAAAGGCTTTCCAGGATGAAGGACAGCACCGGGGCTCTCAGCAGCGGCTTGCGTGTTGATGGCGTGTGCACGGCCGAGGACGCCCTCGCCGTTTCTGAGCCTTTCAGTTCCAAGCACAGCCCAAATCATGTCCCAAATATTTGATCCATTTTTTAAAAAGAGAACCCAAGTACACGTCAGATAAAATTAAAGGCAGCTCTTCAGTACATCGACTTCATTTACATTCCGGTTTTGGTAAGTACTCCTTGATATTTAGAAAGCTTTTTATTACATTCTGGTTTTGGTAAGTACTCCTTGATATTTAGAAAGCTTTTTATCCCCATTTCATAAGCTTCTAAAAATCAGGGCATTGAATCTTGCTGTCAATAGGGAAAATTAAATGTGAAAGATCAGGTTCATTTAAAAACAGATTAAAACAATTAGATTCTAAAACTGGCACAATGCATTTTTATACTCAAGATAAACTTTTTTTTTCTTTTTTTAGATTTGAGAACCTGTATATGAGTGTTTTTCAAATAGCCAAAAAAAAAAAGTTTGTGCCACAGTGACTGTTTTGGAATTGTTTACACAGAGGAGGCAAGTTAATGTGCTCAAATTTCAATCCTAAGCACAATATTTTTAAAGTCAGACGTGATTAAAACTATCATATACAATTTTTCATACATTAAACATCAGAAAATTATTAATCCTCTAGTCCAAAACAGAATTATTGTCAATAAAGGTCATTATTATTTATGCAGAAATAATATAATGAACACACTGAGGTGTAACTTCACCATTAAAGAAAAAACTGTAAACATGTACAAGTAGTTTTATGAATAAGAACGGGGAAGAAAACTGCTAGGCCTCCTGCCCTTCTGAAGACAAGCAGGCTGGGGGGCTTCACCCATCATAGCCACCGCGTGGAGCGCCCACAGCTAGCCAGTTCCCACACAGGCCTCTTCGTCTGCCGTCCATTGGGGGCTGAGCCTTCAGGATGAAAGGTCCTGTTCCTTAGGAAGCAGACCTCAGAACCCATTCTCCCTGGCTCTTCAGCAACATTGTTGCCATGGTTTTGGTCTGTGTCCTCACCTGAAGCTCATGTTCAATTACAATTCTCAGTGTTGGAGGTGGGGACTGGGTGTGTGTCCGGAAGTGGTGGGTTCTTGGTCTCACTGACTTCAAGAATGAAGCCGTAAACACTCGTGGTGAGTGTTATAGTTTTTAAAGATGATGTGTCCAAAGCTTGTTCCTTCTGATGTTTGGACGTGTTCGTAGTTTCGTTCTTCTGGTTGGTTCGTGATCTTGCTGGCTTCAGCAGCGAAGCTACAGACCTTCACGATGAGTGTCACAGCTCTTAAGGTGGCGCGTCTGGAGTCGTTCATCCCTCCTGGTGGATTCGTGGTCTCGCTGGCCTCAGAAATGACGCTGCAGACCTTCTTGGTGAGTATTACAGCTTGTTAAGGTAGTGCAGACCCAAAGAATGATCAGCAGCAAGATTAATTTCAAAGAGCAAAACAACAAACCCACCACACTTCAGAAACGGAGGGAGCGGTTTGCCGTCGCTGGCTTGGTCAGCCTGCTTTTATTCCCTTATCTGGCCCCACCCACATCCTGCTGATAGGTCCATTTTACAGAGAGCTGATTGGTCCATTTTACAGAGAGCTGATTGGTCTGTTTTGACAGGGTGCTGATTGGCGTGTTTACAATCCCTGAGCTAGACACAGAGTGGTGATTGGTGCATTTACAATCCTCTAGCTGGACATAAAAGTTCTCCAAGTCCCCACTAGATTAGCTAGACATAGAGCACTGATTGGTGCGTTTACAAACCTTTAGCTAGACACAGAGTGCTGATGGGTTCGTTTACAATCCCTGAGGTAGACACAGAGTGCTGTTTGGTGCATTTACAATCCTCTAGCTAGACATAAAAGTTCTCCAAGTCCCCACCAGATTAGCTAGATACAGAGTGTTTATTGGTGCATCCATGAACCCTGAGCTAGACACAGAGTGCTGATTGGTGCATATACAAGCCTCTAGCTAGACATAAAAGTTCTGCAAGTCCCCACCCCCCTCAGGAGCCCAGCTGGCTTTGCCTGTGCCCCTGCACTTCTGAGCCCTTGGGTGGTCGATGGAACCCTGCGCCACCGGCACCACAGAGCAGGGGGCGGTGCCTATTGGGGAGGATCAGGCTGCATGGGAGCCCATGGGGGATGGGGGAGTGCTGGGGGGGGCACTGGGGGGGGGGCGCTAGGGGAGTGTTGTTGGGCATGGTGGGCTGCAGGTCCTGAGCCCTGCCCCGCGGGGAGGCGGCTGACGCTCGGTGAGAATTTGAGCACTGTGCAGGTGGGCTGGCAGTGCTGGGGGGTGACCCAGTGCACCCTCTGCAGCTGCTGGCCCAGGTGCTAAGCCTGTCACTGCCCTGGGCCGGTGGCACTGGCCCATGCTCAGTGTGCAGGGCTGCTGAGCCCGCGCCCACACACCCACCAGGAACTCATGCTGCGGAGCAGCCCAGGTTCCCACCCACGCCTCTCCCTCCACACCTCCCGGCAAGCAGAGGGAGCCAGCTCCGGCCTCAGCCAGCCCAGAGAGGGGCTCCCACAGTGCAGCCACAGGCTGAAGGGTTCCTCAAGTGTGGCCATAGTGGACACCGAGGCCGAGGAGGTGCCGAGAGCGGAGGGAGGGCTGCTAGCACGTAGTCACCTCTCATTACAAAGTCATTTACAGTGTAGGCTCTGTGGAGAGGATATCTCCTGTCATAGCTGAAGTCTGAATTGACCTTAAGTTCCCTGCCTCCAAACCCTATTTTCCTGCCTCAGTGGGAGGGGATGAGGTCATGGGGGTGGTTTCCCTGGTTTAACACCATCCCCCTTGGTAGTGTCATCATGATAGTGAGCTCTCGTGAGATCTGTTTGTTTAAACTGTGTGGTACCTCCCTTTTCTCACTCTTGCTCCTGCTCTGGCCACGAGAGACACCCCTCCTGCTTCACCTTCTGCCATAATTGGAAGCTTCCTGAGACCTCCCCAGAAGCTGACACTGCCATGCTTCCTGTAAAGCCTGCAGAACCATGAGCCAATTAAACCTCTTTTCTTAGCAGTTACCCGGTCTCAGGTATTTCCTTATAGCAATGCGAGAATGAACTCATACATTTGTGAACAGTCTCTTGTTGACTTTGTCATTTCTCTTTTCGTGGGAGCTTATTCGGCTACTGTTTTAAATTGAACAGTTCAAGGCTCTGGTCCAGGAGGCTGTGGGGTTGTTCTTCCGGTCTAGGATTATTGAGGAGAAGGTATCATAGAATTTTAAATCCAGAGGGTGCCTTAGAGAGTATCCATCCCCTCCTTTGACAAATGAAGACACTAAAGCTCAATACATTAGGAAGTGACTCCCCAAACTACATTAATTGAATAATCTGTGTGCATCTGCTTTTCCTCAGCGGTTACATCATCCATGCTTAGAATGTGTCTTATTAAGCATTATGTATATGTAATGCAGCAAGGGTTTCCCCCTGAAAATCGGTTATGAAATGGATGCTGTGTCTTGTAATTAACAATGTCTTAACCCATAGGAGCCATGAGCATGAGGCTGCATCAGTTTTATTCAAGAAAGTGTATCCGGTGCCTCAGCAAGCTCCCTCCCTGGGCCTGGCACATTAGCAAACCTAAGCCAGCAGTGTGTAAAGTGATCATCCATCTTGACCAAGCCGTGTTTAACTCAGGGATCCAAGCAAGCTATTACTTTAGATAATATATAAGCTTAATTTGTAATACTTACAGACTTTTAAAAAAAGTACAGTTATTGCAATAGAGAAGGAAAAGTCTTTGATAATTGTCGACATCATATAATGCTAACCTTTCACTAAATTAAAAATAGGAAGAATTTTCCTCACCTGAATTGAGGGTCTGTACTGCAAGCCTTCAACAATGGTCATTCTTAGTAAACAATTATGAAATGTTACCTTTAAAATCAGAGATAAAATAAGGATGCCAGCTATCACCAACTCCACTCAATGTGCTGCTTAAAGTCCTACCTGGTGTATTCAGTCAAGAGAAGAAAGAAAAGATTTACGGGCTAATAAGGAAAAGAATTTTTAAACATACCGTCGGAATCTGCAGACAATGTGATTATCTACATAAAAAACCTAGCAGAATGCACAAATATTTATATTTCACAAGCGCTAAGCAAGGTTGCATAATCAAAATCAAGATCACAGTACAGAAGTCAACTGCATTTTTACTCACCAGCAAAATACAGGTAGAAAATACCACTTTCAAAGAAACCATTTGCAATAGCAGCAGCAACAACAAAATCATTAATTTGTGTGGTGATTGTTGATGTTCACTAAATATTTCCAGTTCTTTTGCCAAGCACACAGGGGATCACATGGGCCTTCCCCACTGAATTTAGTGTGGCCCCATGAGCAGAAGGGGTGCGTATTAAGAGGCAGTGAGCGGTTCTCAGCCTCCCGCTGCAGTGGCAGCAGGTTTGACGTGGGGCTGCCCCATCAGCCCCGGTCCTGGCTGGAGCAGCGTCACCAGGCAGCCTGTGTATTCAGAAGCAAAGATGCGTAGTGGGCATTTGTTGCTTGAGGTCACTGAGACTTGGCATTGTTTGTTACTGCAGTGAAATCTACCCTTATCCTCACTAGTCTAGAAATAGAAGAAAGATGCTAGGGTAAAAAATAATCCTCAAATACCTGGCATTGTCTTAGTAGTGAGTTGAAGACCGGCAACTGTTACTGAAGGCTGAGAAGATGCCATCTACATCGTGCTGAAGAAAGCATTTGGTGAAGGTCCTTCTGGAGGAGCCAGAGAGTCAGGTCACGTGTGTGTTATGTGTGTTGCTACCAGGTATTGGTTGGTGCACTGGTCTCCTAGCACTGTTGTAGCAAAAGTACCATACACTGGCTGGCTCCGAGAACAGACATGTATTCTCTCATAGTTCAGGAGGCCAGGGGTCCAAAATCAAGGTGTGGCCAGCAGCCCGCCCTGCCACAGAAGGACCTGGGGGAGCCCTTCTGTGTTTCTTCCTAGCTTCTGGAGGCTCCCAGAGGGACCTGGCCTCTCTCGGCTTGTGGCAGCCCCACTCCGGTCTCTGCCTCCTTCTTTACAAGGCCTTCTCCCTGTGAGTCCGTGCCTGTATCTTCATGTGGCATCTTCCCAGAGAGTCTCTGCGTCTCTTCTAATAAGAACTCCAGTGACTGGGTTTAGGCCCACCCTAATCCCATGTGGCTCATTTGGACTTGATTACATCTGCAAAGGTACTATTTCCAAAAAAAATCCCATTCGCGGATACTGGGAATTAGGGCTCGGTCATATCTTTTTGGGGACACAGTTCTAGCCACAGCAGTTGGCAGTGTCTGTACAACAAAGTATTACAAGAAAGGGATAAGCTTGTCAGTGGCAGGCAGGACTCAGAGGGGCAGAGAGCCCTCAAATTCAGGGACTCGTAGGATTGGAACAGACAGTTGCTTCTCCCTTGATAGCGTAAAAAGTAAACTTGGAAATGCTTTGAACTGCCACGACTGTTTGGATCTCAGCCTTTCAGGCAAGGCTGGTCAAGTGCTTGGTCCCTAGACTCATTGTTAACATCTCTTAATAGACTAGCACATGAGGGAACCCCAAAGGCTGCCTTGGTTAGAGACTCCTTTAGCAAGGACTAAGTGGCTCCCGGAAGAGGGCAAGGGTTTCAGCCTCCCAGCAGAGCCCATGATACCAATAGACAGGTCAGTCCTATCTGCTGAGGGCCACAGGAGTAAGGAAGCCAGGGAACGTGGCAAGTCTACTAGGAAGACCTACAGAGTCGCTGAGCATGCAGCTCTTGATGTGTGTGCTGTGTGGAACCAAACAGAGAAGCAGCTCACTAAGCTCTTGAAGACTTTACTGCCAAAGAACCACACACTGTGGCTAAGAGAGACTAAGATTTTAGGGAATGAAAGTGACCCTTGGCATCCACCATCTGTAAACAAGAAGGGGTCTGGGAGGGAGTGCATCTGATGCCCACAGTGAATGTGGCCATGGAGGCGAATGGAAAAGGGATGTGTTTGTTAGGCCACTCTTGCATGGCTATGAAGGAGGACCTGAGAATGAGTAATTGATAAAGAAAAGAGATTTAATTGGCTCACTGTTGGGCAGGCTGTGCACGCATGATGCCTGCATCTATTTGGTTTCTGGGAAGGCCTCAGGGAGCTACCAATCATGGCAGAAAGCAAAGTAGGAGCAGGTGCTTCATATGGCAGGAGTGGGAGCAAGAGAGGGAAGGGGGAGGTGCCACACACTTTAAACAGCCAGATCTCACGTGAACTCAGTCATCACCAAGGGAATGGTGCCAAGCCGTTCATCAGGGATCCACCCCATCGCCTCCGGCCAGGCCTCACCTCCAACACTGGTGATTACATTTCAACATGAGATTGAGAGGGGACAAATGTCCAAACCATGCCAAAGAAGAACCACCCAAGAGGAGGGGCCCAGTGCCTTGAAGGGCGACAAGCAGCAAGCCACCCCCAGGAGCAGGACCAGGACCTCATCAAGAGACAGCCCGGAGCGGGTCCACACCACATCTGCCTGGTTATTGTAGACCAGTGACTGTGGCCCGGCCTGTCCTCCTTGCTCCGAGTGGGGCCATTCATCATGGTTGCCTATATGGCCAACTGGATGTTAGGGGCACACATCCTACACTTGCTGGGTCACAGATCCCCGGGCTCTGAGGGGCTTGATCTGGGCCTGATGAAGAAGCTACCGGGCATTGCTCAAAGATCCTGGACTCAGCCCTGGATGCAGAGACAGGACACCACCCTGGGATATGGGGCTGGGCTGCACAGAGGAAGGGAGGGGACCCAGTGCTTGCTGGCCAGAAGTGTGGATCGCTAGGGCTTAGTGCTGCCAACCGAAACACCTCCCCTCTCCACACACACTGGCAGAGCAGGGGTAGCCCCGGGACGGGCGTCAGCCCAGGAAATGTGAGTGGAAGTGCATGTGTCACCTCCAGGCGGAAGTCTGAAGGCTCCTTTCCTTCTGGATAAAATTGCGACTAGCAATTGAGATGGTGTCTTCTCTGTCACTGTGGGTCACAAACTGAGTGGAGCCCACAGTTAAAGCAAGAGATAAACTTTTATCATTTTAAGAACTGAGCTCTGACACAGCAGTTACTACGGTGTGACTTAGCCTGGATTAAATAGCACAGTTCTCGGGAATAAACCGACAAGCAATGCGCGGCTACGGCAGAAAACTGCAGCACTCTGTTCAGTGACATTAAGAAAACCTAAATAAACATCCACCATTTGAAGACTCAGTATCACAATGGTGTCAGTGACGTCACTTGGCTCTATAGATGTAATGCATTTCTAATGAATACCTCAACACAGACATTTGAGGAGACTGACCAGGAGCAGGAAGAACCTAGATGTTTCTAAACAAGAAACATAATGGTGAGGGCTTGGAACAGCCCAGCCACACATCAAGACTTAGGTATTAGTCATGGTGCAATCAGAACCTCCGTGAATATTGTGAGATGAGGAATTTATTCAGTCAGTAAGACCGTGCACTTGTGGGGGAAACGGAGGCATTTGGGTTCAGAGCAGAAGCTGTAGATTCAGAGGAAAGTCACCAGTCAGCACCGCGGCAGCACCGGAGCAGGTGTGGAGGTCAGAGCTGGGAGGGGCTGGAAGCTGGAGCCACCAGCTGCAGAGCTGCACACCGAGGATTGCTGGGGGGCTCATGGGAGGTGAGGGTGCCTCGAGATCGTTCCCGGAGGTCCCAGCGCAGCGTCCGGTTGCCAGCCTGGGGCTGCTGTCAGCAGGGCCGACCCTGAGGAAGAGGACGCTGGGCAGAGCCGACACCTGAGGGTCTGTCCGGCACCACACCTGGCCAGTGGGCCTGTGGGGTGTCGGCCACTGCTCTGCCTTCCTAGTTCACCGCGACCTTGTACGGGGTGGGGGTTCTGGGAAATGCAGCCCCAGCTTAGCAGCCCCACCAATCAAATGCAGTGCAACAACCCCCAACTCAGTACGAAGTTAGAGTAGTTAAGACGGTGGGACACTTATGCACAGGGAGAAAAAGACAAAAGGGTGCAAACCCAGAAAGAGACCTGTGGACCTCAGGAGGATCACGAGAGAAAGAGGCCCTATTCAACAAAAGGTCAATACCTCGAGAAATAGAATTTCTCTCCATGTAAAAAAACAGAAGAAAGTAAAAACCTCACACCATAAACAAGAGTTTATTCCAGAGGGATGGAAGGTTCAGGTGTCAAAGGCCAAACTCTACAATCTAAGGTTTCCTAAACAAAACACTGAAAGTACTAACCATAAAAGAAAAGATTAATAAAATCAACTACATTTAATTTAACAAATTTCTTTTTTTGTCAAAAGTTACCAAAAGAGGGTAAAAGGACAAGCCAGAAATTGGGAAAAGATATTTGCAACACAACCAACCAGCAAAAGATTATCTATCTAAAAGGTGTAAAGAAGCCTTAACAAATCAATAAGAAAGAGACCAAATGGTTATAAAATGAGCAAAATATACAGACGGCCAATTCACAAAGAAGCAAATCCAAATGGCATAAAAACAATGAAAGGACCCTTAAATTGACTGAGATCTTTGAAAAGCAAATCAAGGCAAGCATGAGATACCATTTCACACAGGCAAAACCCACAGAGGCTGACAATATCCCATGCTGGCAAGGGCATGGAGCAGGTGGGTGGTCTCACGCCCTGCTCCTGGGTGTGCAAATTGGTACAGCCACTTTGGAGAAGATTTTAGAATTAAGTATGTGTACCCCTGACAACGTAGCAATTTCTAAATGTATGCCCTTGAGAAGTTCTCATACATACGCACCAAGAAACATTTACAAGGATGTTCACAAAACTGTACGTATGTGTGAGCCACTGGAAAGCTGTGAATTCCCCTGAAGGGTGGGAGGTGGAGGTGGCAACACGTTCTGCAGCGGAACTGCATTCGGCAAATGCAGGAGAGCTTTGTGCACCATTACAATCTCGGGAATGTTTCTGAGTAAAAGAAAGTGACTTGCAGAGGCATATGTAGAGTAGGATTTGTTATCCAGGGATAAGTGTGTGGTCTAAATCCTGTATATACCTGTATATATATGTACCTGTATGTTAGTTATTGTAAAGCCAGTGATTGCTCTTGAGATTAAAAATGATTTTAAAAGCTTGGAACAATGGTTATTGCTGGCAGCAGTGACAGCAGGATAGGCACATCTGGGAAAGGACAACCGCAGAGTGCTCCGTATTGGAAACGCCCAGCACCCAGATTAGGGTGCAGATTCTCAACTGCTCATCTTATTATTACGTCATGACTTACACGCAGGGCACACACACTTTTCGGATAACAGTCTTTTTAGATGCGTGGTCTGAGCCTGCTAAAGGTGAACACAGCCTGTCCTGAGGTTTCCCTCTTCCTCCGGCGTCTGCCTCCTCTGGCTGAGCAGGAATGCCATCTCTGCGACTCTCACCCGCTGGCACGGCACTTCTCCTCCCCTGGGCTTTGAGGAGCAGCACTGGCTCATCTTCCCACAAGAGGTGTCCCAGCATCTGAGGACAATGATATTCTCTTCTCATGGAACCCAGTCTCTTCCGCTGCCTTTCACCCGAGGCAATGCCATGTCTTCTCGGTGTCTTGATCGTCTTTCTCTGAACTTGCTTGGAGTTGTCTGCATTCCTCTCCAGGTGCCACCCACGATGGAAGGCGACATTGCTGGTGAAGTCTGACTCCTTGAGAGTGGCGTGGGTCCTTCACCTCCTCCCAGCAGGGCGTTTCGGACAATACAGCCTAGGATTCTATGGATCATGGGTAAGTCATCCTGTTGGCTTATCTTAAGTAGATTGACGATTGAAACCTAAAGGCGTTTTTACAAGTGTTGGTGCGAAGACTCCCCAGTCAGGATGTATGTGGTTGGGTTTTGCATCCTAGATCTCATATTCACACCTAATACATTTTATCTTTAAAACTTTAAAACTTCCATTCCTCCAGACAGCAGGAACTCTGGGGACACAATTCTGCTCTTCACAGTAGCTCCTGTCCCAGCTTTAAGCCATTATTTTATTTGGCTGATGTTTCACGCGCAGTGAGGTATTCACATGGTGCAGTAATCCCCACGTCGTCCCGGTTGACACCCAGCATCTTAATGGCTGGCCGTCTTCATCCACCCTCTGTCCTTCTAAAATGAAGCTGCAGATACTATCTTCTGGCCTCAGACACAGCAGTCAAATGTTTACGTGCTCTCCAACTGGTTTGTGTGTTTGTATCTAGTTCAGCATTTCCAAGTTTCTGGGGAACATCATGAGATACCACCAACAAAAGATTTTGTGGTCAAATTAATGGGGAACGTTCAGACTATGTCTCCTTAAACGCTCTGTATTAATGTGTAAAAGGTCTCCGAGAACCTCTGCATTTAAACAACAATAACAAAAACCCACACAAAGAAAATTGTCCTCTGTAATCTGTGTGACCCAGCATTTCCAATTTCATCTGATGACGTTTGGAAAACAGAACTCATGCCCTCTGCCCTTTGGAGCATGTTCTTCTGCAGCTAGACCTGCCTTTCATGTTCTGTAATTCTAGAGGGAGTGTCTCATGTCTGGCTGTTTCCTCTCCCAGCAACTGAATCTAGGTTCTGAATGAGCAGATCCTGTCAATCTAGGTTGCACGCATTTCTCACTGTGTAACGTCAATTACCCTAGTCCTTGTTACTTGAAGATTGTGAAGGGAAGTAAATACTGTCACACATAAAATGATTACTTATGGACTGACCACTTACAAAAGTGTGGTCCACTCAAATGCCCTTCCCCCTGGACAGCAGTAGCTCTCGGCTGTCACTGTCACAACCACACGGCCTTTGGTCAGGGTTGCTTAGACACAAGCGAATACAAAGCACGTTGGTAGAAGGAAGGTGGAAATTGTGAAGCAGGCAGAGAATTTTGGGGTTGATGACGCTTGTAGAGTTATTGGCCAGAAGTGATCTGGTCAGAGGTGAACTGATTAGCAAAAATTGGTCACGCAGGTAGACCCAGGAGTTGCGAAAGGAAATGACGTGAACTCAGGAGTAGGGGGAGCCCTCGGGAAAGCTCACGGAGCCCTTGAACTTCTGCAGGAGCAATGCTCCTTTCCAGCCGGAGGCCAAAGTCACATGTCAAGGGCATTCTAGGTGGCTGCTGTCTAATCTTGTCAGAGAAAAATTCACCCAGAAAGATATGTATATATGATTGATTCTTTTGGTCTAACAATGAAAACATAGTTATGTTTATTACATGTTTCGTTAAAATACAATAAAACAAACCACTTACCATACAACTATGTTTCCTTTCATTAAGCTAAAAATTTCAAGTAAGGCGTTTTGGCTGTGAAGTTCTGGCCTTGATTTTAGGAGGATTCTGCAACTGTTCCAGGGTGGAGATGCTCATGGTTCTTCCTCAGCAATGGGGCCGCCTCTGTGAGGAAGCTCACACGTGACGGGTCTGAGCAGGGAGGTGCAAGGGCAGCCTGAGGCGGCAGACGGCAGCACTGGCTCTCCCCACAAAACACCGGTAGTGACCGTCGCCCTGGTGTCCAGCCGAGCCTGGCCCTCTCTGGAGTCCTTCCTGGTCGCCTTTGCACGGTGCAGAGGTTGACACTCAAAGTTTCAGGACTTCACTGCTTTGAGGCAGCTGCAGGATGCTGCGGTCTTTGCCCCTGTCTCGGGGGCGCCAAGTCTGCAGGGCTGCTGGGGACAGCTTTCCTCTAAGGTCCGTATCAATGGCAAATGGTTTTTTTTTTTTTTTACCTCATTTTGAGGGAGAAGGCACTTTCTGCTTAGAGTAGCATAAAACCAGCTCCCTCCAAGGCAGAAGCCCAGGCCTGGTGGCACCTCCTGTGGGACCTGGATCATCATCCTGAAAGAACAATCCCAAATGCTGTAATCCCGGAAAATCAAAATCCTTAAAATCTAAATCCCCACAGTCTAAAATCCTGACATTTAAAATCCTGAAACCACAGTCGCAGGACAGTTGCATCATGTCAGGTGGGACGATGACCTTGTTACGGTCTTCACTGGAAATTAAGCATGGTTTAAGGAGATGCATTTGGCGGAAATTCAGATGAGTGATGGGCCCTGCCATACAGCACTGACAGAATCCTTGGTTTAAAAATTCGTCACGTGCCTGCAGTGACATTCCTTCTGGCTGATGACGTGCCAGGAGATGTTAATGAATTAAAGCCACACTTGCCTGAAGAAGCTGGCGAAGTTACCGACTGGTTCAAAAATAATTATGTGCACTGTAGGATAAGAAGACACCTACACAGGCCGGGTGCCGTGGCTCACGCCTGTAATCCCAGCACTTTGGGAGGCCGAGGCAGGCGGATCATGAGGTCAGGAGATCCAGACCACCCTGGCTAACACAATGAAACCCCGTCTCTACTAAAAATACAAAAAAATTAGCCGGGTGTGGTAGCGGGCGCCTGTAGTCCCAGCTACTCGGGAGACTGAGGCAGGAGAATGGCATGAACCCGGGAGGCGGAGCTTGCAGTGAGCCGAGATTGTGCCACTGCACTCCAGCCTGGGCGACAGAGCAAGACTGCGTCTCAAAAGAAAAAAAAAAAGAAAACAAAAAAAAGAAGACACCTACACAACGGTTTTGCCGTTCTGTCGCCAGCGCGGTTCCCACCAATCCACGGTCTGCGTATGAAAGCATCCAGATGGATTTCCTCATACCTAAAACAATGTGGACGCATGGCACAGAAGATGTGAAGGTTGAAGAGGGCTCATGCAGCTGTGTGTTGAATCACAGAAGAATTCCAGAAGAGCAGAGCCACATGGAAATGAATGTGAACGTATCCTCCGAGGAGAACCATGTCCTGAAAGAAAAAAAAGCAGCAATTCATCACCACGCAGAATTCAAAACGTAGTTAATGATCGTGAAAGCCGGCCAGCTCTTACGGACTCCGACCTGTGTGCAATCGCCAATAGTCCATCCCTGTGATATGATTTTCCATAGGTTGAATTTTCTTTTTAGTTTCTCCCACCATTTTAAATTGTCAGCATTATTTCTTACAATTTGCCATGCTGTGTATTTCACCTTCACATCACTTCAATACCGGAGGTGTAAATTGTGTGGAGACTTTTAGAAAGTTTTGTTTTATGCATCTTTTGCAAATTTGACTCCACGAAAGTGCGTGATCATAACCTTGAATTTGTGTGTAAGCATTGTGTGTCTGTGTGTGTGTGTCTGTGTGTGTGTGTGTACACAGAAACACTGAAACTTCCTCCGTAAATGAAGAGATGTCCTTTTTGTGCATCTGTGTTTGTGAAGGATAAAGTTTCTCGAGATCTCAGCTCCTTGGGTGACCGCATGTGTGGAGATGACCCATCTCGTTTTTTATGGGTCTTGTCAAAGGCTGAGGCTCTTGGCCACAGTATTTCAGGTGACTGGAGGATAAAGCTGGGTGCACATAGTGACCAATGACAGTGACGTTGTTTACACATTTCCCTTTTACACCTATTTTTTCATGAATCCGGTTCGTCTGCTCATAGCTGTTGTACTCAGGCAACAGTCCTTAGATACCTGAGCGTTTGTGCTCGCAAAAATATGCATGTTCTTAGGGGCCGTTTCATTGCATCAAGTGTTCTGTCATGTTTTATAAATCCCCTTTTAAAATGTAATAAGTATTGTCTTAAATAATTTAAAATGATTTTTTCCAGAAGTACCTTGTTGAGATTTTGATCTTCCGGGATGTCAACATTCGGGATTATGGAGTTCGGGATTGTGTCATTGGGATCACGATCGACCCCCTTCCTGGGAAATGGTTTAAGCTCCCTCCGCAAACCCTCGGAAGTCACCGTTGAGTCATTCCCTCCTGATACAGTGTGGTGACCATGCCGTTGTTGGTTGTATTCTTATCACGAGGGCCCTGTGTGACCCCACGGAGCAGCCTGTGCTGTGTGAATCGAGGCCGGCTGTGCAGCTCTAGCTTCTATGTTAAATGCTTTCAGATGCCACTGGCGTTTCACTCACAGTCCTAGGATCCATAGGGATAGGGTGAGGCAAGATGCTGTGAGCGCATCTGGGTCAGACCAAAGGGGCAGGAGGAGGAGAGGAGTGAGGAGGGTTTGGATGGACAGCAGCACCTGAGCTTAGTTTAGGGCCTGTGAGCTTCCGTGAGTGGAGAAGGACAATGCGCTGACACTGACACAGACTCAGAAGTCACTAAAGCATCTAGAACTCAACTTCTTCTCCCCAAGTAAGGCCCCAACCCAGGCACCTTCTCAAATCATATTTCATGTGTCCTCACTTCTGCCAGTTCCTATTTAAGGCAATTATGGCTTTAGCAAAGGACTCTGATGATACTACGCAAAGGGCGTGTGTCCCTTGTTTGTAGTGGGAACGGCCAGACAGGATCATCCATGGTCTGTATTTCAGCCGCCCAGTGCTGGCTTATGGGTGCAGATGACTGACACGTCAGGGTAGATGTCACCAAGATAACCATGCGTTATTCTGCTGGCCATGGTGGGGTTGACTTGGGCCCTCATCAACACATCCTGGCCTTTTCATGTGACATTCAATTATTTCAGAGGGCAGTGTGTCTGGAAAATTGCTTACATTGTTCAAGCACCAGGCAGGCAGAGTCCTCTTGGCTAGTGATTAGGGGAGAGCTGTGCATTCAGGATCAAAGACTGTGGGGGAGGTACATATGTAACCAGCAGAGATGTATCACCATGATAGTGGGATGCTGCATGCCGTGGGGTCAGGGAGACTTCCTGGCTGTGACAGTGATGAAGTGACTCTTGTCATTCTCCTGGGCACTTCCCTCCAGGCCATCCCAACACGGCCATGCCTGGGTCCCCAGCCATGCCTCACACGCATCTGGCTGCAAATCTGGCCTTCTCCAAGGGCGCTTTCTTCCCTCTCAATGAAGACTGAGTAGGAGGGAGCAAGTAAGAGTCCTGCACATGCTGTATACACAGGACAATGGCTACCCACGCATGAGCATTGCTGGTCTATCAAGGACGTACCCAGCAATTACCGTTGATGAAATTCCACTTTAGTGATGATCTCAGGGACAAATGTTTCCTCCAAAAACATACAAAATGATTTTGGATCTGCCATTTGCAATCTAACCCCATGAGTCCCTGGGGCCACATCGGTTGGAGTTCGCCTGGGTGCTGCACAGCCTGAGCCACTGCCCAAGGGCCTCGCCTCGTGCGTCTTATTGGCTTCCAGTACAGGGCCAAGCCATGGTAAGTTTTCAGGAACAGTTTGTTGATTGATTTTTAAATCTTTTTCCAGGGTGGTAGATCAATGAATGGAACACAGTGTTTCCAAATGCTCATGTGACTTATGACCAGAGGACACCAGTCAGCACCTTTGAGCAGTCGCCGTGTGCCAGGTGCTGTGCTGAGCACTTTGTGTCCAAGATCATGTTAAATCCTCACAACAACCATGAGGGGCAGACTCTGTGATTTTCGTCATTTCTCAAAGAAGGAAATTGAGACCTTAAAAGACATAACTGTGTGACACCACACGCAAACATATTTAGGTCTGGTTTGGAAGATTGTGTGCTAATTCTCACATTCTTCTGCCATATGCAGCCACACATGAAATGTACAAATGCTCCAGAGCTCAGGCCTTGGTGACAGGAGCGCCCCTGCAGGTGGGGAGCACTTGGCATTCTAGCGACGGCTCATTTATTAATGATGAACTATCCTGGGAGGTGGGTAATGAGGTCACCACACTGTAAATGAGGACCCTGGAGGGAAGTGAAGTCTTCCAGGTCGTGTGGTCTGGTGACTGGGAGGGCTTGTCCTTGTGTGCCGAGTCGAGTGTCTTTTTATGACTCCTTCGTTATACATCAGAATTGGAAGCAGCAACTTTGTGTTAAGAGAACATGTCGCAGCCAGGGCTTATAAATGAATGGGCTTGGGCAGGGTGTGGTGGTACATGCCTGTAATCCCAGCGCTTTGGGAGGCAGAGGCAGGCAGATCTCTTGAGTCCAGGAGTTCAATACCAGCCGGGCAACATGGCGAAACCCCAGTACTACTACACAAATGCAAACAAACAAACAAAAAAAAAAAGCCAAGTGTGGTGGCGAGTGCCTTTAGTCCCAACTGCTTGAAAGGCGGAGATGGGAGAATCACTTGACCTTGGTAAGTTGAGGCTATAGTGAGCTGTGATCTTGCCACTGCACTCCAGCCTGGGTGACAGAGTGAGACCCTGTATAGTATAAAATAAAAAATAAAAATAAATAAATAAATAAATAAATGTGCGTTATGAGTATAAGACAAAACCATACACACACACACACAAACACATGTATACGCAACACACATACAGACACATAAAGAACACACACAACACATACATGCATATACACATGCATATAAACACATATAAGCATACATACATACACAGAAAAACACACCCATAAGACGCATAACAGTGGAATCTTAAGAAGATGCTAGCCTTGGCACACAGACTCGGTCTCCCAGAAGCACACACACATACACACACATATACGCATATCCCAGAAGCACACACACATACACACACATATACGCATATGCACACATATATGTACATGCATAAACATGCACACACACACACACACATATACACAAATACACCCCCTCCAGCAATGTTCCATGAAAGTGGCAAGTTGGGTGCTAATGAGCAGTGACCTGTCAACAGACACAAAGTGTTTGAATTAGAGAAGTGAAAAAAACAGAATTACATAGCACGCTAAATGTTTAAAAAAAACACTGAGTAACATTTTTTTACATTGGCAAAATTTGATCTTTGTTTTTAACAAGTCATAGAGAAGTTTTATTTATTTTCCTTCAGAACAATGGCCAGAGCGTTGGTGGTGTCGGACACCCATTAAACAGAGTGAGACTCCAAGTTAACACAGAGAAGAACAAAATCGCCTTTATTTTTACCCACGGAAGGAAGAGTGAGGGTTTCAAGTCATATTAGAAGTGCTCTTTGGAGACCCAGCATGGTGGCTCACGCCTGTATTCCCAGCACTTTGGGAGGCCAAGGTGGGTGGATAACCTGAGGTCAGGAGTTCGAGACCAGCCTGGCCACCATAGTGAAACCCCATCTCTACTAAAAGTATAAAAATTAGCCCGGCGTAGTGGTGGGAGCCTGTAATTGCAGCTACTCGGGAGGCTGAGACATGAGAAATGCTTGAACCTGGAAGGCAGAGGTTGCAGTGAGCAGAGTTCACACCACTGTACTCTAGCCTGGGTGACGGAGCGAGACTCCATCCCAAAAAAAAAAAAAAAAAAAAAAAAAAAAAGTGATCTTTGGGTGTAAAACTGATTAGCATGAGGTGGGCAGAGCCAGACTGAGAGCTGAAGTTTCCATGACTCCAGAGTTCTCTTTAGGAAAAAGAAAGCAAAGTGAGACCCAAGTGGGTATGAAAATGGCATTTGTTTAGAGCGAGAAAAGACATCATAGCAATTTATAAATTTTGAAACACTGATAAATACCTAAGACACCATGAAATCAGGGGGATGGTATGAAGTGTCTGACCCGCTCTAACACCCTTTCCCCACTGTTTGGCTGAAGACCCTGATATTTCCTACAGGGAGAAAAATACAAATTAGCCTACTCCTTCTGGTGGATCAGAATTTGTGTTTAATGATTGATCCTTTAGAAAACTTTCTTTTAGTTTTACAACCAGCTCTTGGAACATCTCCTAAATTTTTTAAAGATTGTTAGCAAATTTGGGGAGAACCTCTGTCGAGTTTCTTTCCTGTAAAGAGCTGTAAGTTTTCAGGAAATTTAAAATGTTCCCATTCTGTGAGGAATCCCAATTATTCCTTCAGTTGCCGACTCTCATCACCAATCTGCCATCAATGCATCTCGGAATTTATCGTGGCCCTCACAGAATATCCTGCCAATCTAAGTGGTGTGAATCTTCGAAGCCATGTCACCATGGCTGGGCCCCAGATGTGCCAGCAGCCCTGTGGTCCTCACCTGGCACGGGGAAGTGGCATGGGGGTGGGGGACTGGGTGGGAAGAAACAGACCCTATCCATTACGGCTGCCACACTTTTGTGCCTTGTGGAATCCCATGGGGCTGTGTGCACACGGCCTCGGCCCGATGGACGCGTGGGCTCAAGCTTCCTTAGCTTCCTGCAAATCCGCCCCAGCTTCGGTGACACCAAGCCCACCACGTCCTCTGGGCGGTGTGGCTACTGTGCCCCACTCCCCAGAGTCTCCTCTTGTCTCAGCCCTGATCCTGGCAGTGTTTCCCACGACTTCCTTTGATGTGGAGTCTTTTATTTGGTTCACACATGCAGTCCCATACTGGTAATGTGTCCAGAATTGGTGGGTTCTTGGTCTCACTGACTTCAAGAATGAAGCCGCGGACCCTTGTGGTGAGTGTTACAGCTCTTAGGGTGGCGCGTCTGGAGTCTGTCCCTTCTGATGTTCAGATGTGTTCGGAGTTTCTTCCTTCTGGTGGGTTCATGGTCTCACTGGCTCAGGAGTGAAGCTGCAGACCTTCGCGGTGAGTGTTACAGCTCTTAAGGCAGCGTGTCTGGAGTTGTTCGTTGCTCCCGGTGGGCTCTTGGTCTCGCTGGGCTCAGGAGTGAAGCTGCAGATCTTCGCGGTGAGTCTTACAGCTCATAAAAGCAGCGTGGACCCAAAGAGTGAGCAGTAGCAAGATTTATTGCAAAGAGCGAAAGAACAACGCTTCCACAAAGTGGAAGAGGACCCGAGCGGGTTGCCAATGCTGGCTCGGGCAGCCTGCTTTTTATTCTCTTATCTGGCCCCACCCACATCCTACTGATTCGTAGAGCCCAGTGGCCTGTTTTGTCAGGGTGCTGATTGGTGCGTTTACAATCCCTGAGCTAGACACAAAGGTTCTCCACGTCCCCATCAGATTAGTTAGATACAGAGTTTGGACACACAGGTTCTCCAAGGCCCCACCAGAGCAGCTAGATACAGAGTGTCGATTGGTGCACTCACAAACCTTGAGCTAAACACAGGGTGCTGATTGGTGTATTTACAATCCCTGAGCTACATATAAAGACTCTCCACGTCCCCACCAGACTCAGGAGCCCAGCTGGCTTCACCTAGTGGATCCCACACCGAGGCTGCAGGTGGAGCTGCCTGCCAGTCCTGCGCCGTGCGCTCGCATTCCTCAGCCCTTGGGTGGTCGTTGGGACTGGGTGCCGTGGAGCAGGGGGTAGTGCTCGTCGGGGAGGCTCGGGCTGCACAGGAGCCCATGGAGTGGGTGGGAGGCTCAGGCATGGCGGGCTGCAGGTCCCGAGCCCTGCCCCGCGGGAAGGCAGCTAAGGCCTGACGAGAAATCGAGCGCAGCGCCGGTGGGCTGGCACTGCTGGGGGACCCAGTACACCCTCCGCAGCCACTGGCCCGGGTGCTAAGTCCCTCATTGCCCGGGGCCAGCAGGGCTGACTGGCTGCTCCGAGTGCGGGGCCCGCCAAGCCCACGCCCACCCGGAACTCCAGCTGGCCCGCAAGCGCCGCACGCAGCCCTGGTTCCCGCTCGCGCCTCTCCCTCCACACCTCCCTGCAAGCTGAGGGAGTGGGCTCCTGCCTTGGCCAGCCCAGAAAGGGGCTCCCACAGTGCCGTGGGGGGCTGAAGGGCTCCTCAAATGCCACAAAGTGGGAGCCCAGGCAGGGGAGGTGCCGAGAGCAAGCGAGGGCTCTGAGGACTGCCAGCACGCTGTCACCTCTCAGTAAGAAGAATGACACAGAAGTTGGAGAACGGAATGTAGGGAAAGGGTTATCTTCCTCTCCCATGCTCATTTTAGAAGATGGAGGACAAAGGAGAGAGGAAAGAACACAGGTTGTCGGGTAAAGTGTGCTGTACCCTGTCCCTCTGTCTCTTGTCAGAGAATTTAGGGCTCATAAAATGCCTTGGATTTCAAAGAGCATTGGCTCTAAAGGTAAATTTACCTGTTGCTTTTCTGTAAAATGCCAGGTGGTTTTCTACTGCTAACTAGTGAACAAGCATAAGGTCATGATCCCTCATGACTGCAAATGCAGCTAAAGGGAACCGCTCCATCAATGAGAAAGACAGGAACATCCACGGAGCGTCATCAGACGGCGTTTTCTAGCGAGGCACACGTCACAAGTTCAGAGAGCGTCTTCTACCTAGTCCCTGAACCAAGACAGGAACATCCACAGAGCGTCATCAGACGGCGTGCTCTAGCGAGGCACATGTCACAAGTTCAGAGAGCATCTTCTACCTAGTCCCTGAACGCTGCACAAGGAAGGAAGATTCGTTTTGCAGGAGCAGTGCAAAAGCAAAAAGCAACAAAAGGAAGCCCAATTCTGACGCAGGTTGTTTGATGTGCATGAAGGGGGCAGACGGAAATACAGCAAGTTCTCTTCCACGTTAGCTCCCCTCACATTGGCCCTGGTGCCGTCTTCATGCCTGCTGCAAGCTGAGTGAGGCAGGCCTGCTGTCCTCCCTGGGGCGAGCTTCTCCACTGATTTTCCTTATACCTGGGACCCAAAAATAGATTCCAAAACCTACCAGACATTTTATTGGAGCATAAACAGTGCAAAATAACAGAATTCCACCCTATAGAAAACAGCAGCTGGGGGCCTCACAGGCCAGGCATCTACAATGATGGGATTGCTGACCCTACGTTATCTGCCACGCTTGCAACTTCTCTGGCCAAGCAAGTCTCGGGAGCTGCGAAACAGATGAGGGCAGGAAGGCCAAACCGTCTGCTGGTTTTCCCGCTGACTTCCAGGGTGGTTTCAATCAACGTGCAGGTGCGGCGTTGAGAATGACAGCTCGTCGGCCTGTACGCCTCTCAATAATGAGATTACATCTCATGACAGTGGTGAATTTGACTTTGACATTATGGAATATGAAGCAACCACTGTAACAGGAATTGTTTTTTAAAAAGAAAGAGATGCAAAAAGTAATGGTCATTTATATTAATTTCACCACAGAAATGGTGGCTTGGTATAAGAAAAATTGCATCAAAATTATAATTCTAAGCATAAAACAATGATTAGTATTGCAGTCATTGGAGAAGAAGGCATGCAAAAAAAAATACCACGAACATTTCAGGAGACTATTTTCCTCATATGAAGCTTATTCTTATAATATTACTGCATTTCAAAAAATACAATTTTAGAAAAAAAAATGAACTATAGCTCTTTGCAGTGATAGGCGACAGGTCAGAAAAGCATTTCAGAATAATTTTACACCTTTTAACCTTAAAAAATACTTTGCTGACAATTGAGAAAGGGCCTTAAAAGAAGCTCTGATAGGCATTCTCACAGCGGGGTTGCCTGTCCCATCACAGGGCTGGCGTCTGCATAATGCACCCCATAATAAGACGTGCGCTGCAGATCACAAGGCGGAGGAGAGGCTTTAAGAGTCAGCCTTGGCAAGAGCCGCTATTAGTCATGACACTGAAAGTTTGTTGCATAAAACTCTTGGGAAGACATAAAGGAGGTAAACTGTTTAAAATTTTGATTTGAGCTGGGAAAGAACGACTTTGTCACAGGATTTTTGTCTGCATTTAAATATAGATTTAGCATTTCTGGTTTTCATTTCTGCTCATGCTTGGACAGTCTGGTTAAATGGAAACTCCACACTGCTTTGCTAAATGAATGGCACTGTCCTCGGATTCTATTGCTCAAAGCGGTAATTGTTAGAAAACTGTGGTAACAATTACTGGTGATAATTACGAATGCTAATAACGATGGCTGGTAGTTATATGTTTCCCAGTTGCAAATCCCGGTCAAATTTAGGGGAAACTCAGCAATATTTCGTCGTAACAAAAACAAAAAAACCATCCATCAAGGAATGATACACCCTGAAGTCATCTTTTAATGCCATTATAAAAGGGATGGATTCTGAGTCAGGTGAAACTTGCCTCCTGGAACTGTAGCGGGAAAAGAGAGGAAAGAGGAAGACAATAGGATTTCTTGTGACTTTCAACAAAAATCTCACTAAACACAAGAGAGGCGAAAGGAGATGGGAAAGACTTGCTTCTAAGCAAGTTTTCTTTTCCTTACCTAGAGACCAAATTCATGATGTTTTTAGTTGTCCTGGGGATTGCTTTCAGCTGTGCTTTGTTTAAGACGGACACTGTTCCTGTCTCAGGTGAGGTCACTTTAATTAGAACAGCGCTGACCTCGGGACTGGATTTGACTAGCTACTCAAACACAGTGCCTTTTATTGTTTTAGAGATATTCAGAGATGAAAGAAGTAATTGGCTGTCGGGTCTGGATCCTACTTGAATCACGCTTTAGTAGGATGCAGAGAAGTTGCAGCTAATTCTTTCTTTTTGTCTTTCTTTCTTTCTTTCTTTCTTTCTTTCTTTCTTTCTTTCTTTCTTTCTTTTTCTTTCTCTCTCTCTCTCTTTCTTTCTTTCTTCTCTTTCCCTCTCTCCCTCCCTCCCTTCCTTCCTTCCTCTCCTCTCCTCTCTCTTTTTTCTTTCTATCATCCTTTATCCTTCTTATTTTTAACTTTTCCAGTTTGGGTGACAGTTTCTCTTTCAAGTCATACAAAAGACTTTCCACATTTTCTTATTCTGGCTCCATGTGGCCACTCTCTGAGCAGTCGTCCTTGGGAACATGAAGTGAACTTGGTGCCTCTCGGGAAAGGACTTTCTCCTGCTCCGCTGTCTGTGAAGATGATGGAGGTGCCAGGGCCTGGCTGGCAACATCCATGTCCCATGAGGCGTTTGCTCCAGAACGAGCACTTTGCTTCTCTTTGGCAACTAGTTCAATTAACAGAGGGTTCTGTAAATTTTAAACGGAGAAACAGGGACCCAGCAGGGTGAAAAGGAATCCACTTTTGGTGGGAGAAGACAGTGCTGCTATGGGGTTGCCCTGAATGGGTTGAGGGGTTTGCCCACACCACTGGCAGAGGAGGGCCTCTGAACTTTGTGTTGTTCTGCTGCCAAGAGAAGGAAACTGGTGAAGAAGATCTGCGATTTTACAAAATGATAGGTTATTGTTCTTTGTTATTTATGTTCTATTTAGTAAGTTGTTTTATATGCTGTTCTATAGATTCAGGCAGTTTTCAATGCCTAAAATGGCTCTATCCCACCCCTGAAATATATATTTTGCATATGATTTCATTTTTTATTCTCAAAGTTCAAATTCTACATGTTTTGGTCAAACGTGGAGACGTGAATTTGACTTGTGGCGTTGACTATTGAGAAATAGTCAACTAAGTGACTGGAAATAGCAATTTTTAACCACTTCGTGGAGGCTGTGTGAATGTCACCCTAATCAGATGAAGCGCTGACTGACAAGATTTATGACAGTCACAAAAAAGTCCTGGCATCTCAGCTTTCCACAGTGTGCGGACCACGGTGGTTACCGTGGTAATTAGTATTTTCCAGAAAAATTCATCAATTTTCCTCATATTGTCAGGGAGCCCCAGATACCCATGCATATGTGCAAACACACACTAACATGCACGTGCATGCATAGCAACACACCTGCACCACACGTGCACACATGCAAACACACAAACACATATATGCATGCATAGCAACACACACATGCACACACACTTGCACACGTGCAGACACAAACACATGCATACCAACACACATGCACCCACACGTGCACACATGCAAACACACACAAACACACATGTGCATGCATATCAACACACATGCACACACATGCACACATTCAGACACAAACAAGTGCATGAATACCAACACACACATGCACCCACATGTGCACACATGCAAACACGCACTTGCACGCATATCAGCACATGTGTGTACACATGTGTGCACACCTGCAAACACACGTGTGCAAGACACCCTGATAGGAAACCCTCTATGACCTGCCGGGGTCTCCAGCTCAGCTTTCCCTCTTGGAGCAGGTCGGGAGCAGCACACTCACTCACACTTGCTGGAGTGGAGAAACTGCAGCTGCATGCACCAGGTCATTCTTTGCTAATATCTTTATTTTCCAGAGAAATGAAAATGATGCATTACACTTAGTATCTATTCTCTGAGAATTCGCAGATACTGAACATGCCAGTTTGCTCTGACAGCAGTCTAATCTCATGAATAGTCTCCGTGTTGTTAGTGAAGACACGAAAGGAAAATCACTGGGGATCAGTCTTTTCTCAGGGCTAAGCTCCGTGCACGGGCCAATGACCAGAGAAAGAAGGGGCACCTCCAGTTTGTCAGTTCTTCTCCTATTTGCCCTCCATTTCTAATGTCAAACTCACCCCGTCACTTTCTGACACCTCTCACCATGTCAGAAGTAGAGAGAGAATTGGCCGGACTTGTTTCTTAGTAGAAAGTGCAGGATTTGGGGTGCTCATACATGTTTATGAATCATTTTTATTTGCTAACAGCATATAATTTTGACAGAATCACTTGGATGAACAATTAGCTTCAGGAGGCGAAGCTCTGACAAGGGCCCATAGGTCAATGGTTGGTCGTGCACCCTCATTGTGGGTATTTTCAATGCTCTCCCTGCTCTGTGGCCTCGCCCCTCCTCTTCCCCGTCTAATGCCTGGGGACTTGAGGGAGCTCAAAAGTGACATAAGCATGAGTAACTTTCTTTATGTACTTTTCTGTATTTTTCCCAATATTTTAAAGGATATCCATTACTTTTCTCTCCCAGTAATTTTAATGTAAAAAAATAACACAATTAAAAAAACCCAGATTTTTCTCCTACAATCGTTTGTCTCTCCTGCCACTGTGGACCAGACGCTCTCAGTGCGGCCAGCGAGGCCGTGGGTTCAGCAGGAACTTCCCTGCTTGCATTTTCTCTTTCCAGAAATGTCTCCTGCTCCTTTCACGCCATGTGTTTTCTCAGCCCGTTGCCTCGGCTTGTACCATCCTCTTCCACCTGGAATCCTGTCCTCCACCTGACCAACTCTGCAGAGACTTCAGGACCCAGCTGAGAACGGTTCCTCCAGGTCCTGGGGTCCTCCACTCCCTCATCCCCCGGCCCACAATCCCCTGGGCACCCACACTGGGACGCTGATTCCATCTCGAAGGCACTGTGGTGTCAGCTGTGAAGGCTTGCATTCCCTGACACCCGGGAAGGGGCCTCGTTCTCCCCCAGCAGGGCCCTAGAAATAAGCGGATTCATCACCTTAGCCTCAGCGTGAGCTTCGAAGCACACGCTCTGAACAGAACCTCCTGGACACAATGCGTGGGGGAGGCCCATCGCCCGGCCAAGGCGTCCTTGAGACCCCAGGAGGGAGTCAGATTCCTGCTCCGAAGGGCCTGCAGGCCCTGGAGCACCCGGACCTCGGCTCCTGACAGCAAGCAGTGGATGTACCCGTGCAGGGGATCCGCTGCCATTCCAAGGATCCCGCTGGCGTGCCACTCGGTTTTTCTCTGCAGATAACCTGGAAACTGGGAGATTTGTACAGATTTGAATGTTGACTTCATCAGCCCCGCCTCTCAAAAACTGCATGTACTTGAAATAAGAGTGAAAAACAATGGCATTGGAAGCCAGACTCCAGAAATCAACCAGAACGGACCTGTTAATGGGTTCTGGTGGCGGTGGAGATGAGAACATGCCTTTTTTTCTTTGAACATTGCAATAGGAGAAATGACACATGGGTAAGGAGCTCTTTTTCTCCCGCTCCTGAAAGGAACAAGGCCCACCTGACACTGGTCACTGGTGTTTCCCTATTCACAAAACGGGGATGGAAAAATCAGCCCCACCAGAGAAGAGCTAGGGTGCCTTGAGACTCCACAGTCAGACACCCAGCAAGGTACAGAGAAGGCAGGAGAGGAGCACAGCTCAGTGCTTCCTGCTCAGCCCTCTCCATCTCCCTCCCCACTCCAGCCCTCACCATCTCCCTCCCTGCCCCCCTTCAGCTCTCTCCATTTTCCTCCTCTCCAACCCTGACCATCTCCCTCCCTCCTCCCTTCCAGCCCTCCCCATCTCCCTCCCCACTCCAGCCCTCACCATCTCCCTTCTCCCCTCCAGCCCTCCCCATCTCCCTCCCTCCTCCAGTCCCCCCCACTTCCCTCCTCTCCAGCCCTGACCATCTCCCTCCCTCCCCCCTTCAGCCCTCTCCATCTCCCTCCTCTCCAGCCCTGACCATCTCCCTCCCTCCCCCCTTCAGCCCTCTCCATCTCCCTCCTCTCCAGCCCTGACCATCTCCCTCCCTCCCCCCTTCAGCCCTCTCCATCTCCCTCCTCTCCAGCCCTGACCATCTCCCTCCCTCCCCCCTTCAGCCCTCTCCATCTCCCTCCTCTCCAGCCCTGACCATCTCCCTCCCTCCCCCCTTCAGCCCTCTCCATCTCCCTCCTCTCCAGCCCTGACCATCTCCCTTCGCCCCTCCAGCCCTCACCATAACCCACCTCTCCTCCAGCCCTCCCCATCTCCCTCCTCCCCTCCAGGCCTCCCCATCTCCCTCCTCTCTTCATCTCTTCCCATGTCCCTCCTCCCCTCCAGCCCTCACCATCTCTCTCCCCGCCCCCAGTTCTCACCATCTCCCTCCTCCCCTCCAGGTCTCCCCATCTCCCTCCTCCCTTCCAGCCCTCACCATCTCCCTCCTCCCCTCCAGCTCTCACCATCTCTCTCCCTCCTCCAGCCCTCACCATCTCTCTCCCTCCTCCAGCCCTCACCATCCCCCTCCTCCCCTCCAGCCCTCACCATCCCCCTCCTCCCCTCCAGCCTTCGCCTTTCCCTTCCTTCCTCTCCTTCAGGATCTGCTGGAACACTGGGCAGGCCAAAAGACAGCTGTATGTAATGGAGAGGTAAGTGTGTATCTCAGGTATCTGAAACCCCCATTGGTAATTGAGTGAAACAGTTCCTTTGAGCTCTGTGCACAGTGCCCTTGGTCCTGTTTCTGGGCTCTCTGATGGCCTCCTACAGGCCTCAGCTCTGCAGAACTTGATTTTATCTTTTACTTTATTTGTGCAGCTGACTCAGGAACAATGCAATTAAGTTAAACTCTGTGGACATTGGAGAATCTTCTGCACAGAGGGGTTTAAACGGAGTGCTGGTGAAGGTGAGGACTGGGGTTATATGTCTACATGTTTGGATCAGGTGTGTATTTGGGGAAGGAGCTCAGACCACAGGTGCCTGAGTCAGCCCACCAGGGCTAAGTCCCAGCTCTGCCACTGAGTCCGTGAGCCCATGGGCCCATCTCCCTGTGGAGCTAAGGAAGGCACACCTGTGCCCATCTTTTCATGGGAGCTCAGAAATACCCCGCGGAAGTGCGGAGGTTGCATCCAGAATGTGACAGTGTGGGCGCACGCAGGGCATGAGCCTGGACCCCACCTCGCCCTCGTCTGCACGGGGAAAGGAGGCATGGAGAAAGCAATGGCAGGGCCTGCGAGGAGAGCCTGATGGAACCCAGCCCCGCCATCGCAGTGGCCCTGAAGCCCCTGGCTGGCTGTGGCCAGGCAAGGAAGGCAGGAGCGGCGGTCTTTCGTCCTGCTCTGTGGTCTTTGGGGCCGAATGCAGTCTGTGGCACATGTGGGGCGAGGCAATGGATGATGTGCCATGAGGGAGGCTCCGTCTAGGACATTCCCATCAGACACAGTGGGTGGTGGCAGCCGCAGGGCCCGGCAGGACTGAGGTCATTGTTGGCAGGTGCCCCACACCTGCAGGGGGCAGTGACTGACATGAGGCAGGAGCGCCTTATGTCAACCTTGATGGCGTCATTCATTTGAGATCAAATTCCAGTTAATGCTATTATATTTACACACATCGCACACTGCTGTTGAGGGATGTGTGGGCACATTTCCCTTGTGCTATCCAGGAAGGGCTAATGATTGGAAGGAAAACGTCAGCCCTTCTCAAGCAGCAAAATAACAGCACCTTCTGTTTCCCCTGAATCCACATGAGTGTGGTGCTGTGAAAGAGGTCGCTGGCTGGTGTTGAGGGTGCCTCCGTGCCAGGGAGCACTCAAAGCTACAGACATTCACCTGCGAATGGTCATGGACCTGACCGGCTGTTTTCTCTGCATTTCTCCCCTGGCTAAAGATGTGTTGCTGGGTAAAGTGATTCTCAGACTTGACCTCCTGCTGCCCTGCTCCCACCCTGGAATGGAGCAGGTGCCAGGTGGACATGGCTGCAGGTGCTGTGGGAGGTGAGTCGTGCAGCCACAGGGGAAAACGTTTCAGGATCCAGTGTCCGTCCTTCAAAGTTGCTTCTAACAAGGAAACCGCTGCCTAATCACCGGCACCTGTCAAATTGGAATCTCAGGTATGAAAATTTCCCAAGGACCCACCTAATCCAGGTTCCTTTCCCTAAAGCAAATAGGGGGGCAAATATAGTCAAAGCCTCACACCATTCCCTTAAGTTTTTTAAACCAAGACTCCTCTAATCAGCTCAATATAAAAAGAATGATTTTCAGAAAACTTCCTATTAATTCAAAAGTCAGAGCAGGTAGATCCCCAGTGACTGGCACGAATTAGCTGTCCGTTAACCATTATAGAAATGCAACTGAAAATCATGATTAAAAAGGGGGATTGTGTCACTTAACTCAATGTCCACCAGTTATATCTATGTTGCAAAAAAATAGGATTTCATCCTTTTTTATGGCTGAATAGTATTCCACTGGGTATACAGACCACATGTTTTTTGTTCATTCATCTGTTGCATGGTAGGGTGACTATAGTTAATAATATTGTGTTGTACGTTTCAAAATAACTAGAAGAGAGGATTTTGGATATTCACGCCACAAAGATATAATAAATGTTTGAGATGATGCATAAGCTAATTATCCTGACTGATCATTACACAACGTTTGCATGGATTGAAGCATCACACTGTACCCCATAAATAAGTACAATGATTATGTGTCAATTAAAAATAAAATAGAGCTTAAAGAAGAAGAGGGCTGGAGCGCAGTGGTGTGCACAGGTGGTCTGCCTGGGCCATAGTGCTGATGGCATTCCCCGGGCCCTCCCAGACTCTGAGAGTGAATGCCGGCTCATTGGATCTGCAGCCAACACACCGTGGCCCTCACTGATTTTTGTTGCAACACCCATTCAGTCACTGAAGCATTCACTCATTCATTGATTCAAGTAGCCATCGTGTATATTAAACTTCCCTTTTTTGTGCAAGTTCAATTTGACTTCTGGCCTCTAGACTAGACCATTGCTCAGCAGCCTGGAGACCCTGTTCCATTCTTTGGAAACGTTTAATGAACATTTATTTAACAAATATTTGATGAAACCATACCAAGATCTCATTTTTCATCTATCAGATACAAATTTAAACACATGAAACATATTCTGTTTGCTCACACATTGCTTATGGCGAAATGGCACAACCACTGTGGAGTGAATGAGGCAGGTTCTTGGAAAATCCCATGCCCTGTTTCTAAGAATCTGTTTCGAAGATAGACTGGCAAAAATAAAAGTGCCATAGGCATGGCTTATTTGTCACACTATCTGTAACAGCAAAACACTAAAAGCAGAACAAAAAGCCAAAACAAAGAACCCACACCTGTAAACCACCCTCATATCCATCAGGAGGGGATGTGTGAAGATGCTGTATTTATTCACACATTGGACACAGCGGAGGATGCCCAATCTGCTGCCATTTACACGAGAGGGGAGGCAGCTACGCAGACCAATGCAGATATATTTGTTTTATACTAAAAACCCAGTGAAAGAATTAAACCATAACGTAGAATTTCAAGGTGATTACTTACAGGGGGTGGTGGAAATAGGGTAGAGAGGTCGAAAGCAGAGGCTGGACTTCTCTCAGAACACCCTGCTGTGTAGACAGTGCTGGGAAGGGGCGAGGTTTCCGGAGGCCCCACTCATTCTCAGGCCAGCAGGGACACAGCCTGCGAGCCCAGCCGCGCCTCCTTAAATCAAAAACCAAATCCATTATTTGACCTTGGAACTATGTAAAGATTGTGCATAATTATCAAACATGATTAAGTTTTAAAAGTCCTAAAAATCAAAAGCAAAATGAAACAGATGAGCATGTGTATGTATTGAGTTAGTCACCACCACACACAGAGAGAAGGCCTTTTCCAGTGACTTTAACAGTCAGTAATTTAACTGTGGCATCCCTACTGGGATACATTCTAAGGACAAAAAGAACTGCAACAGAATCTTAAACAGTGTCTTTAAGTGATCATATTGTTGGTGGTAGTGTAGGTACTACATCTCCGAGGTTCTCTGTGTGTGTGTGTGAATGAGTGTTTTACTTTTAGAGATGCGTACCATAACGTTGATGGATGAAACAATACTGTGTGAGATTTTATTAAAATAACACAGGAGGCTTTGGAGCAGAATTAGGTAGGAGTAGAGTCGAAGGAGGCGGCTATAAGATGGTAATTATGACGCTGGGTGATGAGTATGCGTGAATTTTTTTGTACTTTTCTCTCTACTTTTGGTCACGCCTGCTTTTTCTGTAATAAACATTAAAGACACTTGTTGAGGGTCATCCTGTCCGAGTGCTGGTCTGGGATGCAAGGCTTTTATTTCAACCAGCGTTTCTGACTCTAGACTCTCACACGGCGTAAATATCTCTGCCTCACACCCATGCCCAGGCGTGCTGTCTGCGTGGTGCCTCTGTGTACACTGGGGGTCCCTGCACTCAACCCCACAGGCTCACGCCCACCACTGCCCACCTCAGGCGCCCAAGAACCTGCCCAGATCACCCACTGTAAGCAACAGGAACCGAGCTAGTAGCATCACTTTCTTCCTTATCAAGTAACTAATCACCAGCCGTGGCACTGCTAGGAATTTAGCACAATGTCAAGCCCAGCTGGAGAACTCATCGAGGCGTGGCCCTGACTGTCTCTGCATGAGTAAGCAGTGGCCAGGCTCCTAGACCTTCTCCTAGGCCATCCGTGCGCTTCCTTGTAAAATCCAGTTTTGCCAAAAATCCCTGCAAAGTCAGTTTAGCAAGGACTCCACCCTCGATGTCTGAGATGTCTCCTGGGCCTCCTCTGCCTCCACCATTCCCGGTGATATCAGCACCCCGCCTGCCCCCTGACTGCACCCCAACTGCTCCCCGCCTGCCCCTGACTGCACCCTAACCACCCCCTGCCTGCACCCCACCTGCCCCCTGCCTGCACCCCACCTGCCTACTGCCTGCACCCCATCTGCCCCATGCCTGCACCCCACCTGCCCCCTGCCTGCACCCCGCCTGCCCCCTGCCTGCACCCCACCTGCCCCCTGCCTGCACCCCGCCTGCCCCCTGCCTGCACCCCACCTGCCCCCTGCCTGCACCCCGCCTGCCCCCTGCCTGCACCCCACCTGCCCCATGCCTGCACCCCACCTGCCCCCTGCCTGCACCCTGCCTGCCCCCTGCCTGCACCCCGCCTGCCCCCTGCCTGCCCACTGCCTGCACTCCGCCTGTCCCCCGCCTGCCCCCTGACTGTATCCCAACTGCCCCTGCCTGCACCCCGCCTGCACCTCACCTGCCCCCTGCCTGCACCTCACCTGCACCCCACCCACACCCCGCCTGCCCCCTGCCTGCACCCTGCCTGCCCCCTGCCTGCACCCCACCTGCACCCTGCCTGCCTTCCACAGGAACCCCACTAGGTCTCCTTCATCTCCAACGCTCCCTCTTAGTCATCTTCCAGACGCTGCAGGGGCCCCGGCTCTGGGGTCTTCCCACCGATACTGCTTCTCCCCGTGCCGTTCTTTGGAGCCAGCTTAGTGCGTCCCTGTGTTCTCAGACCAGGGCCTCCTGGGTACATCATTCAGCAACTGGCTCAGTTAAAACAAGAAAGGAGAAGCTGCCATGGGCTCCCTCACTCAGAGCCATCCATTCTCATGCACAGTCGAGACAGGGGATGCCCCCGGGAGCCCGTGGAAGGTGGCAATGCCAGGCCTTGGAGAGGCAGGAGGCCGGACTCGACCCCAGAGGTGGGGACCCGGACTCTGGACTGGACTGAGGTCTGGCTGAAATAGGGAAGAGGCAAGAGCACCTCTCCACGGGACGTGCCCACCCATCCCGTGTCAGTTTACCATCGCCACGGCAACACCAGGACCACTCCCAAGTTACCATTCTTATTCTAGACATTTCTGTGTAATCTGCCCCTAATTTGCAGTCATTAAAAGCCCCACTTTAGGGTCTGTCTGCCCTGCGCCCCCGCGACCCATATGCACTCTGGACCCTGAAATTTACCCAAAGGTAAATGCTTATGATATCAAAACTGGATCTCCTACACCATGTTCTATATTAGGGGGAACCATAGTGAGTAACCACCACATTTTAGAGGAGAGGAAGCAGAGCCTAAATTTAAATAAATTAAGGAGATGTAGGAGGTGCTGTAACAACAAACTGAGTGACTTCCACAGCAGCGTTTGATTCTCTCCCAGCTCCGGAGGTCCCCCAAGTGCAAGACCAGGGTGTGGGCACGACCCGCTCCTGTGGGGCCTCCGAGGGTCTGTCCCAGTCTCTCCCAGCTCCCAGCTCCTCCGAGGGTCTGCCCCAGCCTACCCCAGCTCCCAGCTCCTCCGAGGGTCTGCCCCAGCCTCCCCCAGCTCCCAGCTCCTGTGGGGCCTCCAAGTGTCCACCCCAGCCTCTCCCAGCTCCTGGAGCTGCCTGCTGTCCCTGGTGGTCCCTGGCTCGTAGCTGCACCCCTGCAACCTCTGCCTCCCACATCACATGGTTTTCTCCTCTGTGTCCAATTTCCTCTTTGTATGAATTCACCAGTTATATTGAATTAGGGCCCATCCTACTCCACTATGACCGCATCTCCATGAATCACCTCTGCAGCAATCCTATGCCCAAATACACTTCCCGCCTTATCCCCAGGTTCTGCATTTATGGATTCAACCAGCTGCAGATCGAACATACTAACAACAATAAAAATAATACAGATAAAAAATTAACACAAAGCAACAACTATTGACACATCATGTACACTGTATTAGGTACTGTAAGTATTCCAGAGCTGATTTAAAGCACACAGGAGGAGGCGCACAGGTTATATGGAAAACCATGCCATTCTATACAAGGGCCTTGGGCATCCATGGGTTTACACCTGAGGGGTTCCTTGGACCAGTCTCCTTCGAGTGCCAGGGAAGAACTGTGAAGCCTCATTCTGAGCTGCCTGGGCTCGGACTTCAACTGTGGATTTTAGAGGGACGCAGTCCAGCCTGGGAAAGGAAGTTACAGATGGAGACGCCACCGGGAGGTGGTCGGCGAAGCTGGGATGGGAATTAAGCTGCAGAGTGTAACATTTCTTTGGGTGAGGGCGCCAGACAAGAACCTCTGAATTGGCACGCAGGGCTGTCGGTGTCGGTGAGACTTACACGTTTATAGTGAGAATTCTTCCCAGAAAGGGTGACCAATAACACTGAAAAAAATAACATAACCATGGCTTTCCTTGGAGTATTTAAAAATATTCTTTGTCCATTTACGATGACCCGGAATTTCACACCATCTGCTGGACGTGAAATGAAACCCAGAAAGTGAAAGGGGAAGAGACGACGGTCTGCAGGCTTCAGGGCCCAGCCGTGGGCCCAGGTCCATGTGGCTGCTGCCTTCCCTTTCCGTGCTGTGCGTAGCCTCCTCTTCTCTGACCGCTACCCCGCACCCCCTCTCATTTCCTCCCTACTTTCCATGGGGTCTCACTTTATTTGGATGACTTTCTGGGGAAGTTGGGTGGGTACCCAAAAACAGAGGCATTTTCAGCATGGAAAAAGCCCTTAAAACTAACACTTCAGTTCATTTGAATAAAAAAATCCCCAAAGATATCAAAGGCTCTGAAATGATATCATCTACCTAAATATGACGCTTAGAAAATCTGTGGGGATGATGCCTAGAAGCCCTCTAGAAACGCCGCTGTGGACAAGGGCACCCCAACTGTACTAGTGAAAAGTCAGCACAAAAGTAGATTAACGAGCAAGAGAGTGAGGAATTAATGCCTTTCTTGCTATGTTTCACAGCACACTTAATTGCCCTTCAAATTCTTCCTTCACAGCCATCAGCCTGTAAGCTGGATCTGGGAGGCTTTGTTTCTGGAGACTTCTGCTTTCTTTGGAAGGCAGGCTCAAACCTGATCCTCTATACAACGGTCCCGAGTTAAATCTGGCCAGTCTGAAAAGCCAGCCATGCTGGCGAGTGCATGAAAATCCTGCTTCAAAGGCAGAGAGCCGGGCTCCACGCGACATTCCGCACCTTCCTCAGGGTGGCTTCTCCTTCTCCCTGGCCTCGTACCCTAGAACTTAAAGTATAATAAAAAAATAAAAAATAAAAAAGGAAGAAAACCTGCATCATCAATGAAAGAAACGTCTAGTTTGTCTAATTCTATTGTTTATCTTTATTTTTCTATTTTTCTCTGTCCCTGAATTTTAAAACTTGTTTTCCCGTGTATAGATAGCAGCTCTGAACACTGAAATTCTGAGATTATGTTGAGAAAGACAACCAGTAAAAAAAACCAACAAGAAGCTTCAGTAGCAAAATGTTAAGGGTGCATTTTTCGGTTTCATTCAGTATTTCTAGTCTCTTTAACAGTAAACCTAAGAAATTACCTCCTGCAATAGAAGTAGCATTGATAAAAAAAATAATGTTTGCAACTTCTCCTGAGTTTGAAGAAGTACAAGAAAATTTAATGTGGATGAATACAATTCCTGAATCTTTTTTTAAAAAGGAAAACTGTTCATGATGATATATTTGCAAAACCTTCCAAAAATGAGTTTTGTTAGAGAATAATACACTCCTGTACTCTGTATTTTAAGTTTCATAAAACAAGGCATAAACTTTTAAAGATTATTTTAGAGGTTTTCCGGAAAATATGCGAGATAATTGCCTTTCTCCTACGCAAAACTAAGCTCACTGCCTTGTGCTTTTTGTGACAAATTATAAGTAATAGAACAAAGCCTTCAAAACTGCCATTGTAGCAGAAGAGCGTTTGGAACAAGAACATAGACTATGGGTGGGAATAGTGGTTTTAGTTTTAAAACTATTTACACACAGAAATTTTATTAAAACCTGCTTTTTTCTCATACAAAATAAAAGTGTGAACCGGGAATCTGTCAGGTGCGTCCTGCTCCGCCAGCAGGCATCTGGAAGAAATCACCTCGCCTTTCGTCACTCAATTTCTCTCTAAATTGTACCTGTAAGCAGACTAGAATTATGCTGTTTATTGGCAACACAAAGAGTGCTCGGCGGAAACAGAACTTGCCCGCAGCAGCCACTTTCAGTAAGGAAGCTCGGCGGATCTTCTAACCACTCCTGGTGCAGAGTGCATGTCGATCACCCATTATCTGTCCCACAGACACGGGGGACATGATTATTCTCCTGAGGAACCCAGGGCCATGGCTGCATTCTTATTTTTAAAGTAAAGTGACTTATAGTTAATTTTTTAAAACACCTTTTTATTTTAAGGGGAGAAAAGGACATTTTGCTCTCACAACAGAGAGTGACCTTTTGTTGTCTGAAAGCTCTGTATTAAATCATCTGAAGCTCCTATTTATTTATTAATTTGGGGATTGTCATTGGTACTGTTCTGCCTTGACAAGGATTTTTTTAAATTAGTATTCCAAATAAATGAACACAAACACACGAATTAGTTATTTGAACTTAAAACATGTGTTCTTATGAAGTAGAAACTTCACGAAATAAATTCACACTGTGTTGCAGTTTCTCTTTTCCAAACTTCAGTGTTACCAAATGTTGTTTTCCTCAGGTTATTTTCGGAAACGCTTTTCATTATTCTAGGAAACTTGATGAGCTTGTGTGTTCCGGCACTTCCTCGGGGGATGGTGAGGGCGGCCTCAAGGTGCTTAGAGGATGAGAGAGACCCTCTTCCCTCTGCGGGTGCACTTTCTCAGGTTGGACAGATGGTTCATTCATGGCTTTTAATACTTCCTTGAACTTTCTTTATTGCAAATCAGATGCGACTGCTGAACGAATCTCTACTCCCGCTGGAAGGCTTGGTGCCTCATTCCTTTGAAACAACAGGTCACTTCTCAACTATGATTTGGCTTTAACCTGAAATGATCTTTGTGCATTGTGAAGACTTGCTTCCCGCCGGACTTCCAGCTCTGATTTCCCCTCCTCAGAGCAGGGTTCAGCGCATAGCCACTTTCTTCCCACACACACAAGAAAATGAAACACACTTCTGCGCTCAGGAAAAGCACCCTTCCTGCCCTTGTGTGGACGATTCTGGAGCAGAACCTATTGTCTCGGTTTGCAAAGCACAAAGGAGGTCACCGATGGATCGCATCAGGGTGGAGGTGTGCCCCAGATGAGGTCAGAATATTTGCAGCAGAAGAATGGCAGCTCTCCCTGGCCAGGAGCGGGCCTGCCGCTTCTGTGCTCCTGACTCCTCCCCACATTCTTCTGGTCCGGTTCCCACAGACAGACAGGGCGCGGGAGGTCAGAGTGGACGGAACAAAGGGGACCCCCTGCGGCGAGGCCTTGCTGGGCTGTCAGCACCAGTAATTCATGAGCGCACCTTTCATCTCCATGAGGATCCATGAGGGGTTAAACAGAGACCCATTTTACAGCTGACAAGATTGAAGGGGCTAAGGAGCGGCAGGGAGGCAAAACACCCTAAAATTCATAGTATTCCAACCACCTGCTAAAAATAGATCCGTGCAGGTTCTCCTTTCATTTCTCCCCACATAATGGGATCTGTGTTTCAGAGGCAGCATAATAAACAGGCAATGCACGGTCCGGGGGTATTTACACATTGTGTGGTTAGAGAAGGAGAGAGGAAGAACCGGTGGAAACAGAAAAAAATGATGCAAAACGGCAGCTCCAGCTCCTGGAGGGCACGGGGCTTTGGACAGCTCACCCACAGCTTGGAGGCCAGCTGCGCATCTGAGCCTCGCCACAGCCAAGCAGAAAGGAAGACCTTACAAAGCACGAATGTGGAAATGGAGTGCGCACTGCAACATCTGACAGCGTGCACGTGTGTGCGTGTGTTAGTTGTGTGTGTGCGTGTGCCGTGTCGACAGGAGGAAGAGCAGTACACAGGGAAGGAGCCACATGTGGCTTTTGAGAGATTTCATTTGTAACAGGGCTTCCCCAGCGACTCCTAATGTCTGTTCTGAAACCATCAAATGAATTTAACATACGTTTTAACTGATGAAGGACATGTCTCCAAAATAATTCCATCGAATTTTATTTTAATCAATAGGGCCATCACCTTCTGTGAGGGGGATTTTCTTAGTATTTCTGGGTGGTGTTTTAAAGGAAGTTGAAGAAGGTGGTCTCCCAGTGCAGCAACATTTGTAAAAGGAAGCCACAGGGCATAGTGTGTTCATGTGTGTTTGTGTGTGCACACATGTGTGCCCATTTGTGCATGCATGTGTATGTGTGCACTAGTGCATGCCCATGTGTGTGCTGTGCATATGCAGGTGTGCACTTATGTGTGTGTGTGTGTTGTGCATGCACATATATGTTGCCTTATGGGGCACATGTGATTGCATGCATGCGTGTTTGTGCTTGTGCATATATGTGTGTGCACATGTGTATGTGTGTGTGCTTGTGTTATGCATGCACATGCATGTTGTATGTATGGGCACACATGTGTGTTTGTATATATGTACATGTGCTTGTGTGCATGTATGCATGTGCATATGTGTGCGTGTGCTTATGTACATGTGTCTGTGTTTGTGTGTGTTTTAGCTGTTAGTTTAACCCAGGGCAGGGTGGAGGTCCCCTCACTCACACGTAGATTTGGACTTGCCCTTGGCATGCCCCGCGGGGCTGTGCGGAATCCCAGTCTTTGGTGTGGTGTGTTCAGCAGCTCGTGGGTGCTGCCCGGGGGCATGGTCCCCTAAGGAAAGTGTGCTCAGGGCCTGACAGCTCTGTTGCTCACGGGGGCGTTTGTCCATCACTGACTCCGAATTTGCTGAGTTTTCAGAGCAGCTGCACAGCCCTGGCAGGCACTTCCCCAGTACATCGCGGCTCCCCTGAGCCTCAGGACTTCACTGCACAAAGCCCCTGTTTTCTGCCTGCTACGTCCTCACGTTGGGGACACTGCTGATAAAACGACAGAGGACAAGCATTGTGCTTCCTGTCTTCTTGGCAGAAAGGACTGGACAAGGAGGCCAGCAGGAGGGACCCACTTGCTCTTCCTGCTGGCAGTGATTTCTCTCAAGTGCGTGGATCTTCACCCATTCCGTTCCCAGAGGCCTCTCTGCGATCCCTTCCATGGGAGCCCACTCCTGCTCAGCCTGCATAGCTACTTCCATTTCTTCTGGAAGGCCCCACAGCCTTCGTGAAGCGACATTAGGCACACAGTGGGCTTTTTGGTGTGGATACACAGGCATGTGTTAGGGATGCTTGGTCAGCAGGGAAGCTAAGGAAAAAGTTGAGCAGAGATATTTGGGACGGAAGCTCTAGGATGAATGGCGACCCCCACACCCGGCTCTGCCACGGGGTCCTTGGGGTCAGGTGGGCCCGGCTCCAGCAGGGCAGGCCCCTCGGGTCCTTTGTGCTGCAGCAAAGCTCCCGCCTGCAGTGGAGGCTGTGGGAGGTGGTACCTTCTCCACACCGCCCCACCCCTTTGTCATCCATGGAATCCTCGCTGGTTGCTTAGAGAGGAGGATTTTTAGGGGTGAGTGCCCAGGACTCAGATGTGGGAGCTGCGGAGTGAAGATCAAAGGCACCCCTGTGGTCCGCGTGTCCCGTGTGAGTGGCGGCCAGTGGACAGCCAGCCTGTGAGTGGAAGCCCTGCCTCTGCGTCCCTTCGCAGTTCAGAGTCTCGAGGACCGCCCGAGACCCAGGCTAATGCTGCTGAGGCCAGGGAGCTTTGAGGACAGTGTGTTTCCAGCAGCTCAGCTTTCCCTGTGCCAGGTGGGATGGGGGAATGGAGATGGACGTGCTGGGTGGGCGAGGGGCAGCAATCTGGACAAGCCCCCACTTCACCCTTCAGTGTCCCCTCCAGGAGCCAAGCCAACTGTCACTAAGACGCCACCGCATCACACGCCCAGCTTGCGGAGGTGCCACCTGGCTGCGGATTTGAGCAATGTGACGGTCCTCTGGACACTGGAGCATGGCACACCACGGTGGTCTCCGCTTGCCCTTTCCCCTTCATGCCGACGCAAAGAAACGCATCTCTGCACAGACGCCCCTTCTTAGAAGCATCCAGAGCTCCTGAGCACTGGCTCACGCTCCCCTGGCCTGGCATCTGCAGCTGAGCTCATCCACCAAGACCCTCAGGGACTCATGGTCCCTTTGGGGCAGCCCCTCCCCAGAAGCCTGCCCTGGGTCTCTTTCACGGCGGCTGTCCGGGACACTTCATTGGTGGCAGAGATTCTTAGGAAGAACATTTGTGACCCAACCACCAAATGAGAGGGGTGCTGGCCACTGCAGACCTGGGAGGAAGGGCTCTGGCTTGCAGAGGTGTCTGTGCCAGTTCACCCCTCAGAGGTGAAGAACTTGGTGCCACCCTGCCTTGGCTGAGAGGGCAGAGAAGGGCCTGAATGATGCCACAGGTCTCCAGTGGGGAGATCATCTCCCTTGCCCCGTGTCCCTCTCGTGGGCCCAAACAAATGACAGGCCCAGCTTCCAATGTGCACACAGGCTGTGGGGTGGCCAACTGCCCCGGGATGGCCTCTGTTTCCCCCTCGGTGCGGTGATGGTGGAGAAGGCCTTTCACTTGCGGGCAGAGCATGGGAGTCAGCAGAGGAGACTAACTTTAAAGGCCCCTTGTGTGTTCCCGGCTGTGTGACTGTGGGCAGTCCCTGAGATGGGGGATTTGTTTGTTCATCTGCACAGTGGGACCCGATTGCCAGTGGAAGCCTGGGCAGGCTGTGGGAAGAGCTCAGTACCTGGTGTCCTGGCATCAATGGACATTGGGTGGCATGAGGTGAACGGACAGGCACTGGATCCTTTCCTGTTAACCTCGTTTCAGAGGGAGGATGAAACGGGACCCGGCATGAAGGCCTTGAAGTCGGAAATGGACAAGGAGGGAAACAGCCTGAAGGTAGCTGGAGGCGCTTAATAACGCTGCCCGGGACTGGTCCAGCAGCCATCCTGGGTTGGTGGGCTGTTTAAGATGTGGCCAGGGGACAGAATATTAACACCTCATGTTGGTAAGCACTGGGCGCCTTTGTTTTCTGTGTTTTTAAACCCATGATCATTTTGAAACATAGGCTTAGTGGGCAAGTAGCTTGTCCCTGTTTTACAGATGGGGAAACTGAGGCCCAAGGGACCGTGCTCACTGCTACCAGTTAATGGCAGAATAGAATGAGAGCTGGTTTTCTGCTGTGCAACCTTCAGAGCCAGACTCCTCCATCAAACCTAGGGGAAGACACATTCCCCCGGGATAAAAATCAGTACAATAAGTTTTTATTGTATGATATTTAAGGTGAAATAAAGTTGAAATAATGTTGAAGCAAAATTGAGCATGAGTCAATTCTTTTAATTGAAAGACATTTAAAATACATCACAGTTGTATGGTTCTTTAAGAAACACTGGGATGAATCTTTTGTAAAGTGGCAAACCCTTTTGTCATGCGAACAGTCACTCTTAATGTGTCTCGATGTGTAGATTTCATATTTTCAAATATCGTGTTTCTTGAAGCAGGTCACGCCTTTACGAAGGGTCTGGAAGGGAGAGGATTTGACAGTGGGGCACCTGCATTTACAGGCTTTGCATCAATTACAAATCTTGCAAATAAAATAAATCTCCTTAAAAAATAAGAATAACATTTGTAGCAATTTTTCTCTCCAATTTTCTTTCTTGGCATTTCAGTACGTTTATCGCTTGATCTCTATGAATCATAAATCACCCCATAATCACACAAAATGCCCCCAGGATATGTCTCCCTCAGCACTAACCCTCTCCCTTAATGACAGCAGCCAATTGTTGATTGTTTATTTGATCCAAGAGACACACCTCACCCAAAGGTTTTCAAAGAGCCAAGACGAAGGGCCAGCCTGGAGGTGGCTTCCCGCCCTGGCTCTGGTGGGCACCCTGGAGCTGGCGGCTGTGGTGAGGGCGGAGGCGTGTGTGGGCCCAGTCAGCCCAGCCTGGCCCCGAAACTGTAGGGCCTCAAGTGCGCTGCGGGCTTCTGCTAACTTAAAACAAATATGGTGCTTACTTCCCAGATGACCTTTTACAATGGGATTCGAAAAAGCCAGCGGAGTTTTATTTGAGAATGGTTTTAATCAATTTGGAAATTGATTTTGTTGGTTTGATGTCAAGCTGTCATTTTTCAGAGACCCGAGTCTTATCTATCAGCCTGAGGCTTTGTGGCAAACCCATTCCACAATAAAAGCAGCATTGGCCACCTGAGGAAGTGGGAGGAAGAATTGTGAGGCTTTATCTTCTCCTCTTTTTATGTCGATAAGTAACGTAGGGTCCTAAAGTCCCTCGTGGAGTCTTCGAAACCCAGCTCCTTGTGTTTAAACAAGATCCAGGAGCAGTCCTTAGTGTCCCTCTCCAGTGGTCGCTGCCTCTGCTGCATGAAAGTGACATGATGAGGTCCTAGGATTTCACAGGTAAAGGGAAGTCGGGTCAAACATCCCATTTTACAGGTAGAGAAATTGAGGCCTAGATGGGGAATGACATGAATTTCTAAGCTGCTAAATGATGGAGAAAAGGTTAAACGGCCTCAGACTCCTAGAACTACAGTTATGCCCTCTCCTTCCGGGGCATTCCTGCTGGTGACCTTAGACCTTGGGGAGGCTTGACAACAACCAAGCAGCAATGCCGCCCAGTCACCAGCTGCAGACAGCAATGCCACCCTAGTCACCAGCTCCAGACAGCAATGCCACCCTAGTCACCAGCTCCAGACAGCAATGCCACCCTAGTCACCAGCTCCAGGCAGCAATGCCACCCTAGTCACCAGCTCCAGGCAGCAATGCCACCCTAGTCACCAGCTCCAGGCAGCAATGCCACCCTAGTCACCAGCTCCAGGCAGCAATGCCACCCAGTCACCAGCTCCAGACAGCAATGCCACCCAGTCACCAGCTCCAGACAGCAATGCCACCCAGTCACCAGCTCCAGACAGCAATGCCACCCAGTCACCAGCTCCAGGCAGCAATGCCACCCAGTCACCAGCTCCAGACAGCAATGCCACCCAGTCACCAGCTCCAGGCAGCAATGCCACCCTAGTCACCAGCTCCAGGCAGCAATGCCACCCAGTCACCAGCTCCAGGCAGCAATGCCACCCAGTCATCAGCTCCAGACAGCAATGCCACCCAGTCACCAGCTCCAGACAGCAATGCCACCCAGTCACCAGCTCCAGGCAGCAATGCCACCCAGTCATCAGCTCTGAAGCAGCCCCCCCAGCTACAAACTGTGTCGTTAAACTCTAACTCGTCAGTTCTCTGATGTGACCTGGGTGCCTGGAACTGTAGTATTCATGGTACTATTTACCATATGATACTGGCAGAGGGGTTGATGGACAAGACAGATGGAGCAATGGCTGGGACGGATCGTGGATCTATCACAGTCTCCAACAGGGACACAGTCTCCCGGAGCAGCCATGGGGCGGCTGGGTCTGGGCTGCCCTCCCTGCTTCTTGCCAGTGTGCCCAGGTCCCGCACACCTGGCTGACAGGAGCCATCCTGCTGGCGGAACATGGTGGCCGGGGAGCTGCCCCAGCCTCTGGCAGTATGGGAAGCAGTGGGGGGCTGGCCTGTGCTATAGTCTGAATGTAGGTGCCTCTCAAATACGTACAGTGAAACCTAAGCCCCGTGTGATGTTAACAGGTGGGGCCTTCTGAGAGGAGGCTGAGTGATGCGGGCTCCTCCCTCGTGAACAGGATCCGTGCCTTATAATGGAGGCTGAAGGGCATGCCCAGCCCCTTTTCTTCTCCCACCCCCTCCCTACGTGAGGATGCAGCCCAGAGGTGCCATCTTGGAAGCAGAGGCTGGGTCCTCACCCACCGGCTGGGAACCAGCTGGTGTCTTCATCGTGGACTTTCCGGCCTCCAGAACGATAAGAAATAAATTTCTATTGTTTATAAATTACTAATTCAAAGGCATTTTGTGATAGAAACATGAATAGACTGGGACATCTGGGCTTCCTTTGTCACACCTGGTCAAAGCTGCCTGGTCAAGCTATGAATGCTGTCTCCAGCTCTCCCTTGAATCTGGAGACTGGCCTGTTTTATGTTTTCATCAGCCTCTGCCCGAATCCCTCATGAGACCTCCATCCAGAACCTGTACGGAGAAAGAATGAGGATGCTTTAAGGATCCTGTGTGACTTCTGGTAAAACAAGTGTACTAGTTCACAGTAGGGCTAACAGGTCACTTGATGCTTGGACCTGTGTGGATTCCTGCTGAAGCAAGTGTATAGGTCACATCAGAGCTAACAGGCCACTTGCATGCTTGGATGTCTTCCTCAGAACATCCTTGAATGCTCTTTCAAAAGCATCTCCCCCTACCCCTTTGTCTTTCTCTCTGTCTCTGACTTTGCACGTGAGTGTCCAAGCTCTCTCGGTGAGTAACAATGCCTGGAGATATTTGAGATCAACCATTCGTGCCTTGACCATGCCTGTAGTCAAGGCGGTGGGGCTGTGTGGGGCTGTGTGTGGCTGCATGACATGAGGGAGTTGGGGCTGGGGCTGGGGCTGGGGCTGAGGGCATCGGGCTGCTGGGATCTTGCCTCTAGATCCTGAGCATGCCAATGTCCATTCTTATTCAGCTCGTGTTAGTCAGGTGAGGACTGGGTAGCATCAAGAAAGTGTAGCCTGGAGTTTGAAACAGAACATGATGAAACTCTTCTCCCTGTTAGGATTTTATTTTATTTTATTTTATTTTATTGTACTCGAAGATCTCAAGCCAGGCAGTCACACAGTACGTTGTTCGGTTTATTGACGTTTCCTTCATCAGCACCCTGACAGGAAAAAGATGACTTGATTTCCATTTGTTTTCCTTGCCAAAATAATGAAGACTGTGATGAGTGTTTGTTTAATATGCACCCCCCACTTTTTTTGGAAGAGAAGAGCAAAGAAAGATCAAGAGAGGAGGAGCACCCATTACCTTCATGGAACAGGAGGGGCGCGGGCATAATAGATGCGGCAGCCGTGGGAACAGGAACCAGGGCACCAGGGAACCAGGGGACCAGGGAACCAGGGAACCAGGAAACCAGGGAACCAGGAAACAGTGAAACAGGAAACCAGGGAACCAGAGAACTAGGGGAACCAGGAAACCAGGGCAACAGGGAACCAGGGCACCAGAGAACAAGGGCACCAGGGTATCAGGGAACCAGAGAACCAGGGGAACCAGGAAACCAGGGAACCAGGGAACCAGGGAACCAGGGAACCAGGGAAACAGGGAACCAGGGGAACCAGGAAACCAGGGAACCAGGGAACCAGGAAACAGTGAAACAGGAAACCAGGGAACCAGAGAACTAGGGGAACCAGGAAACCAGGGCAACAGGGAACCAGGGCACCAGAGAACCAGGGCACCAGGGTATCAGGGAACCAGAGAACCAGGGGAACCAGGAAACCAGGGCACCAGGGAACCAGGGAACCAGGGCACCAGGGAACCAGGGGAACCAGGGAACCAGGAAACCAGGGAACCAGGAAACAGTGAAACAGGAAACCAGGGAACCAGAGAACTAGGGGAACCAGGGAACCAGGAAACCAGGGAACCAGGAAACAGTGAAACAGGAAACCAGGGAACCAGGGAACCAGGGGAACCAGGGAACCAGGAAACCAGGGAACCAGGAAACAGTGAAACAGGAAACCAGGGAACCAGAGAACTAGGGGAACCAGGAAACCAGGGCAACAGGGAACCAGGGCACCAGAGAACCAGGGCACCAGGGTATCAGGGAACCAGAGAACCAGGGGAACCAGGAAACCAGGGCACCAGGGAACCAGGGGAACCAGGGGAACCAGGAAACCAGGGGAACCAGGAAACCAGGGGACCCAGGGAACCAGGGAACCAGGAAACCAGGGAACCAGGAAAACAGGGAACCAGGAAAACAGGGACCCAGGAAACCAGGGAACCAGGGGACCAGGGAACCAGGGGACCAGGGAACCGGGAAACAGGGTGCTGAGGAGGCAGGAGCAGGGAGGAGGGAGGGAGGGAGGGAGAGAGGGCGTAAGGGAGGGAGGAGGAAGGAATGAAGAGAGAGAGGAAGGCAGGGAAGAGAGGGAGAGAGGGAGAGAGGGAGACAAGGAAGGAAGAAAGAAAGGAGGGAAGAAAAGTAAAGAAAGAAGGAAGGAAGGTAGGGAAAGAGGGAGGGAGGGAGGAAAGAGGGAAAGAAGGAAGGGATGGAGGGAGGGAGGGAGGAAGGAAAAAAGGAAGGAAGGGAGGAAGGGAGGTGAGGGAGGAGGAAGGAATAAAGAGAAAGGAAGCCAGGGAATGAGGGGAGAGGGAGGGAGGGAGAAAGGAAAGAAGGAAGGAAGAAAGGAAGGAAAAAAGAAGCAAAGGAAAGAGGGAGGGAGAGAGGAAGGAAGGAAGAAAGGAAGGGAGGGAGGGAAGGGAGGAGAGAGGAGGAAGAAATGAAGAGAGAGAGGAAGGCAGGGAAGGAGGGGAGAGAGGGAGGGAGGGAGAAAGGAAGAAAGAAGGAAGGGAAAGAGGGAGGGAGAGAGGAAGGAAGGAAGGGAAGAAGGGAAGGAAGGAAGGAAGGAAGAGGGGAAGGAGGGGGGAGGAGGAAGGAATGAAGAGAGAAAGGAAGGCAGGGAAGGAGGGGAGAGAGGGAGGAAGGGGGAAAGGAAAGAAGGAAGGAAGAAGGAAAGAAGAAAGGAAGGAAAAAAGGAAGGGAAAGAGGAAGGGAAAGAGGAAGGAAGGAAGGAAGGAAGGGCAATTGGTACTAAATTCTTGTAGTGCCCAGGCACTCTTCCCCTAGTGGGCAGGGCAGAGAGACTGTGAAAGGTGGAGATGAAGGAGAGCCATCATTTCACTCTTGAGAAAGGACGGAGCAGGCTGTGTGGAAGAGATGAGATCTGGGATAAATTGGAAAAGGTATCAAAAAATTAGGAGGGAAGAAATATTTTCAGCAAGTCTGCTACCACACTCCTCAAATTCAACTAAGAGTGGTGATTTAATGTAAGATTTATATTTTTATTAACTGGTGCTTTGTTTTCATGTTGATATTAAAAGTGCCTGTCTTCTGCATTACTTTTTATTTTTAGGGAGGAGAAATTTATTTTGCATTTTCCGGGTTCTTGGGAGCTGCTTCAGCACTCTAGAGTCTTTATGGATAAGATCCTGGGTCGCTGGCACCTGAGTGAATTAGTAGTGGGTTCCCTGATCTTCCCTCAGGTCAGAAAAGCTCCGCATCCAGCCCTATTAGCAGGGGCAGAAACAGACGCCAGGAGACACTGCCCACCTCCTGGGAATCGGAATCAGCCTTCACAGCACCAGGAGCCTGGGGTGGGCTGCTGTTTCTGTAAGGTTTTAAAAAGTCAGAGAGCACAGAGTTCTTCCGGAGCCTATTCTGACTCCTCCTGAGTTTTGTTCACGTGAGATAATATCCTCCTGGGAAAAAATCTTGATGGAAAGCCAAGGCCCCCCTGCTGGCTGCAAGAAACCGGAATTCGGCCTTTTCGGCGCGCACCCGGACACGGCGCTGGGATGAAGGCGCCCAGTTCATGCCCAGCCAGGGCCTGCAGGGACAACGGGGTGAGCGCGGAAACGCTGGCATGGGTGTGGGTTTGGGGAGGCGGGAGGAGGCTTACTCCGGGGTTCTCTGTATCTGTGCTGGCCACACAGATGCGCTGTGTCCGCTGAGATGTCGTCTCTCGGACAGCGGTCTGGCGCCGCCGAGCACCAACGAGCCAACGAGGAAGGACACGAGTCTCAGGTGCTTCCTTCCGAGTGTGGGTCGCTTTCTTATTTCGGCCAAAACAGAACTTCACGTTGGAAAATAGCACTAATTCGGGCTGTATCCAACCGGCACGCGCAGCTAGGAAAGGCTTCCTTCCGCGGGGGCTTCACTGGTTTTCCTGATGTGCAAGCCACCTGCAGATGTGTAGAGCCCGGACTCTGTGCGACGTGGGTGTGGGACTCCACGTGTGCCGCGTGACGTCTCCGTGTGGCTCCCTGTGGCTCGTGGGCTGGCGGGGCACTGCTTATCGCCCCTTCTGTTTCACCCTGGGCATCGTTCCTGTCACGAATCTCCCCCTGCCCTTGCTCACCAGACCCCCCGGGGGACTTGGCCACTGTTCCCCGCCGCCGGCTACCTGCAAAGCCTGGGTCGAAGGTGCTATGTCAGCAAGGCTGGGGCTGCGCGCTCAGCTACAAAGCCCTGAACTGGAAACTGGCTGCTCAGGGCGCAGAGGGGGACAGGAAGTGTCCTGCCAGGGGCCCAGGGCTCTGGGCTGTGGCTTCCATCCCATCGCTGTGTTCTTTCCTGCTTAACTTTTGTAGGTCTGAGCCTCAGTTAGTTTATCTACAAAATGAGGAAGGTTAGGTCACATTATCTGCCAGGACTTATGGAGCAATGATGGGTGTGTTTACAATTTTAAAGTTCAAGGTGCCTGGACTTTATTTTCAGTAATTCGATGGATTTGCTTTTCAAAAACAACTAGCTTTGGTACACCACACTTAACATGCCAGATAGATGAAAAGAAAAAAAATTCTTTTACTGAATGGCCGAGTTTGAGGGAAAATAACAGAATTTATCAGAGTCAGAAACACGTTGAGAAAATAAAGGTGCATTTAAACTGGCACTCTTCCCCGAGGTATCTGCTAGCACCCATGGTCCTGGTCATCCGACTTTCAGCGGACCTCACTCTCGAAGGAGACGGAGCCTGAGGCCTGTGCGGGGCGGCCAGGGCACAGTACCCGAATCAGTGGAACAGAAACTTCTGCCCACTGATGGTGGCCTCAGCCTTGGCTCTGAGAGCAGTGCAAGTAAAGTCTTCCCTCAGAATTCCCAGCCATAAGCCTGCGCTCACGGGCTTTGAGGTCCAAATGTACACTAACTATATGATTGTTAAGAAAGACAAAAATTTAACTTGAAGCATCCCAGAATTGATAGTACTCCTGAGTTCTTGGAAGAAACAAAATAAAATCCTCCTTGAAGAAACTCACTTTAAATCCTCAAAGAATTATGAAAGATAAAATACCAAGACACATGGGCTCATAATCAAAACCAAGAAACACACAGGAAATAAGACGTGAGGCAAAAAGTCAACTGCAAAGAACTGAAGATACAGAAAGCATTAGATACAGAACAGAAAAGAAGAATGTTTAACACATTGAAGGAAATACACGAGGATATTAAAAGTCTGAGAAAGCAGCATAAGGTTGTCAAAATTGACCAGGAAGATTTCAAAACCACTCAAAAGCCCTAGAATTTTTTAATATGTATATGAAATTAGACTCAACAGAAAGGGTAAGCAGCACATTTGATACAACTGCAGAGAGAATCAAGGAGCTGGAAGATAAAGTTGAAGAAATTATTCAGAATGCAGTTCTGGAAGAAAAAAGAGAAAAATAGGAAATAAATATTAAGAGGCTTTAAGGATCAAGTGAGGATGATTGCCACATTTATGATGATAATTACAGAATAGTTACGGGAACAAGTGGAGACAGATGGGGAATTTTCCAGAATAGACAAAGTATATCCATCCTAAGAGCTGGGAAGCTCCCCAAATTATGGATTTCTTATAGATATAGAGAATCAAATTTTAAAATTTATCTGGAAATTCAAAGAAAATAGAATGCCCAAATCATGTTTGAAAAAGATGAGTAAAGTTGGAGGAATCACACTACTCAATTTTAAGACATTGTAAAGATGTGGTGATGAAGGAAGTATGCTATCACAGAAAGGATGCCGTCACAGAAAGAATGCCGTCACAGAAAGGATACCGTCACAGAAAGGATACCGTCACAGAAAGGATACCGTCACAGAAAGGGTACCGTCACAGAAAGGGTACCGTCACAGAAAGGATACCGTCACAGAAAGGATGCCGTCACAGAAAGGATGCTATCACCGAAAGGATGCCGTCACAGAAAGGATACTATCACAGAAAGGATGCTATCACCGAAAGGATGCTATCACAGAAAGGATGCTATCACCGAAAGGATATCTATATGTGCTGTCACAGAAAGGATGCCCACCGGAGAGTCTAGAAATAAACTCACACAAACATGACCATTTGGGTTTTTACACTGTTACAAAGGCAATTCAAAGAAGAAAAGATGTCTTTTCGACAAATTGTGTTTGAACAATTGGATAACCATATGCAAAAAGTTAAATAAAAAGAGCTTTGACTTGACACTCACAGCTTATACAAAACGGAAACAGATCTTAGGACTAAATGTAAAACACAAAACTATAAAATGTTTAGAAAAAAGTGTAGAAGAAATTCTTTGTGACCTGGGATTAGTCAAAGAACTGGTAGATATGACTCCAAAAGCATACTTCATCAATCAAATGAAATAATTATTGGACTTAATCAAAAGTAAAATTTTCTCCTTTGCAAGAGACACTGCTGAGTAGACTTAAAAGGTAACCTATAGACTGAGAAAAAATATTTGCAAGTCACATATCCAATGAAAGACTGTTATCCAGAGTCTATAAAGAACTCTGAAAACTCAACAGTAGGAAATAAGCAACCAGTATAAAAGTAGGCAACAGACGTGTCACCAAAGAGAATATGTGGAAAGCACCTTAGCACGTGAAAAGATATTCAGCATCATTAGTCCTTTCGGAGATGCAACTTAAAGCCACTGCGAGATACAACTGCATGCCTATGAGCAGGCCTGCAATAAAACAGGTTCCAAACACTCAGTGCTGGCAAGGATGGGGAGCATCGGGAGCACTGGTGCGTTACGGATGGAAATAAAAAATGCTACAGATGCCCTGAAGACTGGTCCCTCCTGACAAAGTTAGCCACATGACCTGCAAATCAAAAAGAAATAAACACGATAGAAATGGAAAAAAGACATGAACAAGTGTTTCACAGAAGACATGAATAGAAACATGAATAGCAAAAGGAGAAGAAAAGAAAGAAAGAAGATAATCTCTTTAGCAATCAGAAAAATATGAATTAACCTTTCTCCTGTTTACAAAGAAAAAAGTGCAGCTTACTGCCAGCGCTCATTTGCTTTTACATAAACACGCTCTTTGAGGCTGAAGCAAATCTGACTGAGTTTCAATATGAAAATCAAATAGAAAAACTGTTTTTGGAATTATTTCTAAACAAAACTAACATCAGAATAATCTGAATCATGAGAATCATCTATTTCGGAAGACTTGGATTCATCAAACAAATCTTTGGCCAACAACCGTTTAAGAACAGTGTTAACATCACATGTAGGAATGCTACATTTTCTAGGATTTGACATTTTCAGCAATCAAGAATTATTATATTTTGCAAAGGGAAATACCACTACTAAAAACATAATGGTGGCAAAGGTGTCCTGGGGTAAATGCTGCAACCACAAGTACCACCAGCGAGTATTATTGGGGCAAATGGGAAAAGAGAGATAATAATTCATAGGTACCTGATTAACAAAATTAAACAACCTGACAATAAAAAATGTGAGGATACAGAGTAAGTGGAACTCTCACAACCTCATGTCATGAGAATTCAGTAGTAAAAGTCCCTTTTGAAAGCCACTTGGTATTATCCACTCTACTGGGTTGAATAATGTCCCTCCAAAAAATATGTGTGTCTTAATCCCTAGTAACTATGAATGTGACCTTATTCACAAAAGATTCACAAAAGGATCTTTGCGGATGAGTCAAGTTAAAGATCTTGAGATGAAATCTTCCTGGATTTGGAGTCCTGAATCCAATGACCAGTGCCCTTAGGAGGACAGGACACAGTGACACAAGGGAGAAGCCATGTAAAGATGGAGGCAGAGGTTGCAGTGATGCAGCCACCAGCCAAGGGATGCTTGGAGCCACCAAAAGCTGGAAAAGGCAAGGAAGGATTCTCCTCTGGAGCCTTCAGAGGGAGCACAGCTGCTGACAGCTTAATTTCTGACTCTGTATCCAGAACTGAGAAACAACACATTTCTGTTCTTGGAAGCTACTTACTTTGTGACGATTTGTTATGGCTGCCCCCAGGAAACTACACCTCTACTCACGTTGAAGATTTTTGCATTCCTAATAATACAGTGATTCTACTTTTAGGTAAAGTCCCATTTTGAAGAACACTGACTATTTTTTCTTTTCTTTTTTTTTTTTAACTGTGTTCCACTGTGTATTGGCTTTGCTATAAAGAACCATCTGAGACTGGGTAATTTATAAAGAAAAGAGGTTTAATTGGCTCATGGTTCTGTGAGCTGTACAGGCTTCGGCTTCTGGGGAGGCCTCAGGAAACTTATCATCATGGTGGAAGGCAAAGGGGAAGCAGGCATGTCTTCACATGTCTAGCAGCAGAGAGAGAGCAAGTGGGTGGGGAGGTGCTACACCCTTTAAACAAGGAGATCTCAGGAGAACTCACTCACTATCACAAGAACAGCAAGGGGGAAGTCCACCCCATGATCCAGTCACCTCCCACCAGTTCCCTCCTCCAACACTGGGAATTAAATTCAACATGAGATTTGGGTGAGGACACAGATCCAAACCATATCACACCGTAAGAAAACATTTCACATTACAATTCAGTACTGAGATATACACAATGTATTACAAATGCATTGAAGAAAAATTAGAAAACAAATGTCACTCATAATTTTACCATCCAAAGATGACCAGTATTGATGTATTTTCCTATGGTCTTTTGCAGACACGCCCACCTACCCACAGGATGGGTTCCTACATCCCATTCGTGACCTGCCTTTGTCCCCTAATAAATTATCGTAAACATTTTCTTACCAATAACATGTCTATGATTGTATTTCACTGTATGGACATTTTAAAAATTTCTTTCTTCATTTTTGCTCTTAAAAATAACTTTGATAAATATCGCGCCAATATCTTTTTGAGCTTGTCTTTTTATCCTTACCTTTGTTGACAGATGGTCACAGGACGGCTGCCTCAGCTCCAAACAGCAACATCTGAAGGAGAAAGGTAGGAGACAGGTGCAGAAGGAAGCTTTCTCTCTGGGAAGATACTCCTTTTCATCTGGGAAAAATATTTTCCATAGCATCCCCTGGCCAAGTTTCTCCTACACTTTATGGCAAGAGTTGGGCACACAGGCACACACGGCCTAACCTACTGGCATGGAAAGGGAGCCCCATGGCTGTTTCTGAGCAACCACGGTTTATCCCCCGGCTTGAGGCAGGAACTGGCCTCCTCTGAGGTTGGGGACTTTTCAGCCAGTATCTGAGCAAAACTGAGGCTGCACTAGCAGAGAAGACCTGAGAGAAATGGCTGCTGGGCAGGCAACAACACTGTCTGGGTAGTGGTGCATGACCCGGCGGCTTGCAAGCTCCTTCCTCCTCACTTAGTGGTCTTCACTCAAAGGAAAACATCTTTCCAAGTTTAAATTGTATTAAAGGTCTCCTTCCTCTCTCCTAGTCTACAGTAACGCTCTTACCCAATCCATTCCAAGTTTAAATTGTATGAAAGGTCTCCTTCCTCTGTCCTAGTCTATAGCAACACTCTTACCCAATCCATTCCAAGTTTAAATTGTATTAAAGGTCTCCTTCCTCTTTCCTAGTCTACAGTAACGCTCTTACCCAATCCATTCCAAGTTTAAATTGTATTAAAGGTCTCCTTCCTCTCTCCCAGTCTATAGCAACGCTCACACCCAATCCTGAGTCCCAGGTGTTTTACCGTTCTCTGGCATGATCAGCCAGCTGCCTGGTAGCCAGCTGGTTACACTGGACCACTTCCATTGTGGACAGGGCAGTGCTTTATTATTACTGGAATTGACAGTTACTCCAGATACGGATTTGCCTTCCCTGCATGCAATGCTTCTGCCAAAACGGCTATCCGAGGACTTACAGAATGCCTTTCCCACTGTCATGGTATTCTACACAGCATTGCTTTTGACCAAGGAACTCACCTTGTAGGAAAGAAGGGCTGCAATGGGCCCACGCTCACGGATTCCCCAGTCTTACCATGTTCCCACCGTCCTGGAGTGGCTGGCTTCATGGAACAGAGGAATGGCCTTTTGAAGACTCAGTTACCATGCCAGCCAGGTGGCAGCCCCTTGCAGGGCTGGGGCAAGGTTCTTCCCAAGGTGCTTTAAATCTGCATCAGATTTTATGTAGTGCTGTCTCTCCTGGCCGGGATTCACGGGCCCAGGAATCAACAGGGTGGAAATGAGAGTGGCACCACTCAGTGTTACCCCTAGTGACCCACTGGCAACATTTTTGTTTCCTGTCCCCAACACCCCTGCTGGCCAACAGGTGTCAGTTCCCAAGGGAGAAATGCTTCCACCAGGAGACACAGCAGTGATTCCATTGAACTGAAAGTGAGGCCTGCCTTGGACTCCCTGTGCCACAGAACCAGCATGCGAAGATGGGGGTGACTGTACCGGCTGGGGCGACTCTCATGTACAGGCCTCCCTCATTTCTGCTGCAGGACATCCAGGATAAGCCTGGACATCACCCAGACATTCATCTTCTGGGGAAAGGGAGCATGTTTTCAGTTGCGTGCAGCATACTTGTGTTTCGGGCAGCAGTGTGACTTTGCTGCTGTCTTGATCTGGAGACGAGTATAAGACTCAGGCAATGTGGAGGGTGGCAGGTCCAAGAGTAGACTGAGACAGTCAGGCTTGGGAGTCCCCTGGCCAGGCCACCATGCTCGGTTACGCGGTGCTGCCGTGAACGTATTCTGTAAATGAGACGAACACCCCCCATTACCCTGTCGTAGAGGAGATCATCCTGCATAACCTCGTCGGGGTGGGGAGGCTGACTGGTCAGCAGAAAGGCCTGGAGAGGGGAGCCGAGGTCCCCCTGCAGAGGAGGAAACTCCTGGGAAGGGCCTGATCCTGCCTCAGTTTCCAGCTGCCCAGAAAATCAGACTTACCCACTAGGCCCCAAAACTGTGCAGGACGGGTTCTTCACACTCCCCTCCCCTCTCTCTGTCTCCCTTGAGATATATGTGGATATAGACTTGGTTTTATTTCCCTGGGGAAATCTGATCGATACAGGTACTACATTCGGCGTCCAGTCCATGACTCAGGAAGTCAATTCTCCGTCCCTTCGCTCTCCTTCCATCCGAGGCCAAACGCATTCACTTCACGCTCTTGGAATGTTTTCATGTAAAAAGAGTGCCATATCAGGATTAATAGTTTTATGTATATAAACTAGTAATATATAGAGAAAATAACACTTCAGGATCAGATACAGTTGCCTGAACTCTGTGGCTAAGTTAAGCCCCACACTGTATGGCATCTGCCATGCCTCACACCACAGGCCACGTTGGACCCCAGTGCTTTGGTATAGGAGGATGTCCTCTGCCTCCACAGTGAGCCATGGCCCCACCCTAGGTTTCAGAGCAGAGAAATCGCCCTGACAACTAAGCAGCTTCTGACACCCAATTCTGTGGAAGATCCAATCACAGGGATCCTGCCAATTGAGGAATGATGGGAAGTCTCTGCTCCAGGTTACTCGCGCCTGGTACAAAACAGATGCTCAGTAGATGGTGGCCATCACACTAGCAGCAGGTGCTGTAGGGCACCAACACCTCAGAGACAGGGGATGGAAAACATATTATGTATTAAGAGCTCACAGATTTTGCAAGACTCTCCTTACCAAATTTCTACTGAAACTGTCAGCATGACTGTTTTAGACCATTTGTGCTGCTATAACCAAATACTATAGACTGGGTAATTTATACACAGTAGAAACTTATTGTCTTAGCTCTGGAGGCTGGGAAGTCCAAGATCAAGACACCAGCAGGTTCCAAGTCTGTGAGGACATGCTTTTGTGTTTCCAAGATGGTGCCTTCAATGCTGTGTCCTCACATGACCAAAGGGCTGGGTTGGTGGTCCCTCGAAGTTGTCTGTTAAATTTATTTATTTATAGCATCGTGGAGTCACCAAGAGAGTGAGGCTGGAGCTCCACCATCTCTGTGGTTTTGTCGTCACGGGGTACAGCTTTCTCACAGACTGGATCAAAGACTCACCACACTTTAAAAAAAAAAGAGGGAAAGGCAAAAATCAGGCAAAAATTTCAGATACGTTGACACCTGGGGGCTGGAGCAGCTCCACCTACATCCTCCACAGCTGGTGGCCTCAGCTTCTCCTGACAAATGCTTCATTCACTCTAGTGGCTGTGGCCCCCCAGGGCTGCCACATGCCTGAAGCTGAGCCATGGAGAGCCCGTCTCTGCAGCAGAACCCGCAGCAGTGGGCGCAGGGGAGCCAGTGACACTCAGACCTGGGGCCACGCAGGAATGGGCCAAGCTAGCTCCCTCCAGCCCTTTTATAAAGTTACTAGTCCCATTCATGAGGGCAGAACCCGCAGGGCCTACCACCTCCTAAAGGCCCCACCTCTTACTACTGCCGCGCTGGGGATGAAGTTTCAATGTGAATTTTGGAGGAGACACAAACATTCAAACCATAACAGCAGCTTAGAAAGAAATACTACAACTGGACCTCCGTGCTCAAGAACCCAAGGCGCTTCTCATAAGTATTGTCATAATAATGTCCAATACTTGTGTATCTCATAATGGTTTACAAAACCTTTTCACATAGTCTCACTTAATTTTCACAAATACCTAAAATAGAAAATTACACTCCAATTGATTATATTGTTATCCATTTCTGTGGGTCAGGAACAGGGATGGGGTACAGCACAGATGGCTCCACCCTGCTCCCTGAAGTCTGGGCTTCAGCAGGACGACAGGAAGCTTGGGGGCTGGACCCCCCCGAAGGCTCATCCACCCACAGGCCTTGCGGGGGGTGATAGCTGCCAGCTAGGACTGCAGCTGGGGCTGTCACTAGAATGTTACACGTGGCATCCCCCTGTGTCAAGACTTCCTTACAACATGGTGGCTGAGTTCCAAAGGTGAACGTTGGGAGAGACATGGTGAGACAGAGAGACAGAGACCGAGGGTGCGAGGCGGCACTGTGGTCATGGGGAGGGAGAGAAAGAGAGAGTGCACGTGCCAGGCAGGGGTCCACACATTTCATGACCTAGATTGGCAGTCCATTGGTTGGGGCAGTAAGGAGCCCCTCAGTGGGAGGGGAGCCCCTCAGTGGGAGGGGCATTGTGGGAGACCATGCGGTTGGACTAAATATACCAGTGTAGCCATCACTGGAAAATGCAACCTGTCACATGCATAAATTAGGAAAATAAAGCTTTTGATGTTAAGTGACTTGCCAGGGTCACGCGGCTGAGTGTCAGGATGAGACGGGATTTCCGGCACCAAGACGACCGGTTGTCAGGCTATTCCATGTCCACCAGGCATCGCGCCCTCTGAGAGTGGCTGTCGGCCTCCTTTGGGTGTTTCCCTCCTCTGCCCTTCGACACTACGGCCTGCACCCCATCACCCCATCTCCTTCCTCATCATCAGGGGCTGCCTCTATTGTTGAGTTAAAGGTGCGTGAAAGCCAGGTGGGAGCTGTCACCAGCTGCACAGGCTTCTAATGTGCAAGTCTGAAGCAGGACCTAGGAGCCCACCTGGGTGGAGATCCTGGCTGTCACCTTCCGGTTGGATGACATGGGGCATATTTTTTGAGCCCTCGTGGCTCTGGTTCATCACTGAAAACTGGGGAAGATTTCATGAGTTTATTGTGAGAATGAAATGAGTTAATATACGCAGAGTCCTAGGACAGTGCCTGGTGCGTGGTAAGTGGCATTATTATGATTTTATTACCATTAATTATTACACTCTCTCCTTATACATGTTTCGATCAACTCCCAGGGGCTTCCCTCATGTTCCACAAGCTCTGTGTTGTAACTGCTGAACGAGTTTACAGCCACGGACTTTCAGGGACCTCAACAGCCCAAGCAGGCCTCGTTTACCTCAGTATTTTCTCTCTCCGGCGAAAGCCCCGGTGGGCAGTGAGTCTGGTGTGGCACAGCAGGGAGAAAAGAAGCCCACCCACTCCTGCAACAGCAAGGCCAGCGCTGGGGTCTCCGGCCTGAGCCTGGGGGCCTGGGCTTCAGTTGTTTCTGTGACCTGAGTGTGCAGGTCACCTGGGCTCTGTGCTCCGTCTCTGCCTGGCGAGGCTGGCGTGGTCCCGGGCCTGAGTGTCACTGGCTCTCCTGTACCCACTGCTGCTGGTTCTGCTGCAGAGATGGGCTCTCCATGCCTCAGTTTCAGGCACGTGGCAGCCCCCGAGGGCACAGCTGCCGGAGTGAATGAAGCATTTTTCAGGAGAAGCCGAGGCCACCAGCTGTGGAGGGCGTCCCGTGGAGCTGCGCCAGCCCCCAGGAGTCAACTTATCTGAAATTTTTGTCCTTCCCCTTCTCCTTCTCCTTCTTCTTCTTCTTTCTTCTTCCTTTTTTTAAAGTGTGGTGAGTCTTTGATCCACTCTGTGAGAAAGCTGCACTGCGTGACGACAAACCCACAGAGAGAGTGGAGCTCCAGCCTCGCTTTCTTGGTGACTCTGCGATGCTAGAAATAAACAAATTTAACAGACGCCTTCGAGGGGCCACCAACCCAGCCGCACACTGAGTCGGCACGAGTGTGTGCCGGGCAACGCGCTCAGCTCTGCGGGGCTGCGTCACCAGCTGCACTGCGTCTCCCCCACTTTCATACACTGCAGCCCTCACCCCCAGGACCTCCCAATGGGACCGCATTTGGCAGTGGGGTCTTAAAGAGATCGTTGGGTAAAATGAAGCCATAGGGGTTGGCCCTCATCCAGTAGGACCAGTGTCCTTATAGGAAGAGGAGGTTAGGACAGACACACACAGGGACGGCCGGGCGAGGACACAGGCAGAGGGCAGCATCCAGAAGCCCAGGAGAGGAGCCTCCGGAGGAACCAGCCCTACTCACACCTTGGTCTTGGACTTCCGGCCTCCAGAACCACGAAGAAGTAAGCCACCCAGTCTGCGGAATTTTGTTATGGCAGGTTGTAACAAGGCTTTCTGAAAAATACAAGCATTTCAGGCAGAGGCCCTTCACAGCCTGTTACGCAACCACTCAAAGTGCATGCCTTGTCTTTTGCAATTTCCTCAGAATTGGTTATGTCACTGGCACTCACGCCTAGGCCGTCCCGAGGGGCCAGCCCCGGGCACGGTCTCCCTTTCCCTGGGTGTGGGTACTGCCGGTGTGGGAACTGGCTGCTGGCGTGGGAACTGGCTGCTGGTGTGGGAACGGCTGCTTGTCCCAGTGGTGCCCACCTGTGTCCACACTTCAAGGCCACCTGGGCCTGGAGATGTCACTAAGGGTTGACCCGGAGACGCCGACCTCAGGGACCTGGGAGGCTGCACACTGGCCGTGTTTGAAGTGACCCTCATGTCACCCAGGTCAAGTGCCACGGGCCCCACACATCCTCTTCTTCCCTGTCTCCCAGCTGCAGGCCCGGACTGGATGGCTTTGGCTAAGGAACCAACGCAGGTGGAGAAGGAGGCTGACGATGGAGCCCAGGCACTCCAGCCTTGAAGGAGGAGAACCTGACCCTGAGCCTGCATGGCAGCCGTGCGGGGGGACTTCGGGGGGTTTCCCCTTTGCTTCCATCCAAAGAAAGTGCCCCACGTTTGAAAGCCTCTGTGCTGAATGCTCCCAATGCCCTCCGATTCCATCTAGGTCGTCCCTACCACCAAGGCAGGTGTGTGAATTCACCCGCACAGCTCACCGTCCTGGGAGGGTGACGCTGGAGGAGGGACGTCCCTACCATCAAGGCAGGTGTGTGAATTCACCCGCACAGTTCACCGTCCTGGGAGGGTGACGCTGGAGGAGGGACGTCCCTACCATCAAGGCAGGTGTGTGAATTCACCCGCACAGTTCACCGTCCTGGGAGGGTGACGCTGGAGGAGGGACATCCCTACCATCAAGGCAGGTGTGTGAATTCACTCGCACAGTTCACCGTCCTGGGAGGGTGACGCTGGAGTAGGGATGTCCCTCCGGGGTCTCTTCAGCATCTGCCCTTCTCCACCACATAAGTTCGTCAGTGAGGGGGAGTCACGCAGCTGGGAGCATGGAGTGCAGTGCGCAGGCCCCTTGCCCGGGGCCAGGCTCCCTCTGCCTCATTGCCGCTAAGAGGCTGCCCTTTCTGGCCTGGACATCTCCTGGGACTGTGGGCCCTCACAGCCCTGGGCAGTCTGGACAGGACGGACTGTGCTTCTCATGGGGCAGCACTTCCTCCACTGCAGACGCTGCCACCTGCCCCCTCCCTCCCTGCTGGAAGCCTCTGGTCTCCAGGCCTCTCCTGGCTGTCTCTGGCCCTTGCCTCATTCACACCCAGCTGTGAGCATACCTGCTGGCTCAGCCCAGAGCCCCTGTCTTCTCAGCTTTGCACCCCAACTCCTGAATTTGGTTTTCAGCTGGATTTCCTTAGGCTCAGGACTTAGCCAGGACTTGTGGACTCTCCTGCATATTTCTAGTACATGCACCTGCACAGGTTCGGGCCCTCTGACCACGAAGAGTGAATGAGACTGGGAGGGGTCATTACACATTGCAAGCAAAGCCATAAACACACACACCAGCCAGGTGCAAAAAGAGTTAAACTAATTAGCTTATTCCCTTGGGGAGAGTTTAAGCAGAAGTAGGAAAATAACTGAAGTACCAAACTGTCAGACAATGAATGGGTCTGGAATAATGTGAAAATTACTGCAACTGTCTGAGAGGCTATGTAGTTGGTGTTGTTATTAGTGGGGAGCTTTTTCCTCCACAGAGCAAGATACTAAATGGATGTCATTTCTGGGCACTTACATAATTGGCTAAGGCTGGTCTCAGCGGAAAACAGCCGCTGGCCCTGTCCACACACACACGCGGACCCACGGGGCCACTTGGAAGTCGGACGCTCCTGGCCTGACACTGCATTGTCTCCAGGTGGGACTGTGGAGCCACTTCCCTGGCCTGCCCCCTCTGTGGACAGGTGCTTGCTCATTTCCTGTGGACAGGAATCTCATTCAGACACTGGGCTCTGCTCCTTACCTCCTCCTCCAAGTGAGCTCAGCCGCTCCACACAGATGGGCAGCACTGTCCTCACCAGAGGGAACAGTTCGATTCGGGAGGGAGTTTGAGACCCACCACACCCCTTGCCCAGGCTTGATGCGAGTGAGGTGGAGAGCCGCCCACTGACCTGGAGTTCACCCCTCTTCTCCCTGAATTTCCTTTTCTTTATTCCCTTCCCAGTTTAACCTCTCCCTCTTGGATTCAGCATCACCTAGGAGAGACTCTGGTGCTCTTTTAAATACCTTTCCTTTCTGCCTTTGCCACTACACAGCAGAATGAGAAACACAGCAGAGAGGGAATGGTCAACCCCAGAGCACTGGCCACTTTGGGAAAATGGACATCTCCTCTCCTCTGGCTGAAGGAAAGGTGAGCAGACTGGCTGCAGTGAGGCTTCCCAGAGGTGCCAGGCAGGCAGGTGTGCTTCTCCAGGGTAGAGACAGAGTGTGGCTCAGCTCTCCCTGAATCAATGATCTCACCCAAGTTCTCCTTCATTTTTCCTGGACACAGTAAGAAGACACGGTGTTGCCCCAGGCTATGTAGCCCACAACAATTTTCCATCCAAATGCATGAGCCCGGGTTCCCGATGAAGACTTGGCTTCTCCTGAGCCCGGGGGTCCTGGCTGCTCTGGTGCCAACCCCTGGGTGTCTTTGAGCTGCAGAGGGCTTGCCACGTGCATCCTCCTCCCTCTGCCTGAGCCACGAAGACCAGGCTGGACTATGTTCCACAAAGACTTTTTCCCCTCAGGGGTCTCCTCCCAACAACACTTAACCAAGCTTTGTATTCAACAAGGAACACATTCCGCCTCCACCAAACCTCATTGAAAACAGAGAGGTGCATGGATAACCATGGCCAAATCATAACTGGTATGCATGCTCATGGTTTTCTTTGAAAATCTAACTGTCCTTTAAAAATCTTTCCCACATGAAGAGCCACAATAAATGACAAATACAAATTATAAGTTTATAAGGAAAGTATGCTAGTAAGTGTAAGCAAATTAAAAGGATGTCCCATAGGGTGGTAACAACTGATTCAGTGTTGTCAAATGTTTTGGATCCCCGTCGGTGGTAGGAAACATACTTTGTGGCCTGCCTCAGTAGACTCATGCATATGCACAAAGATGAGTGAGGTGAAGCTCACCTTTACTGTGACACATTTCATTACATCCTGTTCTGTTGAAAAGGAACGGATTGCTGTTAGGATTCTGTCCCGACGCCGACTCATGGCTCGCTCTTCAAACACTGAACCAAGTGGTGGAAAGGGCACGTGGTATGTTCACAACTCACACATGGAGCACAAACGCACACCCACATCCACCCACACGTCTGCCGAGCCTCCAGCCACTGGGCTGGATGTTATAGACTCGTGAACAAGCGGCCACTGTTATTCTCCCACTTCATCCTCACTGTCCTCTCAGTTCTGCTCACGGTTCTAGAGGACATGTTCTTTGCTGGTGCTGGCTTTCAGCAGTGCCTCCATGTGGCACCAGGTGCTCCTGCTCTGAGCCAATCAGTGTGTGTCTCTGGACACGTGGATTCCATCCTGATGGGATGCTTCTACAAGAGCAGTCCATGCACTAATTCAGACTGAGAAGGGAATAAAGGTGATGAAGTAGAGAGGCAAGGACTTTTCTACAAATTATCAAACTAGGAGTGCCAGCATCTTTTGAATATATATATAAATTAATAAGAAAATGCCATTCCAGCCTATCAATTCCAGTTACCTGTTCACACTGAGGTTCCACCCCATCCTAGGAGGCCATAAGGATACAAAGCGGCCAGTGATGAGTGCGGGAGGAGGCGGATGGGGGATCCCCAGGGCCAGGGCTAGAGGAGGAGGTTGAGGTACCCAGTGGGGACCTCAGAGACCCCGGGTCACCCCCTTCCTTCTGCAGTATCAGCTCCTGTCCTCACACCAACACGTGCAGTTGCACCACAGCCAATGCAGCTGCCCAGGATGCAGAGGCACCAGTGACACTGCTCCATGGTGATGGCACAGGCAGCTGTTGTGTGCACGTGAAGTAGACCAGAACTCTAAATGCTGTGCGGCGAGGCTGGAACCAGGCGGGAAAGAGCAGCAATGCTGTGTTACTGGAAAGACCGTGGAAATCCCCTGTAAGAACCCTGAGCCCCTGTGCCCACTCTGCGGGGCAGAGCGCTGGTGTTTTTCCTGAAAAGCTTGTGAGTCCATCTTGCTTTTTAACCATACTCACTTATAACGGTCACAAAAATGAAACATTTAAAAAATAAACAAATGCACCATGAGCAGCCTGTCCCAGGGCGATGGACTCACCCAGTCCCACGAGCAGACCTTTCAGGAGCTTTCCAATGGGGGTGATCAATTACGCAACAAACAGCTACTGAGCACCTACTGTCTACCAGGAACTGGCTCAGATAGGGCCAGGTGCCAGGTGTGAGCAAAAACACACATGAAACCTGGCCTTGTGATGCCCACAACGCAGCTGGGAAGACAGATGCCAGTTCACGTACACAAATACACGTACAATCTAAGATGCGGGAGCCCACTGCCCCACAGCCTCACAGGGAGGGAGGTCCCTTGGCTGACACCTGGGGAGGAGAGTCCCACCCACCACCCTGATCGTGGTCCTCCTAGGAGGAGGACCTTCTCTGCCCTCCTAGGGAGGAGCCAGTTACTGCTGCCCACAAGGAGGGCAATGATCCCATTACCAGTTGGCCTTAGGGCACTGTGGGCCCAGCCCTGCTTGGGGCAGGTGTGAAAGTGAAGGTCTACCTGACTCTGAACGCTTGGCCACAGCCTCTCCTCAGTGGAGGCCCATAGCCTCCATCCACAAGACAACGTGAGAATGTGAAATCAGGAGAATGGAGAAGTACCTTCTCTCCAGAGGGAATACAGTGAGTGAAATCAGGAGAATGGAGAAGTACCTTCTCTCCAGAGGGAATGCAGTGAGTGAAATCAGGAGAATGGAGAAGTACCTTCTCTCCAGAGGGAATACAGTGAGTGAAATCAGGAGAATGGAGAAGTACCTTCTCTCCAGAGGGAATACAGTGAATGCGTGCACGTGGGGGCTCTCCCACTCAGGCTGTGTGACCTCAGGCAAGCACCTTAGCTTCTCTGTGCCTCAGTTTCCTCCTTTATAAAACGGGGACTTAAAAACATCTTGTAGGATAGGATTGTCAAGAGAATTAAATGAGTTTATGTGTGTAAAGTGCTTTAAATAGTGTCTTCCAAAGACAGTCACCCAAATAAACCATGTGAGCCAAGGACACCAGTCACCTGGGGCTGACCCTGCTGAGATGAGATGGACAAGGTGGATGAGCTGGCCCATAACTTGAGACACTTATCCTGATATTCAGCCATAGGATGGTACAGGGGACCCGAGAGCTGTCAGCACCGTGCCCGCTTCCCACCCGTCCCTGCCCGCACTCTACCTGGGAGAGCCTCCTGGGCTGCTTGTCTGCCCCTGCATCACCAGACCCACACTCTGCAGCCCCACTCTTGAGCCCTTTCATCTATACTCCACGCCTGGTGAACCTCATGGTGACTCTGCTCCTCTTTTTCCCTCTTTCTTCTCTAAAAAAAAATCTCCATCTTGTGGCCAAGGAAGAAATAGTGTGAGTTGCTTGTAGGCAGGAAAAGTGATGAGGACGCAGGAAGATCTCCAGTGTTAACATGTGAACGACCATCTCCACACGCCCCCACCTCCTTCCCTGTTGATCGTCTTCCACATTCTCCAGAACCTGTGCTTTTAATTCTTGTGACTCAATTTGAAATCTATGTATGGAAATTACAATGATCAGTTGTGAGGAAGGCTCATGCCGGACAGTAGAAAGTTCCAGCCACAGCAACTTCATTGTGCAAATCGTTCTGGGCTCTCTCAAGGCAGCTTTCCCTTGGCTGTTGGCCCAGGAAGTTATTTATAATCCAATAAAAATTAAAAGGACTTGTGGGAAGGATTTACTTACAGAGTGCATTGGCTCTTGCATTCAATTCATTGCTAATGTTAATTCCTGTTCATTCTAAAATTTCTGAATATAGAGCCTTTGCCTCTACAGAGAATTTAGCAAGTAAACACCCAAGATGAGAGCCTTACTTTTTATTCAGCACTGGGTGCCCAGCACAGCGTCCAGGACACTCGTAAGGAGCCAGAAAACATTTAACAAATGATAATGATAAAAAATAAAAAGAAACTGGACAGGCACGGCTGTCTCCGCCACAGGTGACATCTGTCTGTGCCTCCATATGCATGGAATGCACCAAACGCTGAGGCTCCTACAGAAGAAAAACCCAACCAACGATCAGAGTTTCTCGACAGGTGCAATGACCCTAGAGTGTATGGGGCAGCCCTCATGTAAAATATGCTGCCCTCGGTTTCCCCTTTCCTGGCATCCATTTGTTCACTCTTGCTGTATTTTCTATCCTAAAGGACTTTGAATGCCCTGTAAAACACATAAAACAAGACTCAGAAAATGGATCCAAGTGGCAACTCAGGTGAGCTGCAAATGGAAGCCTCCAGGTAGCAGGGCGAGTGTTCCTCACACACACACACAGAGCCATCCATCTGGACAACGCTTCCCGCCTTCTCAGCACCATGGGGCACAGGAGCCGTGAAAGCTGCAGTACATGCTGAGGCTTGTGCAGGCCACTCACAGTCCTCCAAGGGCTCCATCCCCCGAGGTGCTGCCACTGTCTCGGGCAGGAGGCCACTCAGTCCTGCAAGGGCTCCATTCCCCGAGGTGCTGCCACTGTCCCGGGCAGGAGGCCACTCCGTCCTCCAAGGGCCCCATACCCCGAGGTGCTGCCGCTATCCCGGGCAGGAGGCCACTCGCGGTCCTCCAAGGGCCCTGTCCCCTCGCGGTGCTGCTGCTGTCCCGGGCAGGAGGCCACTCAGTCCTCCAAGGGCCCTGTCCCCCCGAGGTGCTTGCCGCTGTCCTGGGCAGGAGGCCACTCAGTCCTCCAAGGGCTCCATTCCCCGAGGTGCTGCCACTGTCCCGGGCAGGAGGCCACTCACGGTCCTCCAAGGGCCCTGTCCCCCCGAGGTGCTGCTGCTGTCCCAGGCAGGAGGCCACTCAGTCCTCCAAGGGCCCTGTCCCCCCGAGGTGCTGCCGCTGTCCTGGGCAGGAGGCCACTCACAGTCCTCCAAGGGCCCTGTCCCCCTGCGGTGCTGCTGCTGTCCCAGGCAGGAGGCCACTCACAGTCCTCCAAGGGCTCCATCCCCCGAGGTGCTGCCACTGTCCTGGGCAGGAGGCCACTCACGGTCCTCCAAGGGCCCTGTCCCCCCGAGGTGCTTGCCGCTGTCCCGGGCAGGAGGCCACTCAGTCCTCCAAGGGCTCCATTCCCCGAGGTGCTGCCGCTATCCTGGGCAGGAGGCCACTCACAGTCCTCCGAGGGCCCTGTCCCCCCGAGGTGCTGCCACTGTCCCGGGCAGGAGGCCACTCAGTCCTCCAAGGGCCCCATACCCCGAGGTGCTGCCGCTATCCTGGGCAGGAGGCCACTCGCGGTCCTCCAAGGGCCCTGTCCCCTCGCGGTGCTGCTGCTGTCCCGGGCAGGAGGCCACTCAGTCCTCCAAGGGCCCTGTCCCCCCGAGGTGCTGCCGCTGTCCTGGGCAGGAGGCCACTCACAGTCCTCCAAGGGCCCTGTCCCCCCACGGTGCAGCCACTGTCCCAGGCCGTCCAACCCCAAAGATGCAGGGAATCCAGAGCTCAGAACACCTGTGACCCACTCCTGGTGACACATGGGCTGGCAGGAGAGATGAGCGCTTTTCGTGGAACCAGTGTTTACCAATATCCTGTGGTCACTGAGGGATAGAGAGGAATAGGTTCTCAGCTACGTCTCTAGAATGCAAGCATGACTTCCCTATGGCCTGTTTCCCATCATAACCCTCAACGCAGACTGTGTCCATTTCCTAAGGTTGTTGTTATGAGTGTCACAAACTGGGTGGCTTCAAACATCAGAAATTTATTCTCACAATCTGGAGGCCAGAATCCAAACGCCCCGTGCTGGCAGGGCTGCTGCTTTCTCTCTGGAGATTCAGGGGGATCCTTCCTCCTCCTCCAGATTCTGGCCGCATCACTCCAGTCGGCCTCTGTCTTACGTGACCTCCTTCCTCTGTACCTCTGTCTTCACGTGACCTCCTTCCTCTGTGTCTGTGTCTTCACGTGACCTCCTTCCTCTGTGTCTCTGTCTTCACGTGACCTCCTTCCTCTGTACCTCTGTCTTCACGTGACCTCCTTCCTCTGTGTCTGTGTCTTCACATGACCTCCTTCCTCTGTGTCTCTGTCTGCTTATGAGGACCCCTGGCATGTTGGATTAGGGCCCAGCCGACTTCAGGGTGACCTCATCTTAGTCAAATTACATCGTCAATGGCTCCATTTCCAAAGAGGTCACATTCATAGGTACTGGGGGTTAGGACTTCAACATGTATTTTTGAGGGAAGACAATTTAACCCATATCACGGGCCAGTGGAAAATGCAAAGGTAAAACTGAGAAAACCAAGTCTGTGATGACTCAAAATAATGTGGTCCATACACTGAGGCCTCTAATGTGTGGCTTCATCTGAGGACAGCGGCTCCTCTATGACATCGTCACACACACCCAGTCCTTGGTGGGGCCTGGGCAGCTGAGGGCTTGAGGAACATTCTCCATCCATGACTATGGAAGGTCAGTGAAGCAGGGGCAGGAGGTACATCGTTCTGTGAGAATCAGGACTGGTCAGAGGTTCTGCTCTGATCTGTTCCAACTCATTGACACATGAGCACTTGAGCTCCAACTTCTCTGCCATGGAGCTGGAGCACAAGCAGAAACCACAGAAATGTCCCAGGGATTCCAGTACTTCGGCATCAGAGCTACGCCTCCCACAAAGCATTTAGCTCTGAGAGAGGTTAACAACCACAAAAACCGCAACACACTTCCTTTGTTGGATCATATGTCTGAAATTTAAAAATCAGTCTCCATATGGCTTGGCTAATCTGCCTCAGTTCCTCATTTTTTATTCCCCCACCCTCATATATATAACTTGGATTACACAGTCACATTTTGTTCAGTTGTATTTTGCATCTACTAGTGTAGCTGCCTTGCCTTGCACACTCTCTGTTCCTTGAGAACAGTCCGTTCTTAGATTCTCGGATCCTCCTCAGTGACTTGTTCATAGAGGCACAGGGATGCCTTACTAGTGCTGTCAAATGAGGATGATTCATAGTAATTCATGGAATACTAGCTCTGAAAATCCTGGCCCATACTAGTCCAGAGTCAGGCCATATAGCTAACTGGGTGCATTTAGATGTCCACATTGTGAAGATTTCCGGAAAATGTTCATCTCAGTTCTTCTGTCCTAGAGATCTAGTTAATATTTTTGGCCATACTTTTCCCAAGACACAAACAGGTTTTGAAATTGTTGGTCAATATTAAGATGTACATGTGGATTTGTATCTACTTTGTTGAGACCATTTATGCCATTCAATGTAGCAAATAACAGAGCGGGATTTAGTGAGAGTAGAGAGCCATCCACATTTTCCTAGCCTCCTTGCCATGGTATTCTCATTCCTTCCCATCGTTTCTTCACTCTCAATATCATCATTTCCTTCTGTCTTCAGTTTTTAAATGTGTTTAAGGGGACACATGTTGACACCCCTGCTAGTCTAAATATCCCTGTGAGGGCAATTCCTGTGTTTTCAGAGTCCGTATTGCCAACAGTCACCTTCTGTAGATTCTATGCAGACTCAGGGTTATGGACTTACTTGGGGCGGGGCGGGGGTGGGACAGAGGAAAATGGTTCTTCAGCAGATTTTGTGCCCTTGCTCTGGCAGCCATATTTGTAAGAACCATGCTGGGAAGAATCCTCCCAATTTCAGAAGTCATGGAGCAGATGATTAGAAGTGTTCCTATTTTGTCCTAAATCTGCAGCACAAGGCTCAGTGTGCCTTGTCTTCAGTAAGAAAACTTTCAACACTCTTATAAAATGCAACAATATTAGAAGTACCTCCCCCAAAAGACTAAAATATATTTCCATTTTAAAGAAAATGTATTCCTTGAAACATCCGATTGCTGTGATAGGAGGGTGAAATCCAGCTGTTACCATCAATTCTAAGCCCCTCTTTTCCTCCGAGTTGGTGGAGGCATTTTGTGTAATTATCCTGCTTGTTTTTCTGTGTTTTAACGATTTTCCCGGTAGCTCCTAGGGTATTTTTTCCTGGTTAATTGCTTGCTTTGCATCTCGCTTCACCATGGTTTCAGGCGGTGATGTGCTCCCAAAAGGACGTGCGGTAGCTGCCCTTCACTTCATCCTGATGCTGAAGACAGTCCTCAGGATGGCAGGAAGACCGGGGCCATGCAGCCGCTGGCCACAGCTCTGCCTCTGAGTCATGGGTGGTGGGGTTCTTGGTGGCTTGCTTTCCCCAACACCCTCCCCTGGGTCAGCCCTTGTACATCCACACAAGGACACACTGTTTGCCACCATCACTCAGGCTAAAATACTTCAGCCACCACAGACCTTAAATGAACCCCACGGAGAGGCAACAAAAATAAAGCCAGGCAGCAACACAGGAGGCAGCTCCGGATTCTTATGTAACCGAGTCAGCTTGCTCTGGAGCTTCTCATTAGCCCAAATTACAGATCTGCGGGGCACTCTTCGGGCTCCATGCCATCTTCTGTTCCATTCCTTTCACCCTTCAGCTATGTTGCTGGGTGAACAGCTTCTCTGGCAGTGTGGGGCGACGGGGTCGAGGGCCATCTGCCTGTGTGGTCCCTGCATTGTCCATCAGCCCGGAACCCTACCCTGCAACTTGAGCCCAGGATGCCCAGCAAAGTCCAGCGCACTGGCTGGCTCGGCTGGCTGAGGAAGAGCGTGCTTTTCACAGAGTGCTACCTGGCCCCCGCAAGGGGATGCAGACGTGGCGGCGGCGCTCTCTCATGGACATCAGGAGCAGGATTTGCAAACCATGTTCACTCTGAAGTCCTGATGGAAGAATAGAAACTTCATCTTGCTATTAAATAATGTAAAGCTTTAAATCCTAAAAAGCAGTGTTACAGGCTCAATTGTGTTCCCCAAAAAGACATGGTGAAGATCTGACACCCAATACCTCAGAATGTGTGTCCTTATTTGGAAATAAGGTCACTGGGTGTCATTAGTTCAGCTCGGAGGTGGTCACCCTGGAGTGGGGTGGGCCTGAATGCTTATGGCCATGTCCTTAGAAAAAGGGGTGATTTGGACACAGACACACACAGGGAGAGGAGCACGTGAAGATGCAGGCAGAGGTCGGGTGGTGCTTCCACACACTGAGGGGCACCGAGGATGGCCGGCTGCCACCGGAAGCTGGGGAGAGGCTGGAACAGAGGCTCCCTTGCAGCCTCGGAAGGAAGCAGTCCTGCCCACCTGGCTCCAGAGCTGGGAGTGAATGTGCTCTGCTGTCTAAGCCACCTGTCTGTGGTCATTTGTCAGGGCAGCATCTGGAGACCAATACAAATAGCATCTGCTGAGCCCACAACCCACCACGTTTCCCTTCCACGCCATTCACTCATTTCCTACAAAGCTGCATTGCTGTCCAGACCCCAGGCACTTCCCTGAGCCCTCTCTGCCCTGGCGGTCCTCCCTCGCTCCCGCAAGCTGAGCTCACCCCCACCCGTCTCATTGTGCCATTTCTGCTCTTCTCCCACGCAGAAGCCTCCGAGGGTCCCGTGCTCCTGCCCCTTGCCTCTGATATGGCTCCTCGCACCCAGTCAGCGCTGCTGTCCAGAGCCTGGGCCTGGCCGCCCCTCTTCCTGCCTTGCGTGAGAGAACCCTTTCCCGGGTAAAGCTGCAGCCTCTGGGCCATCAGGCCTTACCCTCCAGCCTGCATCCACTATCCTCTGTGGCTTCCCCCACCAGCTCACCCCATCCCAGGGTGCACAGCCTTGCAGAGGCTCAGGCTGGTCCTCCCACCTGGCAGAATTGCTCTTCCTGATTTCTCTGCCCGTCCAATTCCCAGCACCCTTCCAGCTCAGCTCAGATGCAACCTGTTCAGAAAGACAGCTTTGACCTCCCTGCAAAGTCAGGATTCACCTGAGCTCTGGATTAGGACTTTCCGGAAGGCAGGGAGCCCATTGGAGGAGCCTCGCCACAGGTAGAGGCCAGTACATGACAGGCCCCAGAGGCTCGGAGTGCCTGCTGCACTGGCTGAGCTGCCACGGACCATGGGTGAGCACAAAGCTGGTGCCCGCTGCTGTGGGGGGAAGCTGTGAGCAGCAAGGAGTTGCATTTTCCCCTCCTTTTTCCCACCCTGGCTCTGGCCTTTCCCCGCCTGCCCTGGCCTGGCCTGGCCTGTCCTGATTCCTCCTCACTTAACACCCAGCACCTGGCTTGGGAGGCGGGTGGCCTCCTGCACCTATGTGCTGGGCCAGAAAGACCCCTGCACCGCTGCAGAAGGAGCTCTAGGCCCTGGCGTTGTCCTCACTGTGGGGTCAGCCAAGCTTCTGAGGGTCCCTCTTCTATTTCTAAAGGTCACCAGTGTCCGTTCCACGCAGGCCACTTCCTTCCTTCTTGTGCACCTGCCAGGGAGAAGTGTGGTGGGCTCCTGGCCAGTGCGCATGGATGAGGAGGGGGCCTGGGCAAGGTGCCGCCAGGGACATGCTGGGCCACCCACCCATGCGCCCAGGCAGAGACGTGCCTGGGAAAAGACAAAGGAGTTGGACAAGGCAGCCATCAACATAGGAACAGCAGACAAGGAAAGAAAGTCTTCCTCCCTCCCAAGGCCTCCTCTCACCCAGGCTTCCCCTTCTTACAAGGTGTCTCAGTCCCAGGTTGGGGGATGGGGTTGCTGCTGGGACCCCAAGCCCAGGACTGCGGGGACTCCCCAGGTGGTTATGGCTGGGGGAGGGAGGGGTGTGGGGGTCTCAAGGCATGGCTGGAAAAGGGGTCTACGGGGTCCCAGAGCATAGCTGAGGCCGAATGTAGGGGTCCTGGGTGTGGCTGGGGGTTGGATGCTGAGGCTCTGGCAGGGACCTGACCTTGGCTCCAGCTCTGCACTCACCCGTGGGCAAGCCTGGTGCCCCTTGGAGCCTGGCTTCCCCGTCTGTGGGGGTGAGGGGTACCCGCCCATGAGGGCCTTGGATGCCCCTGGTCCAGAATTGGGCTCCACGTGGAATCCCAAGGGTGCAGGCTTCTCAGTGGTCCAGGCCTTCGGGTCCCTGCAAGGTGTCCCCACCTCCATCTTCTCGGCCTCTGTGTGTCTCCTTCATCAGAGCCTGTTTTTCAATCCCGGCTGATGAGTCACCAGCGACCACCTTTTCGTGACTTTCCTCTGCCTGTCCCGGTTGTCTGGGCATCTCTTGGGGAAAATCCTGAGCTAAGGGATGTGATGAGCAAGACTCTTTCTAACCCGGCTCAGGTCAGGTGAGGATGTCCTCGAACCCTGCGTCCTGGCAGGGACTGTCGGGGCCACCCTCCCAGAGGGTGCAGGTGGGGTGCTGCCTGGCCCTGGGCCTGCCAGGTCCCTTGTGACATCAGTCAGCCAAGGAAATTTAGATTTAGTCAACTAAATAAGTAAACTGGCAAATATTATCCAGATTAGCACCTCAGCTTTTAATGGCTGCCCTGTGCATTTGGGGTATTTGCCTCAACTCACACTGCCGGTGCGACTTTCCCTGCGAGTGCGAAGTGCTGAGTGGAGGCCAGCCCTGAGAGGGAGGGAGACGTGAGGGGGCTTTCAATCCAGCCGTCCAGGTTTATGGATAAATGTGTGGAAGCAATAAACAGAAACCGGGAGGGACTTCATTCCAGTCACTGCTACACTCAGAGATTCTAGCAAAGTCTCTTAAGTGCCAGGCACGCAACAGATACTGGTGAGTTAATTAATTAGTTAATGATTAGCACAACACATCATGAGGAGGGAATAAGAAACAGCATCAATGAGTGATGCACTCCGGCCTTTTGCTGTTCACATGATTAATGGAGGCCACACACAGAACATGATGGAGGCCGCACGCAGCACATGATAGAGGCCACACACAGCACGTGATAGAGGCCACACGCAGAACATGATAGAGGCCACATGCAGAGTGTGATAGAGGCCACACACAGCACGTGATAGAGGCCACACGCAGAATGTGATAGAGGCCACACGCAGAGTGTGATAGAGGCCACACACAGCACGTGATAGAGGCCGCACGCAGCACGTGATAGAGGCCACACGCAGAACGTGATAGAGGCCGCACGCAGCACGTGATAGAGGCCGCACGCAGGACGTGATAGAGGCCACATGCAGAGTGTGATAGAGGCCACATGCAGAACGTGATAGAGGCCACACGCAGCATGTGATAGAGGCCACATGCAGAGTGTGATCGAGGCCACACGCAGAACGTGATAGAGGCCGCACGCAGCACGTGATAGAGGCCACATGCAGAACGTGATAGAGGCCACACGCAGAATGTGATAGAGGCCACACGCAGAATGTGATAGAGGCCACACGCAGAGTGTGATAGAGGCCACGTACAGCACTACTGAGAGGTTTTCGGATAGGTTTTGGTGTGGACATTTTAACACCTGTTCACATGGGAGAGCGGAAAGGAAGCAAATGGCGTCTGTGAGTCATAGTGAAAGCCGTGTGACACAGGCTTATGGGGAACGCCTCTTCAGCAGTCAGTGCATCCTCTTAGAGGACTCATTTCAAATAATTATACAAACAGCTCCCGCTTCACCTGGCAGCTAAGAGAGATTTGTTCTCTCTCAGTGAACTCTAAATGAACTTTCCACATGTTAGTTATCGAGTAAGATGCATTTGTGTGTTTTCTAGGTCCATGGGGTTTCTGAGAGGATCTTTATCCTTAGGTGGATATTTTTTTTTTAAATACCTTATTTCATGTATGGTTCTAACGTTTTGCTGAAATGAATACAGTTGCACATCTGGGCAGGCTTAGGCTGGTTTGGACGATCAAAGGCCAGGACCCCAAAGTGACTGGAAGAAACTATTAAGAGACACCTGACAGCTACGGCTCCTCAGTGAGGACCTGAGTCCTCCTCCCAGAGCCTCCATTTGCCTACGAGATGGCCTTGCTCAAGGCATCAAATCTCTCCAAGCCTCCGCTTCCTCAGTTATAACATTGGGATATCAGCAGCACTACCCTCACTGGCCTGACAGTGAGAGGCCCCCCTCTAGCATGTCCTGCATGTGGCCTCTATCACGTGCTTCATGTGGCCTCTGTCATGTTCTGTGTGTGGCCTCTGTCATGTTCTGTGTGTGGCCTCTGTCACGTGCTGCGTGTGGCCTCTGTCACGTTCTGCGTGTGGCCTCTATCATGTTCTGCGTGTGGCCTCTATCATGTTCTGTGTGTGGCCTCTATCATGTTCTGTGTGTGGCCTCTATCATGTTCTGCATGTGGCCTCTATCCACTCCAGACCCACGAGAGGTACACATTGGCTGCAGCCACTGGTTTTTCTCTGACAGTGCTTACACTGAAGCAGAGACTTTAGAAAGAAAATCCATCTCTACGAATAAAATCTGAGTTATGCTTGGAGAAACGGCTTAATTTTGAGAAAGCCTAAAAGAGAAAGAAACAGAGACCGAAGCTGAGAGACAAAAAGAGAGAGAAGGACAGAGATGATCCTGAAACACCTCAACTCCACACTGATGTCTGCTCTTTCGGCAGATTCTATAGTCCTGCTTTGTGTCTATACTCATCATTCTCTAAGACCTCTTTCAGCTAAATAAATTAGTGACATATGAAATCAAATTAAAGGGCAATTGATACATTTGCAGCTTTTCACATTATATTTGAATAATGGTCAGTGCACAAGCTGAGTTGTTGGCTGAGGCTTATGTTCCAGCTTCCTGCTTTGGGGTGTGTGGTGTGGTTGCCGTCCTCTTCTATCAATGTGCATCTTCTGGCTTTTGCTGTCCTGCAGATGTGCTACTTAGCTCCCGGGAAGAAGTTCTGGGCAAAGCAGGGACAAAGACACGCAGCTGTGAGCAAGTTTTATTTTGTGCGTAAAGGACCCTCAGCTTTGGATACCACTCTGTGCATTTGTCCTGAAATTTGCTGTGCAGCTTTTTCCTAGGAAAGATTTCAGAAAAGGGTCGCACCTAAGCATGTCCTATAAATAGAATGCTTGGGCTGGATGGAGAAAGCAGGCAAACGAACATTCCCCTCTGCCTCTCAAAAGCCACTCCGTGGCAAAAATACGTGTTTGTTTTCATTTCCTCCATAGGAAGCCTTTCTATTCTCTTGAGCTATTTTAATCTATTTTTTTCTTGTGTGGACATTTTTCATAATAAAAACTGTCACTCATTATACTGTGTGAGGTGCTAAGTGCTATATAGGCATTACCTGAGATATTTTCCATCTATGAGGAAAACACTGTTATTATCCCCATTTTACAGATGATAAAAATGGAGCTAGGTAAAACATACACAGAGGAAACAAAAAAACCTTTGGTATTTTAACACGATCTGGGTTTCTTGTCAGAATACAGTTATCACCATTTCTTCTCCCCCATTGCACCCCCTGGATAATTCTTCTGAAATTTGGGGGAGGTTTTTCCAGCAGTGAGAGGAGAAAGGGCTCACAGCCCTCCTGTCTTGTTGGGTTTAGCTTGCTGTGTTGTGATGTTGGAAGACCTGGCTCAAAGTTCAGAGCACTGGAAGTCCCAGGGTGGTGAAGCCCCACACTCAGAGACCAGAAAATGCTTTTGAAAATGCTCCTTTCGGTGTGCCAGGGACTAAGGACTTTCTGTGCCCCCCAAATCTCCTGCCCAGCTTTCTAAAGATGCTCTTTCCTGACTGGAAAATGCGGCCCACACTGCCACGGATACTCAGCAGCTCATTTTCCTTAGTGAGTTACAGCCACTCACTTTTGTCTACTCTTAAATCTCAAAATGGCAGGCCGCGTCTTGGCATAGTGTAAGTTTCATTATATGTGGATCATACAGTGCAGCCATCAAGGGCTTTCCCCCAGTGGAGGGTTTTCATATAAAGCCCTGCAGACGCCTTAAGAGGCCGTCAGCTGAAACTGCCTTGACCTGTTAACTGGTCAACCCATATGAGGTTGCCCAGAGAAATTGTTCCAGGTAGCATTCTGCATGCAGGGAGTTTGCATCTTGGTTTGGATTTAAAATGCAGTTCTGCCTGTATTGTGTGTATTCGTATCTTCTCGGTGCTGCTTTCTGTAGTTGGCTGTGGATAACCTGCACCCTCCCACCGCCTCCATGATGGGGCTAAGGTCAGACCCTCAGCACCCCAAACCCAAGGGGCAGACCCTCAGGGTGGTGACAGTCCCAGGCACGGAGCTTGGCATACCAGGAGGACTTTGTGACATGATGGAGAGACCGATGAGGCTAAACATCACGTGTGCCCTCCTTCATCCTCATGGGGACAGGAGAGGCCCTGCAGTTCAGGAAATCATATGTTTGAAATTTGCCTTAATAGAGTGACAGTCAGAAATAGTGAGGAGCAGGCTTCCAGGAGGAGGCCCCTAAGATTTCACTGGCTGCGGGGCCTGCCTGCGCCCTGGGTGGTGACCCAAGTCATGCTGCTGGGCCGCAGGTGCATCCTCGGGGCCCCTCACCACCACCTGGGCAGTGTCCTTTGCTCTGATCTGCAGTGAGGTCCTTCCAGTGGGTGTTCCTTTGCCAACGCACACTCTGAAGGCGAGAGGTGTGCAAATGGCTGCTGCTGTGAGCACGGGGCAGGGGCACAGAAAGTGCGGGGTGAGGAAGGAGATGGCCAGTCCCACTGGGCTTCACATCAGCTGCTGTGATTGAAGTTTGAGCAAAACAAGAAGGAGGAGGAGGAGGAGAAGGAAGAGGGGGAGGAGGCGGAGGAGGGGGAGGAGGGAGAGGTGGCAGAGGGGAGGGGCAGGTGAGAGGAGCTCTAGGCTGTGCTCAGGAAAAGGACACACGATGAGCTTCCAGTTCCACCTCTGCTCTGTCTCCGGGATCCTGGGCGAGTCTGAGTAGTCTACGCCCTAAAATTCCATGATTTGAACTTCTCAAGACATCAACGAGTTTTAAAATGTCATTGTAGTTCCAAAGTGTTTCCCTTTATAAGATCATAAAAAGGGTTTTCTCATATACAATACAAATTTTTCATAAACGCGTTGTGCCAGCTTGACTGATTTATCTTTTTACTTGAATGAGTTTGAGTTGGCAAATGGTTTGGGTGCTATAGACACAATCTGAATTTTCTAAATTAAATCAGGCTCTTGATGTCTGCGGTATTTTTAACAATTATGTGATTTAGCGAAAGCAGTCCTGTCAATTTAGCAATTTACACTGACTAGTTATCCACCGGCCGCCGTCTGACGGCAATAATGATTGTTATTGCCTCCATATTCAAGGAAGAGAGAAGAAAAGTTAAGTGATCAGCCCAAAGCAAGGAGTAACGGGAGAAATAGAATTTAAATCTCAGCCCCAGGCTCCTGGTGCCCAGGCCTGTGTTCAAGGAGAACACTTAGCTGTGAAATCACGTTTGCAAAATTACGACATTAAGAGAAATCTGACATTGTTGGCTCCATCTTGCTCCTAACCTCCAAGCCGTCCTCGGTCACTCCTGGGTGTAGGCTAACCTGACTTCAGGAGGAAGTTAGTTTATAGTTTAACCTTAAAGTAAGGATGATAGTAACCCTTCACAAAACCACCTTTTAAAACTAAATGAAAGGCCACAACGTCAGGATTATGAGAGCAGTGGGTTTCTGCTAAGATACCGTTAAATGGCAATCAGTCGTTGTTCCAGAGGCCACAGGATTTGTAACTTCCCCAGGTATGCCGCAGACAACATCACCATGGTAGAGCCCCAGGTTGGCCTTTTGAGATGTCTTTTCAGACTTTGCACTTCTGACCAGCTAACTCCACCTGGACAGGTGAGCCATGATGAGGCTGTCCTGTGGATTCCACTCAGAGGTGGACTCAGAGCAGGAGGAACGTCTTCACTCTCAAAGGTGGACTCAGCGCGGGGGGAACGTCTCCAGGCTCGGAGGTGGACTCAGCGCGGGCGGAACGTCTCCAGGCTCGGAGGTGGACTCAGCGCGGGCGGAACGTCTCCAGGCTCGGAGGTGGACTCAGCGCGGGGGGAACGTCTCCAGGCTCGCAGGTGGACTCAGTGAAGGGGAAACGTCTCCAGGCTCGGAGGTGGACTCAGCGCGGGGGGAGCGTCTCCACGCTCGGAGGTGGGCTCAGCGCGGGGGGAACGTCTCCAGGCTCGGAGGTGGACTCAGCGAAGGGGGAACGTCTCCAGGCTCGGAGGTGGGCTCAGGGCGGGCGGAACGTCTCCAGGCTCGGAGGTGGACTCAGCGAGGGGGGAACGTCTCCACGCTCGGAGGTGGGCTCAGCGCGGGGGGAGCGTCTCCAGGCTCGCAAGTGGACTCAGCGAAGGGGGAACGTCTCCAGGCTCGGAGGTGGACTCAGCGAGGGGGGAACGTCTCCAGGCTCGGAGGTGGACTCAGCGCGGGGGGAGCGTCTCCAGGCTCGGAGGTGGACTCAGTGAAGGGGAAACGTCTCCACGCTCGGAGGTGGACTCAGCGCGGGGGGAGCGTCTCCAGGCTCGGAGGTGGACTCAGCGCGGGGGGAGCGTCTCCAGGCTCGGAGGTGGACTCAGCGCGGGGGGAACGTCTCCAGGCTCGCAGGTGGACTCAGTGAAGGGGAAACGTCTCCAGGCTTGGAGGTGGACTCAGCGCGGGAGTTACGTCTCCATGCTCAGAGGTGGGCCCAGCGCGGGGGGAACGTGTCCACGCTCGGAGGTGGACTCAGCGCGGGGGGAACGTGTCCACGCTGAGAGGTGGGCTCAGCGCGGGGGGAACGTGTCCACGCTCGGAGGTGGACTCAGCGCGGGGGGAACGTGTCCACGCTCGGAGGTGGACTCTGCGCGGGGGGATCGTGTCCGTGCTGAGAGGTGGGCTCAGCACGGGGGGATCGTGTCCACGATCAGAGGTGGGCTTAGTGCGGGGGGAACGTGTCCACCCTGAGAGGTGGGCTTAGCGCGGGGGGAAAGTCTCCACGCTCAGAGGTGGGCCCAGCGCGGGGGGTACGTGTCCACGCTGAGAGGTGGGCTCAGCGCGGGGGGAACGTGTCCACGCTGAGAGGTGGACTCACGTTTTTACGCTCCTACGATTTCATCCGCAACCAATTGGCGGCACCCATTCCCTATCTCCTGACCACGAAAGTATCGGCGAAAATCCCTAATCTCCAAGTCTTTGTGAGATGGCTGTGGGTGACAGCTCAGTCTCCTCCGTCAGTTAAACTCCTTCTTTATTGCAATGCCCTGGCCTCAGTGAGTTGGTTTTCTCTGTGCAGTGGACAGCATGAACCCGTCAGATGATTACAGCTTGTTGGAGTAGATGATCATTTTTATTAAGTTGGCTTCAGAAAAGCCAAGAAGGGGCTGGAACATTTATTTTTGAGCACCTTAGAGAGGATAAATGCTCACTTCGCCCTGCACATCTTCTAGTCTTGAAAATAAAAGTTAAAATCTGATGACGATGATCAGCTGGGCAAGTTAGGAAACTCAAGGCGCTCAGAAGCAGCCTGAGGCCGAGTCCTCCAGTCCTCTCAGCTGTTTTAACAGTCACATTCCATCCTGCATCTTTTGAGTCTGAGACTCAAAAGTCGCATAATCTTCTAACTTGAGAATTTGATATCTCATCTCCTTCCCATTCTTCTATCTTTTGTTGCAAATAATTTAACGTCACATTTGCTCTAATTTTCTGTTATTTTTTTTACTTTGAGCCCTTCTCCCATTCATGTCCCGTACTAATTGGAAGGTCTTTAAAAGAAAAGTCGCTGTCATTTTGTCCCTTGGTTATTTTGTTGTCTTTTTTTTTTTTTTTGGAGAAGTTTGGATTCAAATAAAAGTTAAACTTAAAAAAAAAAAACCATACCTAAATATGTTGGTATGAAAACTAAATTCTATAAATAATGCTTTTTTAATGCAAAGAATGGCTTTCTGAACAAATAACCTTACTGCTAATATTAAATGGAAGCACTTTATGATACAAATGCAAAACTCTTCCAAATCATTTTCGGGAAAAAAAATCATGAAAGTCTGAAATTAGCAAATGAAAACATTGCGTCCAGTGATATTGTTTTCTAAATATGCCTGAAATCTGTCATAATCTGTTTTCCTGGAACAATAAGAAAGTGGTTCCAAGCCCCCATTACTATCATTTTCTACACAAAGGTTATCTGTGCATTATATTCAATATAGAATTTTCAAATTTTGAAACATTTTATTATTACAGTAATGGCTATTGCCTTTTCTAACAGACACCCTGTCAGAAGGTTTAAAAAATGTATGTTTCGGTTCATGCAAAAAAAAAAAAAAAAAAAAAAAAGGTCAAAACTTTTAAAATGTCACTTCTTCTGCGCTTTGCATAGAAATACATTGGATCAGTGGGAGGCTCCCTGCCCACAGAAGGGGCTGCGGGAAGAATGCTGCCTGCTGCTGAGCCTCCACTTTCCTGCAGCTGTGAGCTGAGCAGAAAGGCACTGTGGGAGTCTATTGTTGCCCCAGCTGGGTAATAGTTTTCTTATTTTACAGTCAGCAGCCAAGGGGGGTTGGGGTGTCTCCGTAAAGTGCCTGAAAAAAATACATAACTCCTGCAAATAGATCACTTTCTGCTTCTTCCATGAGAAACAGGAGTCTATAAATTGTGTAGTTCGTTTGGACCTACCAGTATAATTAAATATCACAAACAAAAGCCACCCCCAGAACCACAAGAGCTACAGATACGGTGCATTTTCCCGACAAACCTGGGCTGCGGGGAGCGCTGGGGCCTGCAGACTTGGTGACACAATTGTTTCTCCCATCTCCCGTCAGCCAATTATTCTTTCCCGTTTACTTTGTTTGAAAGTCACCTGCCATATGCTGAAGGACTAAGGCATGAAACTAAAATTTTAATCTCAAATGTTTTCAGCAAGGCGGGATTGCAGGCGCATGGGTCCTACTGAGCGTCTGAATTCCGCTTTTGTTTACCAGGCAGATCGCTAAGTTTGCGTGAACGGTGGTTAGGCTGCCGAGTGTCTTCACGGCTGAAGTTTGAGCAGGGCCCGGACTTCAGGCTTGTTTTGTTTTGTTTTGCACTGTGAATTGTCCATCGTGGTTTTGTTACCATGGAAACTCATTTTTAAAAGGTGAAAAGTCACTGACCTTTTACCATTGCCACTGCAGGAATTAATATTCTAGCAGGTTGGGAGGAAGGAGGCGTCTTGAATGTAGGTGAGGCCGTTTTCTGGTGATGTCCCCACAGAGAACTGTCTGATTTTTAGCCTTAAAGTCACAAGGGGACTAGGCTTACACTTTTTTTTACACAAATCGCCTTCAAATCAGATGTTTCAAAAATAATGAGACTGTTTTGTGCAGAGACTAAAATGAAGCTGTTAGGACTTTGATTTTTCAGAGCGATCGAAAGCGTCAGCTTTCTCATTCCTTAGGAAGCTCCCGTGGCTGAGTTTTAAAATGTTCACTCTGATGACCTGACTCTCTGGACACCCAACGAGTGGAATTATTTGTAGAAACTAATAGCACACAGTCCTAGAGTGAGCTGGCGAGTAGAAACCAGCCTGTGACCACATGGAGAGTCAGAGAGCTGAAGGAAATGTACTGTGAATGGGTTTTTCTTTTAAGCGCACTGAATAAATGAGATCTAGTGTTTACTCTTTTGATGGATCTGAGGACAATGTAAGTTTCAGGCACTGTTCCTGGAAAGGAAGAGAAAGCCACTTCTCGGGGTCACTGAGTGTTGACGCCGCGCCTAGTGTGGGTGGTGATGAGAACGCAGTAACTGCTCAACAAACAGGCGCTGAATGAGTCGCCTGTGACGGTGCTTCCGGAAGCTTCAGCCATATGCTAGTTATGGCAAGTCTGACAGATGGATCGACAGCAGCTGTCCGCCAGGATGCATGTGCTCTGCCTTCCTAGGGGTTGGGCACGTGATCATGGGATGGTGTCAACCCAAGAGAAGGGGTCTTAACATGCAAACCCTTGAATACCAGAAAACGGCAGCTGCAAAGGGAAAAGATAAGAACAAGGGAAAATTTAGTATTTTAACTTTTTGCTTTCTGTATGGGTAAGAACAAAACCCCAGAAACAGAGGGCAGGCTAATTGGGTGATCAAAGGCACAGGACAGGGGTTGGAGCACGCCAGGAGCTGACAGTCCTGTTAGCAGAAGCATGTGAGCCGGGGAGCAGCTGTCCTCAGACCCCTGAGGTGCAGGATGTGGGGCATTGCGAACCACACGGGCCCCACCGTCCTCCCCACCCCGGGGCGATGACAGTGTGGACTAAGGCTAACATGCTTTTCCTCCATCAATCTTTGAATGAAATGTGGATACTTTGTTCAGAGCCTGTCTTTAAGGCTGGTGTGAGAGCAGGCCTTGGGTGAGATGGCTGGGCAGCGTGCTGCCCGGCAGGCATGTGCTTTTAGGCAGACACTAACTAAAACATCCCAAACAAATGAACATGGAGTGAGGAACATGGCTGAGTCCAGGCCTCAGATCCCAGATATGGCTGTGGGAGAAAGGAGACCCGGTCTGCATCTCAGGAGGGCCAGAGCAAGTTCTGAGCTGCTCTGTGGCCAGGGTGGGCTCATTCATCCCTGCATTCCAACTCCCAGCCCTGTTCAGAAACATCTATTGAATGAGCACATGAATGACAACATGAATGAAATCACAGTATATTGTCCCATTCCTGGGGTATATGAAAAACAGAGGGAAAGGAATTCCAAGATACTCCTTCACCGTTCCAGCCTGCCCTGTTCCACTCCAGGCCTCACGACTGCACTCGGCCCCGCCCCAGCCCTGCCCCCTCTCCGGCAGTTACTAGCATAAAGATGCAAAGTCCAGGCAAAACAACTCTCAGTTCTGAAGGAACAATGAGAAACGGTGATGAAAGGAAATACATGAGTTTGCGGAAAATTACTGTTCTGTCTGTTTCATCTGCCTATTTTATGTAAGTTCCCCTAAAATCAGTGTCTGCATTTCAATTATCCCATTATTTTTATCAGGACAATGGCCTCTTTCAGTGACATTTATTCTTAAAATAGTAACACCCTCAGAGACTATTTTTGGCAAACCAGAAATCCCACTTGTCCTCTCGGGAAACAGCATCTGGAGTGTGGGCTGGGGGCAAATGCACCAAGATGAGATCGTGCTTCAGCTTTCTCATCCGTGACCTGAGGCTGGTCCCATCTCCCTTCCTGAATCCACAGGGTCACTGTGAGAAGGATGCATGGACAATGCATGTGAGTGCTTTGGAAAGACTCAAGTAAAAGGCAGAATGGATTGTTCACCACCCAGGGGAGAGAGGATGGGGAGCTCTCCCCAGGGCAGAGTTCCAATGCTTAGGGCTGGTACGGGTGGGGTCTGAGCTGCGTGGAGAACTTCTTCTACTCTACTGACCAACATGTCCTATCCTGGTTTACCAGGACCTCCCCGGCTTAGCTTCTAAGTCCCATGTGCAGGGAACACCCACCTCCCAGTTGTTGGCACCGTCACACCTCATTCTGCATTTACTGTCCCTCTCCAAGCAATGGCCCACCAAGATGAGACGGTCTCTTCAAGAGGCTTTCCCTGGAAATAGGAGATTGAGGTCAGAAACCCCCAAGGGAAGCTTGGCAGCCTTAGGAGAGACTTCGCCCCTGACACATCCTTTCCATGCCCCAAGCTGACATTTCAGGTAAAGTAAATATATATTCAGCAGCTTTTGTATAGGCAAAGCCTGTACTAGGGGTGGCAGAGTTTTCCCCTTAAGAGGTCTATCTCATGGGGTAGGAATTAAAATACCTATGATAGTGTCTTACTAAAATACAGGCAGGATGTGAAAGTATGGCAAGAAAAACACTGAGAAATTGAGAACAAAACTGTAACAGAGTGAGCTAAACAGCCTCCAATGATCATTTACATAAAGTCCATCTCCACAGCCATTTCCGTTTCCCAGATACTCTACTGACCCATAACACATGCGCAAATATATGCATGCACATTTAGACCAGTGGGAAGGGGTTTTATAAATGCTCAGAGTAGAATCTGATTAGTAATACAGGGATTAAGATTAAGTTTGAACATAGACTATTAAAAGGTAATTAGTGATCATTATAATTTTTTGTAGTTGGTTAGAGGTAACACAGTGTTGTTTTATTTTGTCTTTATTAATAATGAAATTATACGCATATCTACAGTTAAGAGAATGACAGGGAAAGAACAAACTTGAGTGTCAACATATCTGTTGTCAACTTAAAAACAATTGTATGGTAAATACGAGAAAAAATACTGGGTAGCCAAGAATTTTGCAGCCTTTAGCATTAATTCCAAATTAATAATAATAAAGATGGAAAATTAGTAGTGAAAGGCTGATTATAGTGCTCAGGGGAAAATTCTAAAAATTTTCTTGAACTAAAAATGCTAAACTATCTTAGCTATAACTAGAAGTTATAAGGAGGGAACAGAGTAAAATAATCCAACTGTTTTATATTATTTACTTTGCCTGAAGTAAAGAGTAATAGAATAGAACACTTTGGTTTCTGGTTTTTATCCAGCAATGAAAAAAAAAGTATATGAATGATAAGAATGAGGAATGGGAGAATAGTAGCTGAATAAAAAAGTACAGAAATGCCAAATTAACAGAGGAAAAATGGAAATAAATGGATCAAACTGTCCAAAATGAGGAAAAGAAAAAAAAAAGACAGAGCAAAGTATATACGTATCTTAGAAAACATAAAGTAAGATAGAGAATAAAGTCAAGCGTATCACTTAGTACACTAAATGTGAATGACATAAACTTCCCTATTAAAGCAGAGATTGTCAGACTGTGTTTTTAAAAATCCACTACATGTTGTGTAAAAAAAATTTTCCTAACAAAGTGGTAAGAAAAGTTGAAAATAAAGGAATAGGCAAATAGATATTAGGATATAAAAAAGGAAAGAAAAAATAGTGATATTAATGAAAAATAATGAAGATAATGAAGAATTTAGGCCTAATGGCTCTAAATGAGACAAAAGCAGGTATTTTGTAATAATAAAAGTAACAGTTTATTAAAGTGAGCCATTAGCCCAAATGTGCCAGTCAACATAATGACTAAATGTAAACCACAAAAATAAATAAAATAAGTTAACATGACAACAATTTCTATTATAGTGGAACTAAAATGTCCCAAACAAATGAACATTGACCTATATGATTTGTAAATGTTAAATGAGAACCTTCATATGCATTCAATGGCCAATAAGTAATAAGAACTTTCTGAATAAAATCCCACCTGCGTCTGGTTTCGATTGTAAGAGTCAATACAAGAACTGATCTCAAGAACTATCTTGGGCTTCTTGGGTATCCCAGAAAGTCTCTAATATTAGCAGGTGCTCCAAACAACTCAGCGGCCCTTTGTCAAAGTGGTAGGTTGTAGGTTAGTGGCTGACTTGGTCAAAGTTAAGGGCTGGGGAAGCGCAGTGTTGGAAGCCCTCTAATCACTTACTTAGGGGTAACTAAAACTCACAGAATGATTTTGCTTGCTTACGAGAACTACGACCATTCCTAAACATATTCGTAAATAAGTGCAGTTTTCTTTCTCGATAGACACTACTTGGCTTCCAGCATAGTCATGTTTGTGAGAAGTTTTATGTAAATCAAATTCTGTTTTCCAGTTGACTAACTTACCATTTCAAAGTTGTTTTGTTTCTTTCTTGATTGATTCTCCATTGACAGTGACTCTTACATTTCAGCTTTAAGATTTTCTTCCTTCAGTCTTTCCACTGAAGCATTAATGATCACTAAACAAGTGATTAACTGCATTTAGAGACAACTGCTTAAAGAAAGCTTTCAGTGAATCCTCCTTTGAGGATTCACCGCTAAGTATCCTTTTGTTAAGTGAAGCCTCCCCTGTAATATTAATAGTAACCCCACAATTTGTCTGTTTGTAAAGTGTAGTGGACGACTCTTTTGTTGTGTAGCATCTGCAGCCCTCCTCTGGAGCTACACTATTGGTGGTGGAAGCTTTGTGGAATGTCCCATTCCCAGTCCATGTGGTCCCAGCACAGGGTGCCATTCCCGCCTCCAGGGACATGACACAACCCAGGCCTAGACAGGGACCCCAGTGCATTCTCCACTGCTCCAGTGGCTCACTCCATGATGACCACTTGACTCAGCCAGAGCCGAAAAGATGCAATGAGATGTGGTGACTTTTGGAAAAGAGAGTTTTGTTTACCATTGGAGCTGAATCCCAAGAGGAGGTTAAAGATCGAATCATTGACTCCATCTCCTTAGCACTCAGATATTGAGACCTAAGCCAACTCAGCAGAAATCAGCAAAAATCACCCAGCTCCTGATGACACTGTTTGATATCTGCACTTCTCATGCCAGAAGCTAGTCCTACCACTGAACTTTTCAGCTTAGGTGACCCAATGTATTTGTTTCTCATTTAGCCCAGTTTACAATGGGTTTTCTCTCTCACAACCTCAAGCATCCCTTCAGACGTTGAAAGTCTGAATTGTAGTTGCTGGTAGGGGTTAGAAATGACCATTTACTTGCATTTTAAAAAGCGCGTCCAAAAAATGCTTGGGAAATGTTGGCAAAACAAATTTTTGAAATATGGCTACAGCAAACTATGATCTCTCTGCATAAAGCCTATGTAACCTGCGATTGCCAACATGACTTCCTATTTCAAAAAATATCAGTTACAGTAAAACTACATTCTCCTTTTTTGTACTATGGAATTTAATGTAAAAAAATATGCATTTTTGTGGACTGAATTATTCTTATGAAGAACCGTCTACCTTTCTTCCAGGAATAACTGCTGACATCCCTTCAATCACCATTGGCTGCTCCGAGCAGCTTCTCAGAGCTGGTTTTCGATTTTCTTTCACAGTCTTTCTCAGAACTCTGCGATCCCCAGAGGTTACAAATCTGTGTTGGGTGCTTTCTCTGCTAAAGAAGAATTTTCTAATGGCACAACTGAGGTTTCGAAAAAGTCAGCTTCGAGAATTTTCCTAAGTACTAAATCATGTGCACTGAAAGCATTGGAAAGAAACCACACCTGCACGAGAATTTCAAAGCCGGGGGCTCTATGACTGGCTGGACGCTGGAGCCCTCCTTTAAAGGATGGAGGCAACTTGGCCAACTGCATATTATTTTCTATGGCAGTGGCCCCCACTGTTCTCAGGCCATGAAACTCGGGAACGGATTGTGGCTGTCACGCAGAATCAAAGAGATGGATTGGCCGTGTTGCTTCAGGACTCAATCTTCTCAAAGCTTCTGACTCCAGACAGACAGTGCCTCCCCATTCTGCTGGCTGAGACAGGAGGGGTATAAGACCAAAAATCGAAGTGTGTAAGATCCTGAATTCCACTGCCTGCCAAGCAACTGAAAGTGCAGTTATCATCAGCTGCTTCTCCCTGATCTATTTTCCCATTAAAAAATAAAGACTTGGATCCTGCAAGAGCTCTGGGATCCCTTCGATGGCAGAGACTCTTGGCTGCATATATGTGTATTGCAAGGTGCCCAGACGAATCCTTCATCTCCAAATATTGCCAGACCTGATGAATGGCCTCTTGGGAGATCCCTGCACCACACCCCTCCTTCCTGTTGCTGGGCTTCCCCTGGGGGCTCTCCCCACACCCAGTGTTCTCTGTATATGACAACATTGACACTTAGATGGCCTTTGTGACCTGTGGACACAAGCAGCGGCCAAGCCTGGTGGTGGGCACCTCGCACGGCACGGCACTGCGTGCTGTGGCCCCTCATGGAGAGACCCCTGTAATTCAAGTCAGTGCTGCCTGCACACCCACCCCCCATGGCAGTTCCTGTCCTGGTGGCTGGCTCGCTGGTCCTGCCCTGCCAGTGGGGAACACCTCCCTGCTGCTGTCCAGGGGCAGATGCTGCTGTCCTCCTGGCCGGGAGCTGGCAGCAGCCCTTGCTGGAGTCACTCATCTTCGCCTGCCAACTTTAGAGGTTCCCCATCTGGTGGCAGATGAGAAGCCCCTGGCAAACATTCTTTTATGTCAGAAAAAAGTCACATCCAGAGGTTCCAGGTGAATTGGTGCGTGGTGGGGCCTAGGCTATCAGTGCTTTCTAGAAGCTCCCAGATGATCCTAAGGACAGCTGTGCTTGGGACCCCGCCGGCTGTGTCACGGTTGCATTTGAAACCCTCACTGACCCCCACTGTTTACAGAACACAGCCCTGGCCCCTAGCAGAGCAGCCAAGACCTTCCTTGATTTGGTCCAAATTTACATTGACAGCCTCGTCCTTTGTTACACACTTTTCCAGTGTGCGTTTCCCCTGCCCCTTTAATTTACTTGCTCCCAATTGCAGTGTGTGGAGCACCTGTGTCGGGAGTGTGCCCAGGACTTGCTTGGGGCACAGCCCTCCGGGGAAGCACAGAAAGGCCACCAGGCAGAAGCACACAGGACACAGAGGAGGGGCGTTGACTCTGTGGGGCAGGGCTGGGTGGCAGGGTTGGAACCCTGAGGCCATGCTTGAGCTGCTTGGAAGGAGGGCAGAAGCTTCTCAGATGGAGAAAGGGCCCAGCCTCTGGGAAGCAGGGCCAGTGCACAGCTGGAGGGGCTGCTGTGCCTGGATAACCATGAGCAGGTCAGGGTGGATGGAGTGTGAGGTGTGTGTGGGAGGAAACAGGATAGCAGGACAGGTACACGGGCCAGCTCGGAAAAGGCCTCCACACTCCACACTCACCCAACCCTCACGCCGCCCTCTAGAGCAGGTGCTGTTGCCCCTGTTTATCTACAAACACACAGAGGCTCAGGAAAGGTAACTCACCTGCCCAAGGTCACTAGGCAAAGACAGCAGAGCCAAGACTTGAACCCATGCTTGTTTGATTCTAAAGCCTCGTAGAAATGTCAGGTGTGAACAGCACTCTTCCTCCTCTTTTCTCCTGCCACAGTGGGCTTCTTCGGCTCTCTCCTCCCCAGGTCTCTGCACTGCTGCTGGCCCCATAGCTGGGAGCTCCTCCACCTGCCCACAGCACACACCCGCACTCTCCCCCGGACAGGGCCTGCCACTGCTCAGGACTCGGTGTAAGGGTCAGTCCCTTGGAGCAGCCTGCTCTGGGTGACGCCCAGCAGGCTTCAGCCTCCAAGCTGAGGCTCCATCTCTCTTCCTCGCTTTTACTTTTAGGGTTTAAGAAGGCAGAAACTCTGTCTATTCCCCTTATTCCGTGCCCCTCGCACCTGCAGGCAGTCTGTCTTTAATAAATGTTAGTGTAACCCATCAATCTACCTCTGAGCTTAACTCAGCGGACCAACCAGTTTATCACCAAACATCTATTGTCTCCCTAGAGAGAGACTGGAAGGGGGATTCCTAGCCCCACCTGGGGCAGACAGATCATGTACCATGAAGCAGCTTCCAGATTTGAGGGATTCTTCCTGAAATTGGCTTTGGAAGGAACTTCTTCAGCCTTACACTTGGAAGTCTTGATGGACCGTTAGCTCAATAAGCCAAGACGGGCATCCGGGGAGGAAAGCAGGGAGCATGCCTGGAGGCGAACGACGCCCATGGGAAAAGGACAGGTGGTTGGTGTTTCCCTTCATGATTCTAACCCAGCTCCTTAAGAGACAGAAACTGGCTGGGTGCGGTGGCTCATGCCTGTCATCCCAGCACCTTCGGAGGCCGAGGTGGGAGGATTACTTGAGCCCAGGAGGCAGAGGCTGCAGTGAGCTGTGATCATTCCACTGCACCCCAGCCTGGGTGACAAAGTGAAACCCTCTCTCAAAAACAAAAAGAAATTTACCTAGAAACTCTGGGTGTTATGAGTTCAACTGTGTCTCTCAAAAAGACATGCTAAAGTCCTGAAGCACAGCACTAGCGTGCTCTTATCAGAGAGATGAGAGGCCTGAGGCGCAGAGACAGCCTTCCTGCAGATTCACTCGGAATACAAGTATTACATGTGTGTCTTGAACAGACGTGGGAGAAAACAGAGTGGCTTTTGCACCAGAGCGGACATTTGGGGTGAATGCTCAGCCCCGGAGCGCACATTTGGGGTGAATGCTCAGCCCCGGAGCGCACATTTGGGGTGAGTGCTCAGCCCCGGAGCGCACATTTGGGGTGAGTGCTCAGCCCAGGAGCGCACATTTGGGGTGAGTGCTCAGCCCCGGAGCGCACATTTGGGGTGAGTGCTCAGCCCCGGAGCGCACATTTGGGGTGAGTGCTCAGCCCCGGAGCGCACATTTGGGACGAACAGATAGCCCTGCAGTGGACATTTGGCTGGGACATCCCCAGGGCTCCATCGCTTGGTGCCTAAACACGGTGTGGGGAAAGAGCAGAGCAAGTGGAGTCAAGAAGCCTTAACTTCACAATTTCCTAAAATCCCACCATCCTTTGCATTCCATTTTTTCCTCTTCCTTATCTTCTCATTTAGCGTACAACTGAAAATAGGTTAGTGTTGACTCAGAGCATTCCACTGAACTGGTAATTACAGTTACCTTTGAAGGGAGGTATTAGGGAACTGTCCGATTATGCATTATGCAATTGTGAAATGCTTGAATGTTTTTGTAAGTGTGTACGGCTTTCAGAATCAAGGAATAATCAATAAAATATCTAAAAGGAAGTCTAAACAATTTGGGAAGAGCTGGGACAAGTGTCAGGATCGCCATGTGTTCCTATACCCCAGCAGGGTGGGTGTATCCATTGCCATTATTCGTCGAGTTTCCGGTCTTGGTTTCTTCTGGCCCCAACAGGCATGTGTCTAGAAGAGGTCAGGGGTGTGAGGCAAGGGTGCAGCTAAGTGGGGCAGGGGGCGGGGGGTCCTGCCGGATCCTCGGCATCCACTTCAGCTTGCTGTGGGCCTGAGGCAGGCCCCCCTCACTGCACCGCTTAGAAGGGGTTGGCTTCTGTGGGTGTGCAGCTTCCAGATCTCCAGGCCAGCAGGGTGTTCGAGGTCACTCTCCTATCAGCCACATGATGACAGAAATCTGAGGCTGGTGCAAAGGCTACTGTCTTTTTTTTTCATGCTTCTCTTTAAGATACACATCTAATACTTGCACACTGAATGGATCTGCAGAATGGCTATTTCTGTGCCCTAGGCCTCCCATCTGTCTGATAAGAGCATGCTAGTGCCGTGGCTCAGGACTTTAGTGTATCTTTTTGAAAGACACAGTTGAAGTCATAACACCCAGAAATTCAAGATGTCGCTGTCAGTAGCATAGCTGGATTCAGCACTCAAGTCTTGGGTGAAATGCATTTATGTTTGCTTTGAAAGTTTTGTTTTCTTGTTACCTTGACCAGATAGATCATCCTGAGCATGAAATACTGGGCAAATTATTTCACCTGCTCCAGGCCTGGCTGGCTCTTCTCTGTAAACTGGAGTGCTAACACCACCTCCTGCCTAGAGATGCTGTCCAGACAAACCCAGGTGGCAGTGTGCTTGCCGTGGGTGTGTGTGTGTGTGCTTGCCGTGGGGGTGTGTGTGTGTGCTTGCCGTGGGTGTGTGTGTGTGCGCTTGCCGTGGGTGTGTGTGTGTGCTTGCCGTGGGTGTGTGTGTGCGCGCTTGCCGTGGGTGTGTGTGTGTGCGCTTGCCGTGGGGGGGTGTGTGTGTGCTTGCCGTGGGTGTGTGTGTGTGTGCGCTTGCCGTGGGGGGGTGTGTGTGTGCTTGCCGTGGGGGTGTGTGTGTGTGCTTCCCGTGGGGGGGTGTGTGTGTGCTTGCCGTGGGTGTGTGTGTGTGCGCTTGCCGTGGGGGGGTGTGTGTGTGCTTGCCGTGGGGGGGTGTGTGTGTGCTTGCCGTGGGGGGGGTGTGTGTGTGCTTGCCGTGGGGGTGTGTGTGTGTGCTTGCCGGGGGGTGTGTGTGCTTGCCGTGGGGGTGTGTGTGTGCGCTTGCTGTGGGGGGGTGTGTGTGCTTGCCGTGGGGGTGTGTGCGCGTGTGTGTGCTTGCTGTGCGCGTGTGTGTGCTTGCTGTGCGTGTGTGTGCGCGCGTGTGCATGCGTGTGTGCGTGTGTGTGTGCACGTGTGTGTGTGTGTATGTGTGTGCTTGCCGTGCGTGTGTGTGGTGTGTGGGTGTTGGGGTGGGGTGGGGCAGGAAGGACTCCATCCCCATCTTCTTAAGGAATGTGAATGTGACCATTGCCTGAAGTAGAAAACGTTTGCAAGTGGTTCCAAGGAATTTTAGACCCAGGAGCACTCCGAGCCGGATGTGGGAGCTGAAGGACTTCACATTTTGTTCTCTAAGTGCCATCGAGCGGCCTCTCAGCGGCGGGATGGACACGGCAGTGCCGGTGGGGGGAGCCTGACACTGTTCTATTTCTAGTTCTTCCATTACCTTGATGTGTGACCTTGTAAAATCTTCCCTTAAAAAAAGTATCTCTGTGGCTGATTTCTTCTTCATCTTGAAAGTACAGGTGGTAGTCATGAATATTTGTTTCCTGCAGGTTGGTTTTGTAAACCTCTTCTCGAAGGAAAAGTACACACAGCTGTGGAGTATTGTTCTTATTAATAACTTCATCTTGGCATGCACTCGCCGGCTTCTAAGTCTTTATATTAATATTCTACTGCAGAAAATATGCCACAATAGCAACCTGTCTGATTTCTCTGTCTTCTGTTTTAGAAGCTGACCTATACACTAAATAGTTGTCCTAAACAGAACACATTTTTTTTCTCTTTCCACGTCAATGTCTAACCATGGCATCTGGTGGATCCTTGCAGTCCAGCTGTCTGTTGCCAGTTGTGTTGGTCATCTTGGGGCTGCCATGACAAAGGACCATAGACTGTGTGGGTCAACCCACAGGAACTGATTTCTCACCGTTCTGGAGGCTGAAGTCTGGGATCAGGCACCAGCATGGTCACTTCCTGGTGAGGACTCCCTTCCTGGCTTGTAGATAGCTGCTTTCTGATTGTGTCCTCACAGGGGGAAGGTGGTGGGGTGGGGGAGAGGGAGAGCTGTTGTGTCTTCTTAAGAGGGCACTGGTCCCAGGAGGAGGATTCCACCTTATGACCTCTTCTAAATCTAATTATCTCCCAATGGCCCCATCTCCAGATACCATCACACTGGGGGTCAGGGCTTTCAGAGATATCATCAAACCGGAGGCCAGGGCTTCCACAGATACCATCACAGAGGGGTCAGGGTTTCCACAGATACCATCACACAGGGGTCAGGGTTTCCACAGATACCATCACACAGGGGTCAGGGTTTCCACAGGTTCCATCACACAGGGGTCAGGGTTTCCACAGATACCATCACACAGGAGTCAGGGTTTCCACAGATACCATCACACAGGAGTCAGAGCTTCCACAGATACCATCACACTGGGAGTCAGGGCTTCCACAGGTACCATCACACAGGGTTCAGGGTTTCCACAGATACCATCACACTGGGAGTCAGGGTTTCCACAGATACCATCACACTTGGAGTCAGGGCTTCCACAAGGACCATCACATGGGGGTCAGGGCTTCCACAAATATCATCATACAGGGGTCAGGGCTTCCATAAATATCATCACACAGGGGTCAGAGCTTCCACAGATACCATCACACTGGGAGTTAGGGCTTCCACAGGTACCATCACACAAGGGTCAGGGTTTCCACAGGTACTATCACACTGGGAGTCAGGGCTTCCACAGGGACCATCACATGGGGGTCAGGGCTTCCACAAATATCATCATACAGGGGTCAGGGCTTCCATAAATATCATCACACCGGGGTCAGAGCTTCCACAGGTACCATCACACAGGGGTCAGGGTTTCCACAGATACCATCACACAGGGGTCAGGGCTTCCACAGGGACCATCACATGGGGGTCAGGGCTTCCACAAATATCATCATACACGGGTCAGGGCTTCCATAAATATCATCATACAGGGGTCAGAGCTTCCACAGGTACCATCACACAGGGGTCAGAGTTTCCACAGATACCATCACACAGGGGTCAGGGTTTCCATAGATACCATCACACTGGGAGTCAGGGCTTCCACAGGTACCATCACACAGGGGTCAGGGTTTCCATAGATACCATCACACTGGGAGTCAGGGTTTCCACAGATACCATCACACTTGGAGTCAGGGCTTCCACAGGGACCATCACATGGGGGTCAGGGCTTCCACAAATATCATCATACAGGGGTCAGGGCTTCCATAAATATCATCACACAGGGGTCAGAGCTTCCACAGATACCATCACACTGGGAGTCAGGGCTTCCACAGGTACCATCACACAGGGGTCAGGGTTTCCACAGATACCATCACGCTGGGAGTCAGGGCTTCCACAGGGACCATCACATGGGGGTC